>NC_000011.10:61191740-61494770 GCF_000001405.40 Homo sapiens
ACCAAAGCAGGAATCTATGACACCACACTGATCAAGAAATACAAACAGATAGGTAAATAAATAGGAAGAAGAAAAGCTTTTCCTTACCAAAGAATGCCAATTAAAAATGTAAAATGTAAAAGAAATGATAGAATTAGAAAGTCACCCCTAGGCCGGGTGCGGTGGCTCATGCCCATAATCCCAACACTTTGGGAGGCTGAGGTGGGCAGATCACTTGAGGTCAGGAGTTTGAGACCAGCCTGACCAACATGGAGAAACTCTGGCTCTGCTAAAAATACAAAAATTAGGCTGGGTGCGGTGGCTCACACCTATAATCCTAGCACTTTGGGAGGCCGAGGCGGGCAGATCACCTGAGGTCAGGAGTGGCAGACCAGCCTGGACAATATGGTGAAACCCCGTCTCTACTAAAAATACAAAAATTAGCTGCTTGAACCTGGGAGGTGGAGGTTGCAGTGAGCCGAGATCACTCCATTGCACTCCAGCCTGGGCGACAATAGTGAAACTCCATCTCTATAAATGAATAAATAAATAAATAAATAAAAATTAAAAAATTAGCCGGGCGTGGTGGTGTGCACCTGTAATCCTAGCGACTGGGGTCGCTGAGGCATGAGAATTGCTTGAACTGGGGAGGCAGAGGTTGCAGTGAGCCAAGATTGCGCCATTACACTCCAGCCTGGGCAACAGAGCAAGACTCAGTCTCAAAAAATAATAATAATAAAGAAAGAATACATCAAACAAACCCTAGTTGAGGGACATTCTGCAAAACAACTGGCCTATACTCTTCAAAAGTGTCAACGTGATGAATGAAAAAGGCAGAGGGAGGGACTGTTCAAGATCAAAGGACACCTGGGAGACCTGGAACCCAAAAGAATGTGCGATCCTGGATTGAGTTGTGGAACAGAAAATTAAAAATCACAAAAAAGGACAATTTTAGGACAACTGGTGAAATCTGAATATGTGCTGTGTATTAGATAATAGTATCGTATCAATGTAAGACTTACTGCCTGTGGTCATTTTGACATCATCCACGTAAGCAAATGTCCTTAGAAACACACACTAAAGATTTAGGAGCAAAGGATCATGATGTCTGCAATTGACTCAAATCATTCAGCCAAAATAATAATAATATGCATGTATGCATGTGTATGGAGAGAGAGACAAAGAGAATAAATTCAGTAAAATGTCAATACGTGAATCTAAAAGCAATTATAATAATAATAATGAATCTGAGTGAAATATATATGGGAATTTGTGGGAGGTGTTTGTTTGTTTGTTTGTTTGTTTGTTTGTTTTGGAGAGGGAGTTTCGCTCAGTCACCCAGGCTGGAGTGCAGTGGTGCCATCTTGGCTCACTGCCACGTCCACCTCCCAGGTTCAAGCCATTCTCCCACCTCAGCCTCCCTAGTAGCTGGGATCACAAGCATGCACCACCACGCCCGGCTAATTTTTTTGTATTTTTAGTAGAGATGGGGTTTTGCCATGTTGGCCAGGCTGGTCTCTAACTCCTGACCTCAGGTGATCTGCCCTCCTCAGCCTCCCAAATATATGGGAATTTGTTGCACTATTCTGGCACTTTTTCTGTAGATTTAAAATATTTTCTTTTGTTGTTGTTGAAACAGGGTTTCACTCGGGTCGCCCAGGCTGGAGTGCAGTGACACAGTTATGGCTCACTGCAGTCTCAACCTTCTGGGCTCAGGTGATTCTCCACCTCAGCCTTCTGAGTAGCTGGGACTACAGGCGTGTGCCACCATGCCTGGCTAATTTTTTCTATTTTTAGTAGAAACAGAGTTTCACCATGTTGGCCAGGCTGGTCTCGAACTCCTGGACTGAAGCAATCCACCCACCTTGGCCTCCCAAAGTGCTGGGATTACAGGATGAGCCTCCGTGCCCGGCTCTCCTTGCCATTTTTACATACTGATATCTCTGGGCTCTGTGCCAGACTGGGGTGGGTGCCAGAGGAAAAGGATAAGACCCCGCCCCTCCCCTTGAGCACAGGGTCGACTGCAGGTGGTCACGCACCATCTGCTGGGTGCTGGGGGGCAAGGCGGCAGCAGGACATGGGAGGAAGGTACGGGGGAGCAGGGTCTGAAGGAGAGCATTAGCAAGGGCCCTCCCCCTCCTCCTCTCTCCTGCCTTCCACCGGGATCTGCCTTGCTCCGAGGCGGAGAGACTGACCCCCAGGCTCCAGTACCCTCCACCTTCAGCCCCAGCTCGAGCTGGGTCCTGGCAGTGCTAGTCCCTCCCTGCGCTCCTTTTGATTTTCCACTGCTGCTGGCTCCCGGTGCCTCCTCATCGCTTTTGGGGTCCTTTACCCTTGCCCACCCCCTCACTAAATCTCTTCAAACCTCTAGGTGGGCCACCTGTTTCCACAAGGATTCTGACACTCTAGGTAATGACAGAGAAACGCTTTCAAAGGGAACAGCTTGTGCCAAGGCTCAGAGGCAGGGGAGGATGTAGCCCAGTGGGAGAATTCAGACCGCCCAGGGCAGGAGGGCAGGAAGGCAAGCTGTTCCAGCCCAGGTCACAGCTCTCAGCATTGAAACTGGGAACTGTGACACCTCCCACCTGAGCCCCACATCCCCCACCCCCGGAGGACGCATTGGCCGGGGCCTGCCTACAGCTTTACCTGAGCCCATCCCGGAGCGTGGACTGGGACACAGGAGCAGGCTCCAGGCTCCACCGTGGATTACACAGGCACACCCCTTGCTGAGGTCGAAAACAGGAGGCTTGTGTTCCTCCTCCACAGTGGCGTGGTTTTGGAGCCTCCAGCCAGGCCCAGAAGCCTCCTCTACCTTTCCTTTTTTTTTTTTTTTTCTTTCTTTCTTTTTTTTTTTTTTTTTAGATAAAGTCTCGCTCTGTTGCCCAGGCTGGAGTGCAATGCTGCAATCTCAGCTCACTGCAACCTCTGCCTTCCGAGTTCAAGCGATTCTCCTGCCTCAGCCCTCTGAGTAGCTGGGATTACAGGCACGCGCCACCATGCCTGGATAATTTTTGTATTTTTAGTAGAGACGGGGTTTTACCATGTTGGTCAGGCTGGTCTTGAACTCCTGACCTCATGATCCGCCCGCCTCGGCCTCCCAAAGTGCTGGGATCACACGCATGAGCCACCATGCCCAGCCCTCCTCTCTACCTTTTCTAGCAATGAAAACTTCATACCTGACAGTCAGCCTGGATGCTTAATGCTCAACCATTCACTCAACATCTACACTGCCCCAGGTCCAGATCTTTGTAAAAATGAGATGCTCCCCTAGGAAGGAGGAACACACTCCTGGACTGATTTCAGCCTCCAGATACTAAGACAGTTTAAATGCCTCCTCCTCCACGATGGCCTCCCATATGTCCCTTGGAAGTAAGCTCCTTTTCTTGAATGACTAGCACTCTGTCCCTTTTATACCCTTCTTAGTGTCTGCCCTAGTTAATAATTTCTACTGTTTTCTGCTTTTTATTACAGTGACTGAGGTATGGGTCTTACTTCTCTCACTCAGATGTAAACCCACTGAGGACAAAACTCATGGCTGATTCATCTCTATCAAGCCTACTGCCTGGCATGTGGAATGTATGAATGAGTGAATGAACGAGAAGATGAACAAGGCAAAGCGCTCATAAGCATGGCCAGTTTGGCCAGGGAGTAGGCTGTAAGAAGACGTCAGAGCCTTCTGCTTGAATCTGCTGCCTTGCCGCCCACCCCAGGCTAAGGCACGAAGACCCTCAAAGCTGCTGCTGCAGGTCCTTTGGAGGAGCAGGCAGCTGGGCTCCCTGGCTCTCCCATCTGGAGCAGGAGGCCCAGGACAGGTGCTTTAAATACCCTCTGGCCACACCCCCAGCCTACTGCCCCTGGCACCAATGGTGGCAGAGTCACAGGTCAGAAACCAGGATTCAGGTCACCCCTTAGAAGGAACAGGGCGTAGATGGGGACAGATTGGATCAGAAAAGGCTGAGGAGGCCAGGTCCAGAGCTGTGCACACCTGGGAGTAACGTGGTATTTGAGATACCGAGGACAAAAGAGCTGCGGCTGTCGGGGGCAGGACGCACTATCAGGGGACCTTAACCTCTGTCCCCAAGAGGGGTTCACACCCCAGGCCACCAGTTTCAGTGGGTTTACACTGGGGCTCTGGGCAGGCGCAGCTCAAGGCAGGTGCTCTGAGGGAGAGCAGGGCTGTGAGGGGCTGGGGAGGCTGGCCCAGAATCTCCCCATGCCCGCCTGGAGACTGCAGGCCAACTTCCTGGTCATGCCCCAGTTCCCAGGAATTTTCCAGCTCCTGCTTAATAGCTCCATCCTCCCTCCATCTGCCCCCAGCCCACTCCCAGTTTCCAAACATTTTCTTTTTTGCTTCCAGTTAACCCTTGCTCTGCCCAGTACCGAATTTCTGTCACTGCCTCCTCCAAGACCTTCTCTTGTATTTTGCCCAAAGCAGGTGTCAGAACCCTTTCTGGGGGCCGAGCAGCTTGGTGTTGGGAGGCTGTGGTTGAGATTCCCGGCTCTCTTACTCCCTTCCCAGGGCTTGGGCAAATTCTTGCCCCCAGTGCCTCCTCTCTGCTTCCTGACTCTCCCTTGAGAGCTTGGACCATAGACCCCAGCACCCTTCCTGCTCAAGGACACACTCCACTCTGAGTATACACCCAACAGAAACACATACATATGTTCTCTAAAAGATGTGTATTAGAAGCCGGGCACAGTGGCTCACGCCTGTAATCCCAGGACCTTGGGAGGCCAAGGCAGGTGGATCACTTGAGCCCAGGAGTTTGAGACCAGCCTGGGCAACACAGGGAGACCCCGTCTACACAAAAATAAAAAAAATTAGCCAGGCATGGTGGCACACACCTGTGGTACCAGCTACTTGAGAGGCTGAGGTGGGAGGATTGCTTGAGTCTGGGAGGTCAAGGCTGTGGTGAGCCATAATTGTGCTTCTACACTCTAGCCTGGGTGACAGAGCAAGACCCTGTCTCAAAAAAAAAAAAAAAAAAAGAATGTGTATTAGAATGACTGTAACTAGCAATAGTAAGTTCTATAGTTTGAAATATCTGGAGGGAGGATATTGAATGCTCCCAAAACAAAGGAATGATAAGGCCAGGCGAGGTGGCTCACACTTGTAATCCCAGCACTTTGGGAGGCCGAGGCGGGTGGATCACCTAGGAACAGTTCAGGGGTTCGAGACCAGCCTGGCAACATGGTGAAACCCCGTCTCACTAAAAATGCAAAAATTAGCCAGGCTTGGTGGCAGGTGCCTGTAATCCCAGCTACTCGGGAGGCTGAGTCAGGAGAATCTTTTGAACCCGGGAGGTGGAGTTTGCAGTGAGCCAAGATGGCACCATTTCACTTCAGTCTGGGCAACAGAGCGAGATTCTGCCTCCAAAAAAAACAAAGGAATGATAAATGTTCAAGATGATAAATATGCTAATTACTCTGATCTGATCACTAAACATTATGTGTACGGAAACATCCCTATGTACCCATAAATATGTACAATTATTACATGTCAATTAAAAAGAAAAGAGCTAGGCACAGTAGCTCATGGTGTAAATCCAGCACTTGGGAAGGCCAAGGCGGAAGGACTGCTTGAGGCCAAGGGTTCAGGACCAGCCTGAGCAACATACCAAGACTTCATTTCTATTGTTTTTAATAAATAAATAAAAGGAGAAGAAAGAAGATGTGTATATAAGAGAACGTTCATAGAGCACTGTTCCTAAGAACTCCACACTGGAAGCTTCCCAAATGCCTATGAACTGAAAAAGAGAAAATAACAGGTATATTGATGCAGAGGAATAATACACAGCAATGAAAATGACTGAGTAACAACTCCACACACCGCCATTCGTGGATGCCTCTCCTAAACATGATTTTGAGCAAAGAAGCACAATGCAAACTAAAGTGCTTGTTATGTGGTACTGCTTAGCAAAAGTACAAAAACAGGGAAATGAATCTTTGCTGTTTGGAAATTAGAGTAGTGATACGCTTGGTTTGGCCCTAGGATAGTGACTGGGAAGAGCCTGGGGTGGGGTCCCGGGGTACCTGACATGCTCTTTTGCTGGGTCTGGGTTGTGGTTACATGCGTGTGCTTGGTTTGTGAAAATTCATCAAGCTGTTTCTTACGATATGCACCTTTCTGTGTGCATATCATATCTTGAGAAAAGTTTTAAAATGATAATGTAGATTTATAAAAATCACTTGTAAAATACAAGACCATGATTTTTCTTTTAAAAGCGGGTTTGGGTTGCAAATAAAGTAGCGCAGCAGAAGCAAGCTGGGCCTATCAAAACAGGTTGGTTGCAAAACATGTGCCATATCTTGTGGTCCTATATTTGTAAGTAAATCAATATATTCATTTACTACGCCAGTGGTGGTTAGTTCTGGGTAGTGGGGTTAAAAGTCATTTAAAAAATTTTATTTACCTATAAATAATCTACAATGATAATGTATTACTTCTATACTTGAGCCAAAAAAGTTATCATCAATTTAACTTTTAAAACCTGCGGGCATCTCTGGAGAAGCAGCCCAGGTCTGGGACTGGGGAGTGGAAAACACAATGTTCTCTTTGGTGTTGGAAGATCCTGTCCCTGGGGTGAGACCTTGATTGAAAACTGCGAGGGGACCAGCTGCCCCAATGCCTATCAGACCAGCTCGATAACATTTATCATGCTTAAGTGCTCTGTCTCAGGCTTGCCGTGACTAGGTTCCTTAGATCTCATTCCATTGCTTGATTTGATTGGTTCATGGAATATTTATGAACACCTGTGCCCTTGGCAGGGGCTGCCCTGCATCGGAGACACTGCTACCAGTGCCCCTGAAAGCCAGGCAATACCATACTGAGTGCCAGGCAGGGCTAATGGCAAAGTAAACGTTGTTGTCTAATCTTTCAGCCGGGCCAGTCTAGTACAATGAGATGATGTGGCTTCCTTGCTGGCAGCCACGGATCAGCCCTGGCTGAAAATCAGATCTCATGGGAGCACGTAGTTGCAGAATCAGGATTCCCTTTTCCATCCCAAGGGTTCTTCTGGTCAAGGGGGCTGAGTGGAATGGCTTCTCCAAGTGCCCCTGGGATGGAGGCTGCAGCCATCATGGAATGTTCCTGTCACACACTAACCCATGAGCAGAAACCAGGTGGATGTACATAGTCACATAGTCTGGCCAGGGACCAGAGCCTCCTGAGACCCAGGTTCAGGTCCCATCTGTGTCATTACTTAGTTATGTGAACCTGCACTGATCACTTAACCCCTCTGAGCTATGTCCGTTGGGAAAAAGTGGGAGTAATAGTTTAATAATTCTTTTTAAAATAATTCAAAGCATTCAGAAAAGCACAAATAGGCACACAAATGTAAGCACTACTATGTTGAGGGAGGTTTGCAGATGACCTGACCAACAACGTCACCTTCTCCCTTTTCAGATCACTCATATTGCCTGAGCAGAAAACCACCTAGCAGAGCACTGAAATGGTCCCAAAAGAGGGAAGAGCAAGAGGCAACCAGGTGGATCTTTTTGGAGTTTTCAAGAGGTTTCCAGTCCTGCTTTCTATTGCTGATGACAAGTTAACACACACTGAATGACTTACAACAACTCACACTGACTCACTATCTCACTGTTTCTGTGGGTCAGGAATCCAGGCTCGGTACAGCTGAGGCCTCTGTCAGTCAGGGATGTCAGCCTGGTCTGTGGTCTCATCTGAGGCTTGACTAGAGAAGGATCTGCTTCCATGCTCACACGCTTGCTGGCAGGATTCAGTTACTTGTAGATTGTCACACTGAAGGCCTGAGTTCCTTGCTGGCTGTCAGCTGGAGGCCACCCTTGGGTCCTTCCCCTTGGGCCTCTTTATAGGGCAGCTTTCTTTATCAGAGCCAGCAAGAGGAAGAGTCTATACAGACAGTGTGCTAGCAAGACACAAGCTACAAGCCTGTATAATGTCATCGCAAAAGCAACATCCCATCTACTTTGCTGTATCCTGTTGGCTAGAAGCAAGTCCTGCCTACACAAAAGGGGAGGGGATTACGCAGGGATGTGAACACCAGCAGCATGAATAATTGGGGGCCATCCTACAGTCTCTCTGCCATACCCCTGAATTGGTGTCAGCAAGCATGCCAGCGTCCCTCAGGGTGCTAAAATCTCTAATGTGGAGAAACATTATCATCTTCACCAATCTGAGAGCTTCCCCTCAATGTGATCCAAATATCCATCCAGGTGGAAAGGAAGAGCCCCTTCCACACCAGCTTTCCCTTCAACTGACCACAAATGCGCCAAAGGCACGGCCTAGTCCTACCATGCTCAGGGATGTACCCTCTGCAGCTAGAGCATCCCTGCACGGTACACAGCAAGTGCACAATAAGGCATTTGAATGAATGTGTAAAGGGGCTTGCAGGTTTCTGCCTGGGGAATCTTCCTTCTGCTTCCCAAATATACTTCTCTGCTCAAAATTCCCATGTGGGCCCCAGACAAACTGTGCCCCCAAAATCAGTGCCCATCCTTGGGCTCCAAGCTCCCTCCCTTCCATCTGGTGGCAGCCTTGAGTGAGGGGATTCCATCTGGTGCCCCCAGAACTTAGGCAGCATCTTCAGGACCATCAGGTTCTTCACATGAGTGCTAGGATCAACCCATACTTAGGTGATGGATACTCCAAATACCCTGACTTCATCATTACTCTTTCTATGCCTGTAACAGAATATCACATGTACCCAAAAAAAATATGTAAAATATTATGTATCCATAAAGAGAGAGAGGGCCAGGTGCAGTGTGGTTCACTGTAATCCCAGCACTTTGAGAAGCTGAGGCAGGAAGATCGCTTGAGCCCAGGAGTTCGAAACCAGCCTGGGCCACATAGTGAAGCCCTGTCTCTACAGAAAATACAAAAGTTAGCTCGGTGTAGTGGCTCATGCCTTTCATCCCAGCTACTCAGAGCCTGAGGCCAGAGGACTAATTGAGCGTGGGAGGCTGAGGCTGCAGTAAGCCATGATCACCCCACTACGCTCTACCCTGAGTGACAGAATAAGACCCTGTCTCATAAAACAGAGAGAGAGGCTTGAGAGGGAGGAAAGAAAGAGGAAGAGAAGGAGGCACCAGAAGACATGAACGTGGAAAATACAAGGGCTAGTCATACTGGAGTGAGATTCACAGTTAAAAAAAAAGAAAAGAAAACAAAAGAAAATGGGCCCAGGATTCACATTTGGGGCACAAAGATGTCAACTAACAGGGGAGTCTGTAATGTCAATGTGTTTTCTACCAACCACCACTGTCCCTGAACTAATCCACACTGCCCACTCCTCAATACTCACCTGGAGGCACTGGGGGCAACTTGGAGCTTTTATAGAACCTGTGGCTCTCATGGCTGGACAGTCTGAGGATGCCCCAGGGGATCCGATTTCAGAACAAGACCCTGAGACAGGGCTTCCTATCTACCTGGTGACCTCCCCGCTCCCCTGTCCTCCTCCCCAGCAATTTATGCATCAGGGTTTTCACTCTACTTTGTCCACTGAATAAAATCTCACAATCCATTGGGTTGGTAAGCATCCTCTTTCTTTTTTCTTTTTTTTTTTTTTGTTTGTTTGTTTGTTTGTTTGAGATGGAGTCTAGCTCTGTTGCCCAGGCTGGAGTGCAGTGGCGCGATCACGGATTATTGCAACTGTGTCCCAAATTGGTTCCTTCCCGGTGGGTTCTTGGTCTCGCTGACTTCAAGAATGAAGCCGCCGACCCTCACGGTGAGTGTTACAGTTCTTCAAGATGGTGTGTCTGGAGTTTGTTCCTTCAGATGTTCAGATGTGTCCAGAGTTTCTCCCAGTTGGTTTGTGGTCTCGCTGGCTTCAGGAGTGAAGCTGCAGACCTTCGCGGTGAGTGTAACAGCTCTTAAAGGTGGCGCGTCCAGAGTTGTTTATTCCTCCCGGTGGGTTCGTGATCTCGCTGGCTTCCGGAATGAAACTGCAGACCTTCGCGGTGAGTGTTACAGCTCATAACAGTAGTGCAGACCCAAGGAGTGAGTAGCAGCAAGATTTATTGTGAAGAGCGAAAGAACAAAGCTTCCACAGCCTGGAAGATGTCCCGAGCAGGTTGCCACTGTTGGCTCCAGTGGCTTGCTTTTAGTCCCTTATTTGGCGCCACACACATCCTGCTGATTGGTCCATTTTACAGAGAACTGATTGGTGCATTTACAATCCTTTAGCTACACACAAAAGTTCTCCAATTCCCCACCTGATTCTCTAGACACAGAATGCTGATTGGTGCATTTACAAGCCTTCAGCTAGACACAGTGCTGCTTGGTGCATTTACAATCCTTTAGCCAGACACAAAAGTTCTCCAAGTCCCCACCCCATTAGCTAGACACAGAGTGCTGACTGGTGTGTTTACAAACCTTTGGCTAGACACAGAGTGCTGATTGGTGAATTTACAATCCTTTAGCTAAACACAAAAGTTCTCCAAGTCCCCACCCGACTCAGAAGCCCAGAGGGCTTCACCTCTCACAACCTCTGCCTCCCAGGTTCAAGCGATTCTCCTGCCTCAGCCTCCCCAGTAGCTGGGATTACAGGCGCCCACCACCATGCCCAGCTAACTTTTCTACTTTTAGTAGAGACGGGGTTTCACTATGTTGGCCAGGCTGGTCTTGAACTCCTAACCTCAGGTGATTCACCTGCCTCACCCTCCCAAAGTACTGGGATTACAAGCGTGAGCCACGGCGCCCGGCCAAGCATCCTCTTTCTAAGTCACTCACCCATGAGTATGAATTGTTTGCCCAGATTGCTTCACTCCATTGTAGCTGATTTCAACCCAGTTGTAAGCCTGGAGCACCTGGAGAAATCAGACCCAGGTGGGATCTCAAAGGTGGAGAGGGTGGGAAAGGAGCAAAAGAAAGAGAAGGGGTGCAGAAAGGGAGGGACACAGATTCCAAAGACATACCTGGCCTGTCTGAAGTTTGCCTCCTCCAGGAAGGGAAGGCAGCATTCTCCCGGTGCTGTCTCCCTCCTCCCCCGTGTACTGTGCACATCTCCTTCCCAGACTCAGCCCAGTTGCACCAAAAGCAAGCCACAAGGCCCATAGGCTAGTCAGACGCCCAACAACCCCACACAATGACACTTATGTGGGGAATTGTGTCCTGAGACCCAAACGACTGACCCCCCAATGTGCTGTGAATAAGCAGTGACCACAACCAGTACCACCTATGACTGAGTCGGGGGCTGCTCTCTAAGAACCCCAGCTGCATGCCCTCTGGGACAAATCAGGCCACCTGGGGCTCCTTCACATCTCTCCAATGCTGTGTTAAACGCACTTTTAACCAACTTTGTCAAAATGCTCAGCTGGTAAAGTTTTAACGTAGGCCCTTGTCAATGCTTCAGAAATAAGCCTCTGGCGGCGCGACAGAGCAAAACTCCGTCAGGAAAGTAAGGAAAGAAAGGAAAGGAAGGAAGGAGGGAAGGAAGGAAGGAAAGAGAGAAAGAGAAAGAAGGAAAGAAAGGAAAGAAAAGAAAGGAAACAAAGGAAAAGAAAACAAATAAGCTTCCAGGTCATTGCTTAGAAAGAAAAAGAAAGAAAAAAAAAGAAAAGAAAAAAGAAAGAAAAAAGCCTCCCGGTCATTGCTCCTCTCTCTCTCTGCGGGTCCATCCCCATGGCACCCTCCCCCCTCCCCATGGTGCAAAGTTATAGTGGAAAGTGCCTCAGCTGGAAAGATCTCAGAATGTGGCTTAGGGCAGCCACAATCTTATCAGGAGCTTCTCTGTTTGGGATCAGGGGAACCGGTGACTTTCAGAGGCCGATAAGGCGGGACCCAACTTGTATATAAGGGGCAGCTCATGCTGCTGCTCTGCACCTTCCTCCCGTCTTGCCTTCTCCCTCGAGTTGGGACCCGGGAAGAACCATGAAGTGGCTGCTGCTGCTGGGTCTGGTGGCACTCTCTGAGTGCATCATGTACAAGTGAGTCCGGGTGGTGTGGGTGTGAAGACGCTGCCTCCCACATCACCTTTCTTTCCTCCCGTGTCTTCCTTCTTCCCTTTTTTCTCCCTCTCTATTCAGCTGTCTCCATCCCCCTTTTCCGCCTCTCTCTCTGCCTTTTTGGGAGGCAGCCCTGCAGACATGGTTAAAACTCGGGCCCAGCCTGACTGTGGTTCCCAGCTCCAGCCCTAGTCAGCTTAACTTCTTTGCATTATGGGGCAGAAGTGGGAGCTTCTCCCTTCCTTCCATCTTCCTCTCTTAGATCAGCTGGTTAAGAGTCCAGCCTGGGTTTGGCTCCCAGCTCCAGCACTAGTCAACTTAACTTCTTTGCATTGTTGGGCAGAAGAGGGGGCGTCTCCTTTCCTTCCTTCTTCCTCTCTTAGACCAGCTTCCCTTCCCTTCTGGGGCTGCCACAGCACCCGGTCAGCAGAATCCTTGCCTAATTCCTCTTCCTTCTCCAAACCACAGGGTCCCCCTCATCAGAAAGAAGTCCTTGAGGCGCACCCTGTCCGAGCGTGGCCTGCTGAAGGACTTCCTGAAGAAGCACAACCTCAACCCAGCCAGAAAGTACTTCCCCCAGTGGAAGGCTCCCACCCTGGTAGATGAACAGCCCCTGGAGAACTACCTGGATGTGAGTGTGCGGGCAAGTGGTGGGGCCAGCTCTGAGGACTTGGCCCGCAGGAAAGAGGGTGTCCCAGGGGTCTTGGAGGACGGGCCTGGGCTCTGTGGCTCCAGGCAGTGACCCAGAGTCTGCCCCCTAGATGTCAGTGGCCCAGGGCAGGCAGGAAAGCTCACAGTCAGAGTTCATTCATTCATTCGTTCACTCGTTCATGCAATGTTAATTTCTCTGAGCGCCTCATTCTATTTCAGGGCCTGTGCTGGGCTCAGGGGGAGACAGCAGTGAGCAAACTCATAGCCTAGGAGACAAACACAGTCATCAAGGGGTCTCGCAAAGCAATGAAAGGAACAGGCAGCAGGAGGACTACAGAGTGACGGTGTCACACTGCGAGAGTCTGCCACTTGGGCAGGGAGCCTCCCTGGAGCCACGCAGGAAGAGCGGCAGTTTCCAAGACAACAAGACAGAACTCCGCATAGCCTGATCCCTTGTGCCAAACCCTGTAGCAGGCGGGAGCACAGTGCCTTTGAAGGGGAGCCGAGAGGGAGGGAAGAAGGGTGCTGCAGACTGCGGTCCGAGGAGCCGAGGGGTGGACGCAGAGAGGCTCCATCCTAACTGCCTCTGATTTATCTTAAACAGGGGTGTGACAAGATCAGATCTGAGTTTCAGAAAGATCACCCTGACTTTATTATTTGAGATCCGATAGCAAACACCCTGCCCTCCTGCAGATATTGTATGTCCCCTCTGTGACTGGCACAGGGCACAGGGCACAAAGCAGTGATGCCCGTGGTTCAGAGACTGGCCTCTGCCATCCAGCAGACCTGGTGCAAATATGGGTCCTAGTGCCTCTAAGCCACAGGACCTTGGCCAAGTCATTTAAATACTCTGAGCCTGTGTCTTGGTCTGGAAAACAGAACCACTAATATCTACCGTCAGAGGATGTTGCCAGGAATTAACACGATCATGTTTTCTGGAGTGCTTAGCATGGGGTCTGCCAGGCCCTTGGTAAGAGGCTTAATTAGCGCATTTATTTAGTTCACAAATATTTAACAAATATTGGCACCTCTCTATGTGCCAGAGGCTATGCAAGTTGCCAAAATGATGGTGAATAATCAAAGTTCCTGGAGCTTATACTCTAAAGGGGATGACAAATAAACAACCATGTAAGAGAATTTCAGATAATGATGAGGACCATGACAAATTAATTAATTGGACTATGGGGAACAAAAAGATTGAGAGGGGGCAAATTTAGATAAAGTGGTCACGGAAGGCCTGTTGGCAGAGGGGACATTTGACTAGAGAGCTGAATGATTGATTTTTGATAAAAGGATCAGCCAAGGAAAGATCTAGAATAAACATTTTCCTAGCACAAGGAATAGCCAGTGCAAAGGCCCTAGGGCAGGAGTGACTGGTCATCGCCAAAGAACAGCAAGCAGACCAGTGTGGCGGGAACAGAGCCGGCAGGGGGAAAATGCTGCCACTAACAAGAAAAATACTGGTTGATTGGCGGAGGCGGGTGGATCACTTGAGGTCAGGAGTTCGAGACCAGCCCGGCAACATGGTGAAACCCCGTCTCTACTAAAAATACAAAAATTTGCCGGGCATGATGGCACACACCTGTAATCTCAGCTACTTGGGAGGTTGAGGCAGGAGAATCACTGGAACCCAGGAGGAGGAGGCTGCAGTGAGCCGAGGTCGCGCCACTGCACTCCCGCCTGGACAACAGAGTGAGACTTGTCTCAAAAAAAAAGAATAAAAATTCTGGCAATGCCCTTTCTCAAAACCTGCTGTACACATCTAGACGTAGAAATAAGAAAACTGGACAGGTTTCCATCTTTAAGTGGCTTGCTTAGCTTCTGATAAACAATTTAAGGCACAAGCACTTAAGCTGTAACTTGCCCGGTGCTAGAAGGTTCCACCGCCATCCTCTGAGAACATGCGCTGTACGGATGGGAAGACTGTGACAGACAAGACAATGGCTAAAGAGGGAACAGCAGATTGTTAGGTGCTTGTGGTGCTTAACAGAGAGCAGAGGGTAAATTGGGGGAGCAATCAGGGAAGACTTCAAGGAGGAAGGGACGCCAGGGCTGGGATTTGAAGGATGAAGACAGTGGCTGGGAAGAGAAAGATAAGAACTGTGAGGAATGAAGGAAAAGATGGAGAGGCAGACTGAGGAGATGACCCAGAGACAGCCCCTAGGGAGGCCCTGACAGAGAGACCCCGTTCCGTGAACTGCCCTGTCCTCGCCTGGACAGATGGAGTACTTCGGCACTATCGGCATCGGAACTCCTGCCCAGGATTTCACCGTCGTCTTTGACACCGGCTCCTCCAACCTGTGGGTGCCCTCAGTCTACTGCTCCAGTCTTGCCTGCAGTAAGTGCCCAGACCGCCCTACCCCACTCTCACTCCCCAGCACCAGCCGACCCTGGGGAACCCTGGACACCCACGGGCTTCAAACAGTTCCCACCTCAAGCCTGCTGGAGCCACTCAACAGGCATTTATTGAGCACCTACTACGTGCCAAGCACTGGGCTCAGGTGCTCCAGGGGGTAAAGGGATGAGTGATATGATCCCTGCGGTCAAAGACTACACAGTCTGAGGGCAGAGAGAAGCTCTCCTCAATAACCACAGGCTGGGAGAGGAAGTATGGGGGGCCCAAAGCAAGACAGGGCCAAAGGGCTGTAGAATAGCCCACCAGGAAAGAGTCCAGTGTGAGAAAATGGCTTCAAAGCCTGGCTAGGACAGGCTAGAGGTCAGTGCTGAGCTCATTTAAAAAAAAAAAAAGAATCATTGGTTTGCTAATGAAAGAGAGTTTGTCTTTGGAAGTCATGAACAATGTGTGTTGCAGGTTCCTTCCTCTTCTAGTGTTTTCACTGGAGTTTTAATGAAGATGAGGTGCCTGTGGCATCATCCACATCATAACGGGAGCACTGGCTGGGGGCTAGAGGGTGAAAGCGCTCGTCACTGGG
The DNA here is from genome assembly GCF_000001405.40 of Homo sapiens. Taxonomy (NCBI): domain Eukaryota; kingdom Metazoa; phylum Chordata; class Mammalia; order Primates; family Hominidae; genus Homo; species Homo sapiens. Next base: position 61,207,223 of record NC_000011.10, read on the forward strand.
TAGCCACGGGCCTGCTCCGCTCTATGTTGGTCTGGGGAGGTCTCCAGGAGGCCCTTGGGGTTGGCTGGGGAAACTGCCACCAGTGAATGGTCCCAGTAGTTCAACGAGACAGGACAGAACCTGGGGTCTCTTGGGCTCCAAGGGTCTAGGGCGAAAGGTCACTGCTCACCTCCAGAGCCCGTCCCAGGGCCAGGGCACCCCATCCCAGGAAGACATCCAGCCCATGACCTTCACCCAGCTCTCAGAGAATAACACTCACCGCTTGTCCTTGCAGCCAACCACAACCGCTTCAACCCTGAGGATTCTTCCACCTACCAGTCCACCAGCGAGACAGTCTCCATCACCTACGGCACCGGCAGCATGACAGGCATCCTCGGATACGACACTGTCCAGGTGGGCACCTGCAGGCTGCCGCTGCATCCCCCCATCAGGCACCCCCAAAATAAGCTTATTCCAGCAAGATGAGTCTTGGTGATCACAGAAGTAACCTGATTGGGGGTGCGGGGTGGGGGAGAAGCAGCAGAGATGTCACAGACATTGCTAGCTCGGGTGGCAGTGAGTAAAAGGGTGGGGTGCCAGGAGCCATAACCCAGACTCAGCTCCACCCAAGCAGAATGTTATGGAGTGTGGGGAGAGTCAGTAAAGGCTCACTTCTCTACTAGCACCTCCTCCTCTTCCTTCTTCTCCCGACATGCAGCACCCCAAGTCACGAAATCTCCACAAGCCCTCCCTGCCACTTTCGGGGCATGGCAGGGGTCAAAGGCCTGGGGTCTGGGGTCTGCTTTGCGTTTGTTCATCAGAAACACAAACACACAGTGACCATCTGTTCTCCAGCAAAATCTCACCCTGAGTCATAGACTGTAGCCATCTGGAGATCAGCTGCCATGGTTACCTCCAGCAGAGGAACCAGCATTCCAGCAGACAGTCCCTCTGCCCTCCTCCCGGGCTGATACCCTGGAAGCCAAGTCCTGCATGAGATGAACCAGGGTGGCTCTGGGCCTGAGGCTGGCATCCAGAGCTCAGTGAACATGACCCGATGGTGAACATCATCTCGGTTTCCCCACCCAGGTTGGAGGCATCTCTGACACCAATCAGATCTTCGGCCTGAGCGAGACGGAACCTGGCTCCTTCCTGTATTATGCTCCCTTCGATGGCATCCTGGGGCTGGCCTACCCCAGCATTTCCTCCTCCGGGGCCACACCCGTCTTTGACAACATCTGGAACCAGGGCCTGGTTTCTCAGGACCTCTTCTCTGTCTACCTCAGCGCGTAAGTTGAGTGGAGAGGGGCCTCCTCCCACCTCCCCCTCCAGAGGTCACAGTGTTCCTGCCCAGCAGGAGCTGTCCAAGGCTGGGTGCGATGGAGAGGGTCTTGGGAAGCAAGGGATTTGAAAGTCAATGTCTGAGGCTGGAGAAGTGTGTCTTTGGAGAGTAATAGTGCCAAGTCTGTCTCTGACGGGCCATGTGCACTCCATCTTATTTTACCAGCATCTTTGTCCCCTTGATGTGCACAACTCAAATGTCATCAGCCATTTCCCCCTCAGTACCACTTCCCTCATCCTTGGCCCGCAAAGATGCCATTTAAAGTGAATACACTTGGCCAGGTGTGGTGGCTCATGCCTGTAATCCCAGCACTTTGGGAGTCTGAGGCAGCAGGATCACCTGAAGTCAGGAATTCAAGACTGGGTTTCATGGTGATAGCCAGGATGGTCTCGATCACCTGACTGCCTCAGCCTCCCAAAGTGCTGGGATTACAGGCGTGAGCCACCGTGCCCGGCCCTGGATGACTAATTTCTTCTTGCTGTCTACATTTGCTTCCTCATCTAACCTGAAACTGCAGAAATTTAGAACATGAATATTGCAATAACAAGGACTCCTGCAATTTACCACAGGAAGGCTCTTTGTCATGTATTCTTCTTGGCCAGTTAATGTTCAAGGTGGCTCTGAAACATCATCTGCCTTTATGAGCACTTAAATATTTCATGTGGGGCCATTGCATCTCCCCAGCCAGATCCGAGTTTCTCAATCTGGGCACTATTAACATTTCAGACCAACATAAGAGCTTGCCGCCAGGGACTGTCCCGTGCATTGTAGGATGTTTGGCAGCATCCCCAGCCTCTACCCATGAGATGCCGGCAGCATCCCCTACCCCCACCCAATCATGACAATCCAAAATGTCTCCAGACATTCCCCTGGGGGCAAAACTGCTCCCAGCTAAGAACCAGTGACCTCCACCCTCAAGTCCTTAAGAGCGGACACTGTCATGCATTCACTTCCCTGGGGTCCCCATGGCAACCAGAGTGGGTACCACCATGGAAACCACAGACTCAACCTAAAAGGCCTGTGTTCTTCCAAACGTAGTTCCACCACTCCCCCGCTGTATGACCTTGGGCAGGTGGCCTCACCTCCCTCAGGCTCAGTGTCCTCATGGTAAGTGGAAATAACAGTGACAGTGCCCACTGCATAGGCACTGGCCTAAGAGGAAAAGAAACCACATTAGTCACACCGCAGGACAGCCCTAGAAAGTGCCCAATCAAGGGTAGCCCTGAGGAGGCAACAGCAGATGGTCACACAAATGGACGAACAAAAAAATTCATGTCTTCTCCCCTCACTTTCCACAGCGATGACCAGAGTGGCAGCGTGGTGATCTTTGGTGGCATTGACTCTTCTTACTACACTGGAAGTCTGAACTGGGTGCCTGTTACCGTCGAGGGTTACTGGCAGATCACCGTGGACAGGTGAGACTGCCATGAACGGGCAGCATCCAGGCCTGGGCCCCAGATCCCATTTCCTTATGGATTCATAGCCAATCAGCTTTCCAGAATCCCCCCAGGAACAGCTGGCACAGGGGAACACACTCCAGGGGGAAGGTGGAAGTTGGCCAAGCCAGAGACCCCTAGAAAGACACCTCCCTGCAGGAGGAGGGAAGAGCTGTCTAGGAAGCCAAGACTCTGCAAGGGTGAGATAGCCACTGTCCTCCTAGTCACGGAGGCAGGACCATCCACCAGCATCCCTGGGGAGAGCTGGGGGACCCACCTGTCCACGCATCTGACAATTTAAGGGGCCGGTGAACCAGCACACGCTCCTGCCACTCGAGGAAACATGTCACTTTCCGTCTAGAAGTGGGGCAAAATGGCTAAGAAATTGTGTGAAGTCACTTCATTCCACCCTCCCCTTCAGGGCCTCCCCGGTCTCCCTTGCAGCTTCATTTCCACGCTCTTCTTCCCCAGCTAGCCTGCTAGCGTGCTCAGTGGTGTGGGTTTTCCCAAGAATGAACAATTTCCCAGGACAGAGACTTTCAGTACTAAAACTGGGACCAGCCCAGGCAAACCAGGACACATGGATCACCTCATGTCTGCCCAGCCATGCTAGAATTTCACCAGTTCCTCCAACACCTGCCCCAGCCCTCTGGTCTCTGTACCTCCCCGCATACCATCCCCTGATGATGTCCTCCTTCTCTCTTCACCTGCCTGGCATTCCAGGGTGTCTGTTCCCCTGGCTGCTCCCCTCCACCACCTCTCACCCTGGACCCTGTTTTTGTTCCCTGCCTCATGCCTGACTGATCATCTTGCCCTTCTGCCAACATAACTTATCTTGCCAGCTAGGCAGGGAGCTCCCTGCAGCCTGGAACTGTGAGGCTGTCTTGTTTCACTTGGCATTTCCCATGCCTGGCAGAGAGTAGGCACTTGGGAAATATTTGTTGGGCAAATGAATGCGGGACGAATGAGTGCGTGAACGAGAGGAACAGAAATTTCACGCATTGGCCAATGGATGGGTGGGGAAGAAATGTCTGGGCTCACCTCCTAGTTCCTCCTTGGAGAGAAGTACCCCTGAGAGCTCAGGGAGCTTAACTTGCTTCTTGCCCTCAGCATCACCATGAACGGAGAGGCCATCGCCTGCGCTGAGGGCTGCCAGGCCATTGTTGACACCGGCACCTCTCTGCTGACCGGCCCAACCAGCCCCATTGCCAACATCCAGAGCGACATCGGAGCCAGCGAGAACTCAGATGGCGACGTGAGTCCAGCCCCGACTGCTCTGTTCTACACTCAAGTAGTGGGTGTGCCAGGCAGAAGGGACAGAAACCCTTCTAACTTTTCTCACCCTCACTCTTTCCAGATGGTGGTCAGCTGCTCAGCCATCAGCAGCCTGCCCGACATCGTCTTCACCATCAATGGAGTCCAGTACCCCGTGCCACCCAGTGCCTACATCCTGCAGGTGAGGAGGCTCTGGACCATCCACTAGAGGGGTTCACACAGAATGTGGACACAGAGTTCCCCTCTGCAGACGGAAAGTACACTTCCACGAGCTGAAGCCAAGAGGCAGAGGCAGACGAACATCTGCCCTAGACAGCCTCCAGAGAAAAAGAATATATTAAAAACAAATGCAGGAATAAGAACTCGGATACAGCCCCCTAAGGGAACAAGTGAAGCAAAGGTTAATGGAGTGAAAAGAGGATTCTATTTGGACCCCTGGGTCCAAGTCCTGGGTCTGAATTACTAGCCCATTGATTCTGAACAAATTACAACTCATCTCACCCTCAGTTTTCTCATCCAAAAAGTAGAGATGGCAGCTTTCCCCACCCTCAGAGTGCGGTTAGGTCAACCAAGTGAGACTGATCACATCAGAGCTACCAAGGGTTGGGCAAATGGAAATCCTAATTTCCGTAGGCTGGGGCTTCTGACACTTCTACCATCTCTACCAAGTAGCAAATCTTTAGCTATACGAGCCACAAGAAAACTCTTTCCCTTCTGTTATCATAACGTCAGGTGGAAAACTAATTTTGCCAGTGGACTCATGTTACTCAACAAGAAGCACTGATGCCTGGGCTCCCCCACTGATTCTGATTACATTAGGAGAGGGCAAGGCCTGAGCAATGGGATGGGGCTGCGGGGGTTCAAAGCTCCCCAGGTGATGTGCAGACAAGGTCGCAGCCCAGTGACTTAGTGAGGCAAGAGGGCTAATAGCTCATCTGGTTTGCCTCTGACCGGATCAGAATAATAATGAGAAAAGGCTATGGCGGCAGGGTTTTCAAACTCCTTCCTAGCAGCTGAATTCTCCCTAAGCCCCTTAGCACCAATGCTGATGTCAGGGTTCGTGTGCCTGCCAGAAACACCAGATAATGTCCAGTAATGCGTAGAAACCAGTCGTTCAGTGGACGGCTTCTACAGGCCGACTCCAGGCCAAGAACAGCCGAGTCCCTGGACACTGAGCCAGGAAGCTCCTCCTTGCACGTGCCTTACAGCTGGACCAGGGCGCCCTGGATGTTTATCACCCAGCGCCTATCACGGCTGAATCGGTGTCCCAGCTCCACTTTTATTCTCCTTTTCTCCAGAGCGAGGGGAGCTGCATCAGTGGCTTCCAGGGCATGAACCTCCCCACCGAATCTGGAGAGCTTTGGATCCTGGGTGATGTCTTCATCCGCCAGTACTTTACCGTCTTCGACAGGGCAAACAACCAGGTCGGCCTGGCCCCCGTGGCTTAAGCCTAAGTCTCTTCAGCCACCTCCCAGGAAGATCTGGCCTCTGTCCTGTGCCCACTTTAGATGTATCTAATTCTCCTGACTGTTCTTCCCAGGGGAGTGTGGAGGTCTTGGCCCTGTTCCCTGTCCTACCAATAACGTAGAATAAAAACATAACCCACTGAAACAGGTTTTGTGGAGCTGCTTCTCTTTGCTGGTCTTTTTCCTTCACATTACTGGGGTTAGAACACCAGGGCAGGGATGAAAATGACCACATCCATTTGGATGGCACCCAACATAGTGACCCCAGCAGCTGACACTTCATGATGGAGCCAAGAAGACAGAGAGGCTTCGGGGGTTGTGCTGGAAGCATCATAAAAAGACCTGGGGGTCAAAATACTGGGCTAATTGTCTTCTCATAGAAGGGACACAGAGCTGAGATCGTGCCATTGTACTCCAGCCTGGGCGACACAGAGAGACTCCAGCTCAGAAAGAAAAAAATAGGTCACTGAAGCTCTTAGTTGAGGGAGTCAACCTCCTACTTCTCCCAAAGCCAATAAGAGATCATGAGAAGGCTGGGCACAGTGGCTCACGCCTGTAATCCCAGCACTTTGGGAGGCTGAGGCGGACAGGTCACCTGAGGTCAGGAGTTTGAGACCAGCCTGGCCAACATGGTGAAACCCTGTCTAATAAATTTACAAAAATGAGCTGGGTGTGGTGGTGCGCACCTATAATCCCAGCTACTCAGGAGGCTGAGCCAAGAGATCGCTTGAACCTGGAAGGCGGAGGTTGCAGTGAGCTGAGATCGCACCACTGCACTCCAGCCTGGGCGACAGAGCGAGACTCCATCTCAAAAAAAAACAAAAAAAGAAAAGAGATCATGAGGAAAGGAAAGCAATCAGGAGAGTCACGAGAGGTAGACACTAATGGTGATGTCCCTAAGTAGATAGGACAGGGCAGAGTTGTCTGCAAGACGTGGACAGGAGAAGTGGAAGAAGCTGACACCCCACAGTCTTCCAGGATGCCCTTGTGATTCACTGGCTACCAAGACCAAGACTAACAGTTAATCTCCCCAAGGTCCTAGGCAGAAAACACTGAACCCATCTCTTTCCCCATCTGTAACCAAAGAGAAAGGTCTTCCACTTCCCTGAGCAGAGGTTGTGAGACAGAGAATTAAGCATGTTCATTAGCATATATGCCCTAGAAAGGCAAAGAGGAAATGGAGCAGTTTCTCAGACTGGGCTTGGTAGCAAAATGTTCAATGGAAAACACAGTTTCAGAATAAGTATAGAACATGCTACATTCTAGGCCCTTCCCCAGGGTTCACCAGCTACAGTTCCCAATCAAAGGCTCTGACAAGCCCTGCTGCAAAGTGATCTGTTTCTTTTTAACTCAGCTGAGCTTCATCTCAGACTCTCTCTTGCTAGTAAGTCTATTACAGCCCTGGGCTCCCCGGCATGCATGCTGGGAAAATTCCCATAGCTCCTGCTTCTGGTGACAGCCGACCCAGGCTTTCTGCTGAAGACACAAGCCCAGAGGCTGGAGCTGGGCTCTAGGAAGGGCGGGGGTGAGCTCCAACACCCAGTCTCCCCAGGGTCACTCTCACCCTCCCAAGCCCATTTTCCATAGCTGAATAAACTTTAGGAAACATAAATTTCATCTCATCCCTTCCTTGCTTTAAACTCTTAATGCCTTCTTGCCATTGCCGTTGGAATAAAACAGCAAATCTTTGGCATAGTCCCACGTCCTGTGTGCTCCTTTCCCTCCAAACCTTCCCTGCTTCACTCTGATCCCGTTACCCCGAGCTCCCTCCACCCTGGCCTCCCACGGCCACAATAGCCCAAGTGTTTTCCCACCTCCAGACTTTGCACATGCTGTTCCCTTTGCCAGGGTTGCTTTTCCCTCTTTCTTGACTAGCTAACACCTAGCATCTGCAGACGTGGCTTAAATGTCACTTCTCAGCCAGGCTTGGTGGCTCACGCCTATAATCCCAGCACTTTGGGAGGCCGAGGTGGGCAGATTAACTGAGGTCAGGAATTTGAGACCAGCCTGGCCAACATGGTGAAACCCCATATCCACTAAAAATATACAAAAAATTAGCTGGGTGTGGTGGTGGGCACCTGTAGTCCCAGCTATTTAGGAGGCTGAGGCAGGAGAATCGCTTTAACCCAGGAGGTGGATGTTGCAGTGAGCCGAGATTGCACCACTGGACTCCAGCCTGGGCAACAAGAGCAAAACTCCGTCTCAAAAAAAAAAAAAATGTCACTTCCCTGTAAAAGTGATCAGCCCTCCCTCACCACTCTCTCAGAGAGCCTGGGCCTACATTTTCCCTCATGGTACTTGGCACTACCTATAACCATGCATTTCAGTGTTTAAGATTCACAAGGACAGGGATGGTGATGGTTTTAATTAGGTTTGAAGCCCAAGCAGCAAGAGCCGGGCTTGGCACATACTAGGAGGTCAATAAATATTTGCTGAATGAGTGATTAGAGAAGACTTTTTGAAAGGAACCATCTCAGATAGGATGAGAGTATGAGAGTGGGGATATGGTTTGACAAAGGCCATGTGAATAACAACAGGTGGGTCAGCTCCCACCCCCACCAACATTCCATCCCCGTCATATTCTGTCATGGGATAAGCAGGTGGATTTCTCAAGTTTCTGGGAAGGAATTTCACCCTGTCCTGGCTTCTTTGCTGGATTTATTTTTCTGATATTTCCCATGTACCTACTTTGAAGCTAGGCAGTGTGCTAGGCTCCGGGGATATAGGAAGGCAGGTCTTCCTGGATCCTATCTGTTCTCCTGCACCTGATCCCAGCCTTCCTTCCTCCCCCATCTCAACACCAGCAGCTGCAGCTCAGCCTCTCTCGCCCAGCACCTCTTCCATTCCCACCCTGGGATTCCTGAACCCTGTCACAATCTAAAGACGTTCCTCATCAGACAGATCATTTGACCAGAAAGCCCTGTGCCAACATATCTGATTTCATCCTCCTCATGTTGCTGCACAACAGAAGATGAATTCACAATCCTTTCCTGCAGTCTCAGGCCTCTGCTCCATGCATCCTCCTCGAAGGGCCCTGGGGTCGAAGCACAGCTCCTTCCATCCTTTTCATTCACACTCATCCAGGAGTGTTATTTTAATCTCACAGGTCTCCTGCCCCATCCATCCTCACCTGTCCCAAATGATCACTCCACACGCTGCTGGTGGGAGTGTAAACTGGCACCACCCTAAGAAGCATGATGTGGCTGTATCTATCAAAATTAAAAATGCATATGCCGGCCAGGCACGGTGGCTCACATAATCCTCACGCCTGTAATCCCAGCACTTTGGGAGGCCGAAGCAGGTGGATCACCTGAGGTGAGGAGTTTGAGACCAGCCAGGCCAACATGGTGGAACCTCATCTCCACAAAAAATACAAAATGAGCCGGGCGTGTTGACACATGTCTGTAATTCCCAGCTACTTGGGAGGCTGAGCCAGGAGAATCTCTCGAACCCGGGAGGTGGAGGTTGCAGTGAGCCGAGATGGCACCATTGCACTTCAGCCTGGGCGACACAGCGAGATTCTGTCTCCAAAAAAAAAACAAAGGAATGATAAATGTTCAAGATGATAAATATGCTAATTACTCTGATCTGATCACTAAACATTATATGTACAGAAACATCCTTATGTACCCATAAATATGTACAATTATTACATGTCAATTAAAAAGAAAACAGCCAGGCACAGTAGCTCATGGTGTAACCCCAGCACTTGGGAAGGCCAAGGCGGCAGGACTGCTTCGGGCCATAGTTCAAGACCAGCCTGAGCAACATACCAAGACTTCATTTCTATTGTTTTTAATAAATAAATAAAAGGAAAAGAAAGAAGATGTGTATACAAGAGAACATTCATAGAGCACTGTTCCTAAGAACTCCACACTGGAAGCTACCCAAATGCCTATGAACTGAAAAAGAGAAAATAGCGGGTATATTGATGCAGAGGAATAATACACAGCAATGAAAATGACTGAGTAACAACTCCACACACCGCCATTCGTGGATGCCTCTCCTAAACATGATTTTGAGCAAAGAAGCGCAATGCAAACTAAAGTGCTTGTTATGTGGTACTGCTTAGCAAAAGTACAAAAACAGGTGAAATGAATCTTTGCTGTTTGGAAATCAGAGTAGTGATACGCTTGGTTTGGCCCTAGGATAGTGACTGGGAAGAGCCTGGGGTGGGCTCCAGGGGTACCTGACATGCTCTTTTGCTGGGTCTGGGTTGTGGTTACACGTGTGTGCTTGGTTTGTGAAAATTCATCAAGCTGTTTCTTATGATATGCACCTTTCTGTGTGCATATCATATTTTGAGAAAAGTTTTAAAATGATCATGTAGATTTATAAAAATCACTTGTAAAATACAGAACCATGATTTTTCTTTTAAAAGCGGGTTCAGGTTGCAGATAGAGTAGCGCAGCAGAAGTGAGCTGGGCCCATCAAAGCGGGTTGCTTGCAAAACAACATGTGCCATATCTTGTGGTCCTATATTTGTAAGTAAATCAATATATTCATTTACTACGCCAGTGGTGGTTAGTTCTGGGTAGTGGGGTTAAAAGTCATTTTTAAAATTGTATTTATCTATAAATAATCTACAGTGATCATGTATTACTTCTATACTTGAGCCAAAAAAGTTATCATCAATTTAGCTTTGAAAACCTGCAGGCATCTCTGGAGAAGCAGCCCAGGTCTGGGACTGGGGAGTGGAAAACACAGTGTTCTCTTTGGTGTTGGAAGATCATGTCCCTGGGGTGAGACCTTGATTGAAAGCTGCTAGGGGACCAGCTGCCCCAATGCCTATCACACCAGCTTGATAACACTTATCATGCTTAAGTGCTCCATCTCAGCCTTGCCATGATTGGGTTCCTTAGATCTCATTCCATTGCTTGATTTGATTGGTTCATGGAACATTTATGAACACCTGTGCCATTGGCAGGGGCTGCCCTGCATCAGAGACACTGCTACCAGTCCCCCTGAAAGCCAGGCAATACCATACTGAGTGCCAGGCAGGGCTAATGGCAAAGCAAACGTTGCTGTCTAATCTTTCTGCCGGGCCAGTCTCGTACAATGAGATGTTGCGGCTTCCTTGCTGGCAGCCACGGATCAGCCCTGGCTGACAATCAGATCCCATGGGAGCACGTGGTTGCAGAATCAGGATTCCCTTTTCCATCCCAAGGGTTCCTCTAGTAAAGGGGGCTGAGTGGAATGGCTTCTCCAAGTGCACCTGGGAGGGAGGCTGCAGCCATCATGGAATATTCCTGTCACACGCTAACCCATGAACAGAAACCAGGTGGATGTACATGGTCACATAGTCTGGCCAGGGACCAGAGCCTCCGGAGACCCAGGTTCAGGTCCCATCTGTGTCATTACTTAGTTATGTGAACCTGCACTGATCACTTAACCCCTTTGAGCTACATCACTTGCGAAAAAGTGGGGGTTATAGTATAATAATTCTTTTTTAAAATAATTCAAAGCATTCAGAAAAGCACAAATAGGCACACAAATGTAAGCACTGCTGTGTGGTGGGAGATTTGCAGATGACCTGACCAACAATGTCACCTTCCCCCTTTTCAGATCACTCACATTACCTGAGCAGAAAAACAACTAGCAGAGCACTGAAATGGTCCCAAAAGAGGGAAGAGCAAGAGGCAATCAGGTGGATCCTTTTCGAGTTATCAACAAGGTTTCCAGTCCTGTTTTCTATTGCTGATGAGAAGTTAACACACATTGAATGACTTATAACAACTCACATTGACTCACTATCTCAGTTTCTGTGGGTCAGGAATCCAGGCTCGGTTCAGCTGAGGCCTCTGTCAGTCAGGGATGTCAGCCTGGTCTGTGGTCTCATCTGAGGCTTGACTGGAGAAGGATCTGCTTCCATGCTCACACGCTTGCTGGCAGGATTCAGTTACTTGCAGATTGTCACACTGAAAGCCTGAGTTCCTTGCTGGCTGTCAGCTGGAGGCCACCCTTCGTTCCTTCCTCTTGGGCCTCTTTATAGAGCAGCTTTCTTTATCAGAGTCAGCAAGGGGAAGAGTCTATACAGAGAGTGTGCTAGCAAGACACAAGCTACAAGCCTGTATAATGTCATCACAAAACTGACATCCCATCTACTTTGCTGTATCCTGTTAGTTAGAAGCAAGTCCTGCCTACACAAAAGGGGAGGGGATTATACAGGGGTGTGACCACCAGCAGCATGAATAATTGGGGGCCATCCTACAGTCTCTCTGCCATACCCCTGAATTGGTGTCAGCAAGCATGCCAGCGTCCCTCAGGGTGCTAAAATCTCTAATGTGGAGAAACATTATCATCTTCACCAATCTGAGAGCTTCCCCTCAATGTGATCCAAATATCCATCCAGGTGGAAAGGAAGAGCCCCTTCCACACCAGCTTTCCCTTCAACTGACCACAAATGCGCCAAAGGCACGGCCTAGTCCTACCATGCTCAGGGATGTACCCTCCGCAGCTAGAGCATCCCTGCACGGTACACAGCAAGTGCACAATAAGGCATTTGAATGAATGTGTAAAGGGGCTTGCACGTTTCTGCCTGGGGAATCTTCCTTCTGCTTCCCAAATATACTTCTCCTCTGCTCAAAATTCCCATGTGGGCCCCAGACAAGCTGTGCCCCCAAAATCAGTGCCCATCCTTGGGCTCCAAGCTCCCTCCCTTCCATCTGGTGGCAGCCTTGAGTGAGGGGATTCCATCTGGTGCCCCCAGAACTTAGGCAGCATCTTCAGGACCATCAGGTTCCTCACATGAGTGCTAGGATCAACCCATACTTAAGGTGACGGATACTCCAAATACCCTGACTTCATCATTACTCTTTCTATGCATGTAACAGAATATCACATGAACCCAAAAAATATGTAAAATATTATGTATCCATAAAGAGAGAGAGGGCCAGGTGCAGTGTGGTTCACTGTAATCCCAGCACTTTGAGAAGCTGAGGCAGGAAGATCGCTTGAGCCCAGGAGTTCGAAACCAGCCTGGGCCACATAGTGAAGCCCTGTCTCTACAGAAAATACAAAAGTTAGCTCGGTGTAGTGGCTCATGCCTTTCGTCCCAGCTACTCAGAGCCTGAGGCCAGAGGACTGATTGAGCGTGGGAGGTTGAGGCTGCAGTAAGCCATGTTCATGCCACTACGCTCTACCCTGAGTGACAGAATAAGACCCTGTCTCAAAAAAAAAGAAAGGGAGAGAGAGAGAGAGAAGCTTGAGAGGAAGAGAAGGAGGCACCAGAGGACGTGAACGTGGAAAATACAAGGGCTAGTCATACTGGAGTAACATTCACAGTTAAAAAAAAGAAAAGAAAACAAAAGAAAATGGGCCCAGGATTCACATTTGGGGCACAAAGATTTCAACTAACTGGGGAGTGTGTAATGTCAATGTGTTTTCTACCAACCACCACTGTCCCTGAACTTATCCACACTGCCCACTCCTCAATACTCACCTGGAGGCACTGGGGGCAACTTGGAGCTTTTATAGAACCTGTGGCTCTCATGGCTGGACAGTCTGAGGATGCCCCAGGGGATCCGATTTCAGAACAAGACCCTGAGACAGGGCTTCCTATCTACCTGGTGACCTCCCCGCTCCCCTGTCCTCCTCCCCAGCAATTTCTGCATCAGAGTTTTCACTCTACTTTCTTCACTGAATAAAAGCTCACAAAGTGGAGGATCCATTGGGTTGGTAAGGATCCTCTTTCTTTTTTCTTTTGTCTTTTTTTTTTTGTTATTGTTGTTGTTTTGTTTGAGACGGAGTCTAGCTCTGTCACGCAGGCTGGAGTACAGAGGCAAGATCTCGTCTCATTGCAACTATGTCCTGAATTGGTTCCTTCCGGTGGGTTCTTGGTCTCACTGACTTCAAGAATGAAGCCGTGGACCCTCGCGATCAGTGTTACAGTTCTTCAAGATGGTGTGTCCGGAGTTTGTTCCTTCAGATGTTCAGATGTGTCCAGAGTTTCTTCCTTCTGGTGGGTTCGTGCTCTCACTGGCTTCAGGAGTGAAGCTGCAGACCTTCGCGGGGAGTGTAATAGCTGGTGCTTACTGGTGCATTTACAAACCCTTCAGCTAGACACAGAGTGCTGACTGGTGCATTTACAAGCCTTTAGCTAGACACACAATGTTGATTGGTGCATTTACAATCCTTTAGCTAGACACGAAAGTTCTCCAAGTCCCTAATCGACTCAGAAGCCCAGACGGCTTCACCTCTCATAACCTCTGCCTCCTGGGTTCAAGTGATTCTCCTGCCTCAGCCTACCCAGTAGCTGGGATTACAGGCGCCCACCACCATGCCCAGCTAACTTTTCTACTTTTAGTAGAGACGGGGTTTCACTATGTTGGCCAGGCTGGTCTTGAACTCCTAACCTCAGGTGATTCACCTGTCTTAGCCTCCCAAAGTACTGGGATTACAAGCGTGAGCCACGGCGCCCGGCCAAGCATCCTCTTTCTAAGTCACTCACCCATGAGTATGAATTGTTTGCCCAGATTGCTTCGCTCCATTGTAGCTGATTTCAACCCAGTTGTAAGCCTGGAGCACCTGGAGAAATCAGACCCAGGTGGGATCTCAAAGGTGGAGAGGGTGGGAAAGGAGCAAAAGAAAGAGAAGCGGTGCAGAAAGGGAGGGACACAGATTCCAAAGACATACCTGGCCTGTCTGAAGTTTGCCTCCTCCAGGAAGGGAAGGCAGCATTCTCCCGGTGCTGTCTCCCTCCTCCCCCGTGTACTGTGCACATCTCCTTCCCAGACTCAGCCCAGTTGCACCAAAAGCAAGCCACAAGGCCCATAGGCTAGTCAGACGCCCAACAACCCCACACAATGACACTTATGTGGGGAATTGTGTCCTGAGTCCCAAACGACTGACCCCCCCAATGTGCTGTGAATAAGCAGTGACCACAACCAGTACCACCTATGACTGAGTCGGGAGGCTGCTCTCTAAGAACCCCAGCTGCATGCCCTCTGGGACAAATCAGGCCACCTGGGGCTCCTTCACATCTCTCCAATGCTGTGTTAAACGCACTTTTAACCAACTTTGTCAAAATGCTCAGCTGGTAAAGTTTTAACGTAGGCCCTTGTCAATGCTTCAGAAATAAGCCTCTGGCGGCGCGACAGAGCAAAACTCCCTCAGGAAAGAAAGGAAAGAAATGGAGAAAGGGAGAAAGGGAGAAAGAGAGGAAAAGAAAGAAAGAAAGAAAGAAAGAGAGAGAGAGAGAGAAAGAGAGAAAGAGAAAGAAAGAAAAGAAAGAAAGAAAAAGAAAGAAAGGGAAAGAAAGAAGGAAAGGAAGGAAAGAAAAGAAAGGAAAGAAAGGAAAAGAAAACAAATAAGCCTCCAGGTCATTGCTTAGAAAGAAAAAGAAAAAAGAAAGAAAGAAAAGAAAGAAAAAGAAAAGAAAAGAAAATAGCCTCCCGGTCATTGCTCCTCTCTCTCTCTGCGGGTCCACCCCCATGGCACCCTCCCCCCTCCCCATGGTGCAAGGTTACAATGGAAAGTGCCTCAGCTGGAAAGGTCTCAGAATGTGGCTCAGGGCAGCCACAATCTTATCAGGAGCTTCTCTGTTTGGGATCAGGGGAACCGGTGACTTTCAGAGGCCGATAAGGCGGGACCCAACTTGTATATAAGGGGCAGCTCATGCTGCTGCTCTGCACCTTCCTCCCATCTTGCCTTCTCCCTCGAGTTGGGACCCGGGAAGAACCATGAAGTGGCTGCTGCTGCTGGGTCTGGTGGCGCTCTCTGAGTGCATCATGTACAAGTGAGTCCGGGTGGTGTGGGTGTGAAGACGCTGCCTCCCACATCACCTTTCTTTCCTCCCGTGTCTTCCTTCTTCCCTTTTTTTTCTCTCTCTCTTCAGCTGTCTCCATCCCCCTTTTCCGCCTCTCTCTCTGCCTTTTTGGGAGGCAGCCCTGCAGACATGGTTAAAACTCGGGCCCAGCCTGACTGTGGTTCCCAGCTCCAGCCCTAGTCAGCTTAACTTCTTTGCATTATGGGGCAGAAGTGGGAGCTTCTCCCTTCCTTCCATCTTCCTCTCTTAGATCAGCTGGTTAAGAGTCCAGCCTGGGTTTGGCTCCCAGCTCCAGCACTAGTCAACTTAACTTCTTTGCATTGTTGGGCAGAAGAGGGGGCGTCTCCTTTCCTTCCTTCTTCCTCTCTTAGACCAGCTTCCCTTCCCTTCTGGGGCTGCCACAGCACCCGGTCAGCAGAATCCTTGCCTAATTCCTCTTCCTTCTCCAAACCACAGGGTCCCCCTCATCAGAAAGAAGTCCTTGAGGCGCACCCTGTCCGAGCGTGGCCTGCTGAAGGACTTCCTGAAGAAGCACAACCTCAACCCAGCCAGAAAGTACTTCCCCCAGTGGGAGGCTCCCACCCTGGTAGATGAACAGCCCCTGGAGAACTACCTGGATGTGAGTGTGCGGGCAAGTGGTGGGGCCAGCTCTGAGGACTTGGCCCGCAGGAAAGAGGGTGTCCCAGGGGTCTTGGAGGACGGGCCTGGGCTCTGTGGCTCCAGGCAGTGACCCAGAGTCTGCCCCCTAGATGTCAGTGGCCCAGGGCAGGCAGGAAAGCTCACAGTCAGAGTTCATTCATTCATTCGTTCACTCGTTCATGCAATGTTAATTTCTCTGAGCGCCTCATTCTATTTCAGGGCCTGTGCTGGGCTCAGGGGGAGACAGCAGTGAGCAAACTCATAGCCTAGGAGACAAACACAGTCATCAAGGGGTCTCGCAAACCAATGAAAAGAACAGGCAGCAGGAGGACTACAGAGTGACGGTGTCACACTGCGAGAGTCTGCCACTTGGGCAGGGAGCCTCCCTGGAGCCACGCAGGAAGAGCAGGAGTTTCCAAGAGAACAAGACAGAACTCCGCATAGCCTGATCCCTTGTGCCAAACCCTGTAGCAGGCGGGAGCACAGTGCCTTTGAAGGGGAGCCGAGAGGGAGGGAAGAAGGGTGCTGCAGACTGCGGTCCGAGGAACTGAGGGGTGGACGCAGAGAGGCTCCATCCTAACTGCCTCTGATTTATCTTAAACAGGGGGATGACAAGATCAGATCTGAGTTTCAGAAAGATCACCCTGACTTTGTTATTTGAGACCCGATAGCAAACACCCTGCCCTCCTGCAGATATTGTATGTCCCCTCTGTGACTGGCACAGGGCACAAAGCAGTGATGCCTGTGGTTCAGAGACTGGCCTCTGCCATCCAGCAGACCTGGTGCAAATATGGGTCCTAGTGCCTCTAAGCCACAGGACCTTGGCCAAGTCATTTAAATACTCTGAGCCTGTGTCTTGGTCTGGAAAACAGAACCACTAATATCTACCGTCAGAGGATGTTGCCAGGAATTAACACGATCATGTTTTCTGGAGTGCTTAGCATGGGGTCTGCCAGGCCCTTGGTAAGAGGCTTAATTAGCGCATTTATTTAGTTCACAAATATTTAACAAATATTGGCACCTCTCTATGTGCCAGAGGCTATGCAAGTTGCCAAAATGATGGTGAATAATCAAAGTTCCTGGAGCTTATACTCTAAAGGGGATAACAAATAAACAACCATGTAAGATAATTTCAGGTAATGATAAGGGCCTTGGCAAATTAATTAATGGGAGCATGGGGAACAAGAAGATTGAGAGGGGGCAAATTTAGATAAAGTGGTCACGGAAGGCCTGTTGGCAGAGGGGACATTTGACTAGAGAGCTGAATGATTGATTTTTGATAAAAGGATCAGCCAAGGAAAGATCTAGAATAAACATTTTCCTAGCACAAGGAATAGCCAGTGCAAAGGCCCTAGGGCAGGAGTGACTGGTCATCGCCAAAGAACAGCAAGCAGACCAGTGTGGCGGGAACAGAGCCGGCAGGGGGAAAATGCTGCCACTAACAAGAAAAATACTGGTTGATTGGCGGAGGCGGGTGGATCACTTGAGGTCAGGAGTTCGAGACCAGCCCGGCAACATGGTGAAACCCCGTCTCTACTAAAAATACAAAAATTTGCCGGGCATGATGGCACACACCTGTAATCTCAGCTACTTGGGAGGTTGAGGCAGGAGAATCACTGGAACCCAGGAGGAGGAGGCTGCAGTGAGCCGAGGTCGCGCCACTGCACTCCCGCCTGGACAACAGAGTGAGACTTGTCTCAAAAAAAAAGAATAAAAATACTGTCAATGCCCTTTCTTGCAACCTGCTATACACATCTAGATGTAGAAATAAGAAAACTGGACAGGTTTCCATCTTTAAGTGGCTTGCTTAGCTTCTGATAAACAATTTAAGGCACAAGCACTTAAGCTGTAACTTGCCCGGTGCTAGAAGGTTCCACCGCCATCCTCTGAGAACATGCGCTGTACGGATGGGAAGACTGTGACAGACAAGACAATGGCTAAAGAGGGAACAGCAGATTGTTAGGTGCTTGTGGTGCTTAACAGAGAGCAGAGGGTAAATTGGGGGAGCAATCAGGGAAGACTTCAAGGAGGAAGGGACGCCAGGGCTGGGATTTGAAGGATGAAGACAGTGGCTGGGAAGAGAAAGATAAGAACTGTGAGGAATGAAGGAAAAGATGGAGAGGCAGACTGAGGAGATGACCCAGAGACAGCCCCTAGGGAGGCCCTGACAGAGAGACCCCGTTCCGTGAACTGCCCTGTCCTCGCCTGGACAGATGGAGTACTTCGGCACTATCGGCATCGGAACTCCTGCCCAGGATTTCACCGTCGTCTTTGACACCGGCTCCTCCAACCTGTGGGTGCCCTCAGTCTACTGCTCCAGTCTTGCCTGCAGTAAGTGCCCAGACCGCCCTACCCCACTCTCACTCCCCAGCACCAGCCGACCCTGGGGAACCCTGGACACCCACGGGCTTCAAACAGTTCCCACCTCAAGCCTGCTGGAGCCACTCAACAGGCATTTATTGAGCACCTACTACGTGCCAAGCACTGGGCTCAGGTGCTCCAGGGGGTAAAGGGATGAGTGATATGATCCCTGCGGTCAAAGACTACACAGTCTGAGGGCAGAGAGAAGCTCTCCTCAATAACCACAGGCTGGGAGAGGAAGTATGGGGGGCCCAAAGCAAGACAGGGCCAAAGGGCTGTAGAATAGCCCACCAGGAAAGAGTCCAGTGTGAGAAAATGGCTTCAAAGCCTGGCTAGGACAGGCTAGAGGTCAGTGCTGAGCTCATTTAAAAAAAAAAAAAGAATCATTGGTTTGCTAATGAAAGAGAGTTTGTCTTTGGAAGTCATGAACAATGTGTGTTGCAGGTTCCTTCCTCTTCTAGTGTTTTCACTGGAGTTTTAATGAAGATGAGGTGCCTGTGGCATCATCCACATCATAACGGGAGCACTGGCTGGGGGCTAGAGGGTGAAAGCGCTCGTCACTGGGTAGCCACGGGCCTGCTCCGCTCTATGTTGGTCTGGGGAGGTCTCCAGGAGGCCCTTGGGGTTGGCTGGGGAAACTGCCACCAGTGAATGGTCCCAGTAGTTCAACGAGACAGGACAGAACCTGGGGTCTCTTGGGCTCCAAGGGTCTAGGGCGAAAGGTCGCTGCTCACCTCCAGAGCCCGTCCCAGGGCCAGGGCACCCCATCCCAGGAAGACATCCAGCCCATGACCTTCACCCAGCTCTCAGAGAATAACACTCACCGCTTGTCCTTGCAGCCAACCACAACCGCTTCAACCCTGAGGATTCTTCCACCTACCAGTCCACCAGCGAGACAGTCTCCATCACCTACGGCACCGGCAGCATGACAGGCATCCTCGGATACGACACTGTCCAGGTGGGCACCTGCAGGCTGCCGCTGCATCCCCCCATCAGGCACCCCCAAAATAAGCTTATTCCAGCAAGATGAGTCTTGGTGATCACAGAAGTAACCTGATTGGGGGTGCGGGGTGGGGGAGAAGCAGCAGAGATGTCACAGACATTGCTAGCTCGGGTGGCAGTGAGTAAAAGGGTGGGGTGCCAGGAGCCATAACCCAGACTCAGCTCCACCCAAGCAGAATGTTATGGAGTGTGGGGAGAGTCAGTAAAGGCTCACTTCTCTACTAGCACCTCCTCCTCTTCCTTCTTCTCCCGACATGCAGCACCCCAAGTCACGAAATCTCCACAAGCCCTCCCTGCCACTTTCGGGGCATGGCAGGGGTCAAAGGCCTGGGGTCTGGGGTCTGCTTTGCGTTTGTTCATCAGAAACACAAACACACAGTGACCATCTGTTCTCCAGCAAAATCTCACCCTGAGTCATAGACTGTAGCCATCTGGAGATCAGCTGCCATGGTTACCTCCAGCAGAGGAACCAGCATTCCAGCAGACAGTCCCTCTGCCCTCCTCCCGGGCTGATACCCTGGAAGCCAAGTCCTGCATGAGATGAACCAGGGTGGCTCTGGGCCTGAGGCTGGCATCCAGAGCTCAGTGAACATGACCCGATGGTGAACATCATCTCGGTTTCCCCACCCAGGTTGGAGGCATCTCTGACACCAATCAGATCTTCGGCCTGAGCGAGACGGAACCTGGCTCCTTCCTGTATTATGCTCCCTTCGATGGCATCCTGGGGCTGGCCTACCCCAGCATTTCCTCCTCCGGGGCCACACCCGTCTTTGACAACATCTGGAACCAGGGCCTGGTTTCTCAGGACCTCTTCTCTGTCTACCTCAGCGCGTAAGTTGAGTGGAGAGGGGCCTCCTCCCACCTCCCCCTCCAGAGGTCACAGTGTTCCTGCCCAGCAGGAGCTGTCCAAGGCTGGGTGCGATGGAGAGGGTCTTGGGAAGCAAGGGATTTGAAAGTCAATGTCTGAGGCTGGAGAAGTGTGTCTTTGGAGAGTAATAGTGCCAAGTCTGTCTCTGACGGGCCATGTGCACTCCATCTTATTTTACCAGCATCTTTGTCCCCTTGATGTGCACAACTCAAATGTCATCAGCCATTTCCCCCTCAGTACCACTTCCCTCATCCTTGGCCCGCAAAGATGCCATTTAAAGTGAATACACTTGGCCAGGTGTGGTGGCTCATGCCTGTAATCCCAGCACTTTGGGAGTCTGAGGCAGCAGGATCACCTGAAGTCAGGAATTCAAGACTGGGTTTCATGGTGATAGCCAGGATGGTCTCGATCACCTGACTGCCTCAGCCTCCCAAAGTGCTGGGATTACAGGCGTGAGCCACCGTGCCCGGCCCTGGATGACTAATTTCTTCTTGCTGTCTACATTTGCTTCCTCATCTAACCTGAAACTGCAGAAATTTAGAACATGAATATTGCAATAACAAGGACTCCTGCAATTTACCACAGGAAGGCTCTTTGTCATGTATTCTTCTTGGCCAGTTAATGTTCAAGGTGGCTCTGAAACATCATCTGCCTTTATGAGCACTTAAATATTTCATGTGGGGCCATTGCATCTCCCCAGCCAGATCCGAGTTTCTCAATCTGGGCACTATTAACATTTCAGACCAACATAAGAGCTTGCCGCCAGGGACTGTCCCGTGCATTGTAGGATGTTTGGCAGCATCCCCAGCCTCTACCCATGAGATGCCGGCAGCATCCCCTACCCCCACCCAATCATGACAATCCAAAATGTCTCCAGACATTCCCCTGGGGGCAAAACTGCTCCCAGCTAAGAACCAGTGACCTCCACCCTCAAGTCCTTAAGAGCGGACACTGTCATGCATTCACTTCCCTGGGGTCCCCATGGCAACCAGAGTGGGTACCACCATGGAAACCACAGACTCAACCTAAAAGGCCTGTGTTCTTCCAAACGTAGTTCCACCACTCCCCCGCTGTATGACCTTGGGCAGGTGGCCTCACCTCCCTCAGGCTCAGTGTCCTCATGGTAAGTGGAAATAACAGTGACAGTGCCCACTGCATAGGCACTGGCCTAAGAGGAAAAGAAACCACATTAGTCACACCGCAGGACAGCCCTAGAAAGTGCCCAATCAAGGGTAGCCCTGAGGAGGCAACAGCAGATGGTCACACAAATGGACGAACAAAAAAATTCATGTCTTCTCCCCTCACTTTCCACAGCGATGACCAGAGTGGCAGCGTGGTGATCTTTGGTGGCATTGACTCTTCTTACTACACTGGAAGTCTGAACTGGGTGCCTGTTACCGTCGAGGGTTACTGGCAGATCACCGTGGACAGGTGAGACTGCCATGAACGGGCAGCATCCAGGCCTGGGCCCCAGATCCCATTTCCTTATGGATTCATAGCCAATCAGCTTTCCAGAATCCCCCCAGGAACAGCTGGCACAGGGGAACACACTCCAGGGGGAAGGTGGAAGTTGGCCAAGCCAGAGACCCCTAGAAAGACACCTCCCTGCAGGAGGAGGGAAGAGCTGTCTAGGAAGCCAAGACTCTGCAAGGGTGAGATAGCCACTGTCCTCCTAGTCACGGAGGCAGGACCATCCACCAGCATCCCTGGGGAGAGCTGGGGGACCCACCTGTCCACGCATCTGACAATTTAAGGGGCCGGTGAACCAGCACACGCTCCTGCCACTCGAGGAAACATGTCACTTTCCGTCTAGAAGTGGGGCAAAATGGCTAAGAAATTGTGTGAAGTCACTTCATTCCACCCTCCCCTTCAGGGCCTCCCCGGTCTCCCTTGCAGCTTCATTTCCACGCTCTTCTTCCCCAGCTAGCCTGCTAGCGTGCTCAGTGGTGTGGGTTTTCCCAAGAATGAACAATTTCCCAGGACAGAGACTTTCAGTACTAAAACTGGGACCAGCCCAGGCAAACCAGGACACATGGATCACCTCATGTCTGCCCAGCCATGCTAGAATTTCACCAGTTCCTCCAACACCTGCCCCAGCCCTCTGGTCTCTGTACCTCCCCGCATACCATCCCCTGATGATGTCCTCCTTCTCTCTTCACCTGCCTGGCATTCCAGGGTGTCTGTTCCCCTGGCTGCTCCCCTCCACCACCTCTCACCCTGGACCCTGTTTTTGTTCCCTGCCTCATGCCTGACTGATCATCTTGCCCTTCTGCCAACATAACTTATCTTGCCAGCTAGGCAGGGAGCTCCCTGCAGCCTGGAACTGTGAGGCTGTCTTGTTTCACTTGGCATTTCCCATGCCTGGCAGAGAGTAGGCACTTGGGAAATATTTGTTGGGCAAATGAATGCGGGACGAATGAGTGCGTGAACGAGAGGAACAGAAATTTCACGCATTGGCCAATGGATGGGTGGGGAAGAAATGTCTGGGCTCACCTCCTAGTTCCTCCTTGGAGAGAAGTACCCCTGAGAGCTCAGGGAGCTTAACTTGCTTCTTGCCCTCAGCATCACCATGAACGGAGAGGCCATCGCCTGCGCTGAGGGCTGCCAGGCCATTGTTGACACCGGCACCTCTCTGCTGACCGGCCCAACCAGCCCCATTGCCAACATCCAGAGCGACATCGGAGCCAGCGAGAACTCAGATGGCGACGTGAGTCCAGCCCCGACTGCTCTGTTCTACACTCAAGTAGTGGGTGTGCCAGGCAGAAGGGACAGAAACCCTTCTAACTTTTCTCACCCTCACTCTTTCCAGATGGTGGTCAGCTGCTCAGCCATCAGCAGCCTGCCCGACATCGTCTTCACCATCAATGGAGTCCAGTACCCCGTGCCACCCAGTGCCTACATCCTGCAGGTGAGGAGGCTCTGGACCATCCACTAGAGGGGTTCACACAGAATGTGGACACAGAGTTCCCCTCTGCAGACGGAAAGTACACTTCCACGAGCTGAAGCCAGCAGGCAGAGGCAGACGAACATCTGCCCTAGACAGCCTCCAGAGAAAAAGAATATATTAAAAACAAATGCAGGAATAAGAACTCGGATACAGCCCCCTAAGGGAACAAGTGAAGCAAAGGTTAATGGAGTGAAAAGAGGATTCTATTTGGACCCCTGGGTCCAAGTCCTGGGTCTGAATTACTAGCCCATTGATTCTGAGCAAGCTACAGCTCATCTCACCCTCAGTTTTCTCATCCAAAAAGTAGAGATGGCAGCTTTCCCCACCCTCAGAGTGCGGTTAGGTCAACCAAGTGAGACTGATCACATCAGAGCTACCAAGGGTTGGGCAAATGGAAATCCTAATTTCCATAGGCTGGGGCTTCTGACACTTCTACCATCTCTACCAAGTAGCAAATCTTTAGCTATACGAGCCACAAGAAAACTCTTTCCCTTCTGTTATCATAACGTCAGGTGGAAAACTAATTTTGCCAGTGGACTCATGTTACTCAACAAGAAGCACTGATGCCTGGGCTCCCCCACTGATTCTGATTACATTAGGAGAGGGCAAGGCCTGAGCAATGGGATGGGGCTGCGGGGGTTCAAAGCTCCCCAGGTGATGTGCAGACAAGGTCGCAGCCCAGTGACTTAGTGAGGCAAGAGGGCTAATAGCTCATCTGGTTTGCCTCTGACCGGATCAGAATAATAATGAGAAAAGGCTATGGCGGCAGGGTTTTCAAACTCCTTCCTAGCAGCTGAATTCTCCCTAAGCCCCTTAGCACCAATGCTGATGTCAGGGTTCGTGTGCCTGCCAGAAACACCAGATAATGTCCAGTAATGCGTAGAAACCAGTCGTTCAGTGGACGGCTTCTACAGGCCGACTCCAGGCCAAGAACAGCCGAGTCCCTGGACACTGAGCCAGGAAGCTCCTCCTTGCACGTGCCTTACAGCTGGACCAGGGCGCCCTGGATGTTTATCACCCAGCGCCTATCACGGCTGAATCGGTGTCCCAGCTCCACTTTTATTCTCCTTTTCTCCAGAGCGAGGGGAGCTGCATCAGTGGCTTCCAGGGCATGAACCTCCCCACCGAATCTGGAGAGCTTTGGATCCTGGGTGATGTCTTCATCCGCCAGTACTTTACCGTCTTCGACAGGGCAAACAACCAGGTCGGCCTGGCCCCCGTGGCTTAAGCCTAAGTCTCTTCAGCCACCTCCCAGGAAGATCTGGCCTCTGTCCTGTGCCCACTTTAGATGTATCTAATTCTCCTGACTGTTCTTCCCAGGGGAGTGTGGAGGTCTTGGCCCTGTTCCCTGTCCTACCAATAACGTAGAATAAAAACATAACCCACTGAAACAGGTTTTGTGGAGCTGCTTCTCTTTGCTGGTCTTTTTCCTTCACATTACTGGGGTTAGAACGCCAGGGCAGGGATGAAAATGACCACATCCATTTGGATGGCACCCAACATAGTGACCCCAGCAGCTGACACTTCATGATGGAGCCAAGAAGACAGAGAGGCTTCGGGGGTTGTGCTGGAAGCATCATAAAAAGACCTGGGGGTCAAAATACTGGGCTAATTGTCTTCTCATAGAAGGGACACAGAGCTGAGATCGTGCCATTGTACTCCAGCCTGGGCGACACAGAGAGACTCCAGCTCAGAAAGAAAAAAATAGGTCACTGAAGCTCTTAGTTGAGGGAGTCAACCTCCTACTTCTCCCAAAGCCAATAAGAGATCATGAGAAGGCTGGGCACAGTGGCTCACGCCTGTAATCCCAGCACTTTGGGAGGCTGAGGCGGACAGGTCACCTGAGGTCAGGAGTTTGAGACCAGCCTGGCCAACATGGTGAAACCCTGTCTAATAAATTTACAAAAATGAGCTGGGTGTGGTGGTGCGCACCTATAATCCCAGCTACTCAGGAGGCTGAGCCAAGAGATCGCTTGAACCTGGAAGGCGGAGGTTGCAGTGAGCTGAGATCGCACCACTGCACTCCAGCCTGGGCGACAGAGCGAGACTCCATCTCAAAAAAAAACAAAAAAAGAAAAGAGATCATGAGGAAAGGAAAGCAATCAGGAGAGTCACGAGAGGTAGACACTAATGGTGATGTCCCTAAGTAGATAGGACAGGGCAGAGTTGTCTGCAAGACGTGGACAGGAGAAGTGGAAGAAGCTGACACCCCACAGTCTTCCAGGATGCCCTTGTGATTCACTGGCTACCAAGACCAAGACTAACAGTTAATCTCCCCAAGGTCCTAGGCAGAAAACACTGAACCCATCTCTTTCCCCATCTGTAACCAAAGAGAAAGGTCTTCCACTTCCCTGAGCAGAGGTTGTGAGACAGAGAATTAAGCATGTTCATTAGCATATATGCCCTAGAAAGGCAAAGAGGAAATGGAGCAGTTTCTCAGACTGGGCTTGGTAGCAAAATGTTCAATGGAAAACACAGTTTCAGAATAAGTATAGAACATGCTACATTCTAGGCCCTTCCCCAGGGTTCACCAGCTACAGTTCCCAATCAAAGGCTCTGACAAGCCCTGCTGCAAAGTGATCTGTTTCTTTTTAACTCAGCTGAGCTTCATCTCAGACTCTCTCTTGCTAGTAAGTCTATTACAGCCCTGGGCTCCCCGGCATGCATGCTGGGAAAATTCCCATAGCTCCTGCTTCTGGTGACAGCCGACCCAGGCTTTCTGCTGAAGACACAAGCCCAGAGGCTGGAGCTGGGCTCTAGGAAGGGCGGGGGTGAGCTCCAACACCCAGTCTCCCCAGGGTCACTCTCACCCTCCCAAGCCCATTTTCCATAGCTGAATAAACTTTAGGAAACATAAATTTCATCTCATCCCTTCCTTGCTTTAAACTCTTAATGCCTTCTTGCCATTGCCGTTGGAATAAAACAGCAAATCTTTGGCATAGTCCCACGTCCTGTGTGCTCCTTTCCCTCCAAACCTTCCCTGCTTCACTCTGATCCCGTTACCCCGAGCTCCCTCCACCCTGGCCTCCCACGGCCACAATAGCCCAAGTGTTTTCCCACCTCCAGACTTTGCACATGCTGTTCCCTTTGCCAGGGTTGCTTTTCCCTCTTTCTTGACTAGCTAACACCTAGCATCTGCAGACGTGGCTTAAATGTCACTTCTCAGCCAGGCTTGGTGGCTCACGCCTATAATCCCAGCACTTTGGGAGGCCGAGGTGGGCAGATTAACTGAGGTCAGGAATTTGAGACCAGCCTGGCCAACATGGTGAAACCCCATATCCACTAAAAATATACAAAAAATTAGCTGGGTGTGGTGGTGGGCACCTGTAGTCCCAGCTATTTAGGAGGCTGAGGCAGGAGAATCGCTTTAACCCAGGAGGTGGATGTTGCAGTGAGCCGAGATTGCACCACTGGACTCCAGCCTGGGCAACAAGAGCAAAACTCCGTCTCAAAAAAAAAAAAAATGTCACTTCCCTGTAAAAGTGATCAGCCCTCCCTCACCACTCTCTCAGAGAGCCTGGGCCTACATTTTCCCTCATGGTACTTGGCACTACCTATAACCATGCATTTCAGTGTTTAAGATTCACAAGGACAGGGATGGTGATGGTTTTAATTAGGTTTGAAGCCCAAGCAGCAAGAGCCGGGCTTGGCACATACTAGGAGGTCAATAAATATTTGCTGAATGAGTGATTAGAGAAGACTTTTTGAAAGGAACCATCTCAGATAGGATGAGAGTATGAGAGTGGGGATATGGTTTGACAAAGGCCATGTGAATAACAACAGGTGGGTCAGCTCCCACCCCCACCAACATTCCATCCCCGTCATATTCTGTCATGGGATAAGCAGGTGGATTTCTCAAGTTTCTGGGAAGGAATTTCACCCTGTCCTGGCTTCTTTGCTGGATTTATTTTTCTGATATTTCCCATGTACCTACTTTGAAGCTAGGCAGTGTGCTAGGCTCCGGGGATATAGGAAGGCAGGTCTTCCTGGATCCTATCTGTTCTCCTGCACCTGATCCCAGCCTTCCTTCCTCCCCCATCTCAACACCAGCAGCTGCAGCTCAGCCTCTCTCGCCCAGCACCTCTTCCATTCCCACCCTGGGATTCCTGAACCCTGTCACAATCTAAAGACGTTCCTCATCAGACAGATCATTTGACCAGAAAGCCCTGTGCCAACATATCTGATTTCATCCTCCTCATGTTGCTGCACAACAGAAGATGAATTCACAATCCTTTCCTGCAGTCTCAGGCCTCTGCTCCATGCATCCTCCTCGAAGGGCCCTGGGGTCGAAGCACAGCTCCTTCCATCCTTTTCATTCACACTCATCCAGGAGTGTTATTTTAATCTCACAGGTCTCCTGCCCCATCCATCCTCACCTGTCCCAAATGATCACTCCACACGCTGCTGGTGGGAGTGTAAACTGGCACCACCCTAAGAAGCATGATGTGGCTGTATCTATCAAAATTAAAAATGCATATGCCGGCCAGGCACGGTGGCTCACATAATCCTCACGCCTGTAATCCCAGCACTTTGGGAGGCCGAAGCAGGTGGATCACCTGAGGTGAGGAGTTTGAGACCAGCCAGGCCAACATGGTGGAACCTCATCTCCACAAAAAATACAAAATGAGCCGGGCGTGTTGACACATGTCTGTAATTCCCAGCTACTTGGGAGGCTGAGCCAGGAGAATCTCTCGAACCCGGGAGGTGGAGGTTGCAGTGAGCCGAGATGGCACCATTGCACTTCAGCCTGGGCGACACAGCGAGATTCTGTCTCCAAAAAAAAAACAAAGGAATGATAAATGTTCAAGATGATAAATATGCTAATTACTCTGATCTGATCACTAAACATTATATGTACAGAAACATCCTTATGTACCCATAAATATGTACAATTATTACATGTCAATTAAAAAGAAAACAGCCAGGCACAGTAGCTCATGGTGTAACCCCAGCACTTGGGAAGGCCAAGGCGGCAGGACTGCTTCGGGCCATAGTTCAAGACCAGCCTGAGCAACATACCAAGACTTCATTTCTATTGTTTTTAATAAATAAATAAAAGGAAAAGAAAGAAGATGTGTATACAAGAGAACATTCATAGAGCACTGTTCCTAAGAACTCCACACTGGAAGCTACCCAAATGCCTATGAACTGAAAAAGAGAAAATAGCGGGTATATTGATGCAGAGGAATAATACACAGCAATGAAAATGACTGAGTAACAACTCCACACACCGCCATTCGTGGATGCCTCTCCTAAACATGATTTTGAGCAAAGAAGCGCAATGCAAACTAAAGTGCTTGTTATGTGGTACTGCTTAGCAAAAGTACAAAAACAGGTGAAATGAATCTTTGCTGTTTGGAAATCAGAGTAGTGATACGCTTGGTTTGGCCCTAGGATAGTGACTGGGAAGAGCCTGGGGTGGGCTCCAGGGGTACCTGACATGCTCTTTTGCTGGGTCTGGGTTGTGGTTACACGTGTGTGCTTGGTTTGTGAAAATTCATCAAGCTGTTTCTTATGATATGCACCTTTCTGTGTGCATATCATATTTTGAGAAAAGTTTTAAAATGATCATGTAGATTTATAAAAATCACTTGTAAAATACAGAACCATGATTTTTCTTTTAAAAGCGGGTTCAGGTTGCAGATAGAGTAGCGCAGCAGAAGTGAGCTGGGCCCATCAAAGCGGGTTGCTTGCAAAACAACATGTGCCATATCTTGTGGTCCTATATTTGTAAGTAAATCAATATATTCATTTACTACGCCAGTGGTGGTTAGTTCTGGGTAGTGGGGTTAAAAGTCATTTTTAAAATTGTATTTATCTATAAATAATCTACAGTGATCATGTATTACTTCTATACTTGAGCCAAAAAAGTTATCATCAATTTAGCTTTGAAAACCTGCAGGCATCTCTGGAGAAGCAGCCCAGGTCTGGGACTGGGGAGTGGAAAACACAGTGTTCTCTTTGGTGTTGGAAGATCATGTCCCTGGGGTGAGACCTTGATTGAAAGCTGCTAGGGGACCAGCTGCCCCAATGCCTATCACACCAGCTTGATAACACTTATCATGCTTAAGTGCTCCATCTCAGCCTTGCCATGATTGGGTTCCTTAGATCTCATTCCATTGCTTGATTTGATTGGTTCATGGAACATTTATGAACACCTGTGCCATTGGCAGGGGCTGCCCTGCATCAGAGACACTGCTACCAGTCCCCCTGAAAGCCAGGCAATACCATACTGAGTGCCAGGCAGGGCTAATGGCAAAGCAAACGTTGCTGTCTAATCTTTCTGCCGGGCCAGTCTCGTACAATGAGATGTTGCGGCTTCCTTGCTGGCAGCCACGGATCAGCCCTGGCTGACAATCAGATCCCATGGGAGCACGTGGTTGCAGAATCAGGATTCCCTTTTCCATCCCAAGGGTTCCTCTAGTAAAGGGGGCTGAGTGGAATGGCTTCTCCAAGTGCACCTGGGAGGGAGGCTGCAGCCATCATGGAATATTCCTGTCACACGCTAACCCATGAACAGAAACCAGGTGGATGTACATGGTCACATAGTCTGGCCAGGGACCAGAGCCTCCGGAGACCCAGGTTCAGGTCCCATCTGTGTCATTACTTAGTTATGTGAACCTGCACTGATCACTTAACCCCTTTGAGCTACATCACTTGCGAAAAAGTGGGGGTTATAGTATAATAATTCTTTTTTAAAATAATTCAAAGCATTCAGAAAAGCACAAATAGGCACACAAATGTAAGCACTGCTGTGTGGTGGGAGATTTGCAGATGACCTGACCAACAATGTCACCTTCCCCCTTTTCAGATCACTCACATTACCTGAGCAGAAAAACAACTAGCAGAGCACTGAAATGGTCCCAAAAGAGGGAAGAGCAAGAGGCAATCAGGTGGATCCTTTTCGAGTTATCAACAAGGTTTCCAGTCCTGTTTTCTATTGCTGATGAGAAGTTAACACACATTGAATGACTTATAACAACTCACATTGACTCACTATCTCAGTTTCTGTGGGTCAGGAATCCAGGCTCGGTTCAGCTGAGGCCTCTGTCAGTCAGGGATGTCAGCCTGGTCTGTGGTCTCATCTGAGGCTTGACTGGAGAAGGATCTGCTTCCATGCTCACACGCTTGCTGGCAGGATTCAGTTACTTGCAGATTGTCACACTGAAAGCCTGAGTTCCTTGCTGGCTGTCAGCTGGAGGCCACCCTTCGTTCCTTCCTCTTGGGCCTCTTTATAGAGCAGCTTTCTTTATCAGAGTCAGCAAGGGGAAGAGTCTATACAGAGAGTGTGCTAGCAAGACACAAGCTACAAGCCTGTATAATGTCATCACAAAACTGACATCCCATCTACTTTGCTGTATCCTGTTAGTTAGAAGCAAGTCCTGCCTACACAAAAGGGGAGGGGATTATACAGGGGTGTGACCACCAGCAGCATGAATAATTGGGGGCCATCCTACAGTCTCTCTGCCATACCCCTGAATTGGTGTCAGCAAGCATGCCAGCGTCCCTCAGGGTGCTAAAATCTCTAATGTGGAGAAACATTATCATCTTCACCAATCTGAGAGCTTCCCCTCAATGTGATCCAAATATCCATCCAGGTGGAAAGGAAGAGCCCCTTCCACACCAGCTTTCCCTTCAACTGACCACAAATGCGCCAAAGGCACGGCCTAGTCCTACCATGCTCAGGGATGTACCCTCCGGAGCTAGAGCATCCCTGCACGGTACACAGCAAGTGCACAATAAGGCATTTGAATGAATGTGTAAAGGGGCTTGCACGTTTCTGCCTGGGGAATCTTCCTTCTGCTTCCCAAATATACTTCTCTGCTCAAAATTCCCATGTGGGCCCCAGACAAACTGTGCCCCCAAAATCAGTGCCCATCCTTGGGCTCTAAGCTCCCTCCCTTCCATCTGGTGGCAGCCTTGAGTGAGGGGATTCCATCTGGTGCCCCCAGAACTTAGGCAGCATCTTCAGGACCATCAGGTTCCTCACATGAGTGCTAGGATCAACCCATACTTAAGGTGACGGATACTCCAAATACCCTGACTTCATCATTACTCTTTCTATGCATGTAACAGAATATCACATGAACCCAAAAAATATGTAAAATATTATGTATCCATAAAGAGAGAGAGGGCCAGGTGCAGTGTGGTTCACTGTAATCCCAGCACTTTGAGAAGCTGAGGCAGGAAGATCGCTTGAGCCCAGGAGTTCGAAACCAGCCTGGGCCACATAGTGAAGCCCTGTCTCTACAGAAAATACAAAAGTTAGCTGGGTGTAGTGGCTCATGCCTTTCGTCCCAGCTACTCAGAGCCTGAGGCCAGAGGACTGATTGAGCGTGGGAGGTTGAGGCTGCAGTAAGCCATGTTCATGCCACTACGCTCTACCCTGAGTGACAGAATAAGACCCTGTCTCAAAAAAAAAGAAAGGGAGAGAGAGAGAGAGAAGCTTGAGAGGAAGAGAAGGAGGCACCAGAGGACGTGAACGTGGAAAATACAAGGGCTAGTCATACTGGAGTAACATTCACAGTTAAAAAAAAGAAAAGAAAACAAAAGAAAATGGGCCCAGGATTCACATTTGGGGCACAAAGATTTCAACTAACTGGGGAGTGTGTAATGTCAATGTGTTTTCTACCAACCACCACTGTCCCTGAACTTATCCACACTGCCCACTCCTCAATACTCACCTGGAGGCACTGGGGGCAACTTGGAGCTTTTATAGAACCTGTGGCTCTCATGGCTGGACAGTCTGAGGATGCCCCAGGGGATCCGATTTCAGAACAAGACCCTGAGACAGGGCTTCCTATCTACCTGGTGACCTCCCCGCTCCCCTGTCCTCCTCCCCAGCAATTTCTGCATCAGAGTTTTCACTCTACTTTCTTCACTGAATAAAAGCTCACAAAGTGGAGGATCCATTGGGTTGGTAAGGATCCTCTTTCTTTTTTCTTTTGTCTTTTTTTTTTTGTTATTGTTGTTGTTTTGTTTGAGACGGAGTCTAGCTCTGTCACGCAGGCTGGAGTACAGAGGCAAGATCTCGTCTCATTGCAACTATGTCCTGAATTGGTTCCTTCCGGTGGGTTCTTGGTCTCACTGACTTCAAGAATGAAGCCGTGGACCCTCGCGATCAGTGTTACAGTTCTTCAAGATGGTGTGTCCGGAGTTTGTTCCTTCAGATGTTCAGATGTGTCCAGAGTTTCTTCCTTCTGGTGGGTTCGTGCTCTCACTGGCTTCAGGAGTGAAGCTGCAGACCTTCGCGGGGAGTGTAATAGCTGGTGCTTACTGGTGCATTTACAAACCCTTCAGCTAGACACAGAGTGCTGACTGGTGCATTTACAAGCCTTTAGCTAGACACACAATGTTGATTGGTGCATTTACAATCCTTTAGCTAGACACGAAAGTTCTCCAAGTCCCTAATCGACTCAGAAGCCCAGACGGCTTCACCTCTTACAACCTCTGCCTCCTGGGTTCAAGTGATTCTCCTGCCTCAGCCTACCCAGTAGCTGGGATTACAGGCGCCCACCACCATGCCCAGCTAACTTTTCTACTTTTAGTAGAGACGGGGTTTCACTATGTTGGCCAGGCTGGTCTTGAACTCCTAACCTCAGGTGATTCACCTGTCTTAGCCTCCCAAAGTACTGGGATTACAAGCGTGAGCCACGGCGCCCGGCCAAGCATCCTCTTTCTAAGTCACTCACCCATGAGTATGAATTGTTTGCCCAGATTGCTTCGCTCCATTGTAGCTGATTTCAACCCAGTTGTAAGCCTGGAGCACCTGGAGAAATCAGACCCAGGTGGGATCTCAAAGGTGGAGAGGGTGGGAAAGGAGCAAAAGAAAGAGAAGCGGTGCAGAAAGGGAGGGACACAGATTCCAAAGACATACCTGGCCTGTCTGAAGTTTGCCTCCTCCAGGAAGGGAAGGCAGCATTCTCCCGGTGCTCTCTCCCTCCTCCCCCGTGTACTGTGCACATCTCCTTCCCAGACTCAGCCCAGTTGCACCAAAAGCAAGCCACAAGGCCCATAGGCTAGTCAGATGCCCAACAACCCCACACAATGACACTTATGTGGGGAATTGTGTCCTGAGTCCCAAACGACTGACCCCCCCAATGTGCTGTGAATAAGCAGTGACCACAACCAGTACCACCTATGACTGAGTCGGGAGGCTGCTCTCTAAGAACCCCAGCTGCGTGACCACGGGGACAAATCAGGCCACCTGGGGCTCCTTCACATCTGTCCATTGCTGTGTTAAAAGTACTTTTAAACAACTTTGTCGAAATGCTCAGCTTGTAAAGTTTTAATGTAGGCCCTTGTCAATGCTTCAGAAATAAGCCTCTGGCGGCGCGACAGAGCAAAACTCCCTCAGGAAAGAAAGGAAAGAAATGGAGAAAGGGAGAAAGGGAGAAAGAGAGGAAAAGAAAGAAAGAAAGAAAGAAAGAGAGAGAGAGAGAGAAAGAGAGAAAGAGAAAGAAAGAAAAGAAAGAAAGAAAAAGAAAGAAAGGGAAAGAAAGAAGGAAAGGAAGGAAAGAAAAGAAAGGAAAGAAAGGAAAAGAAAACAAATAAGCCTCCAGGTCATTGCTTAGAAAGAAAAAGAAAAAAGAAAGAAAGAAAAGAAAGAAAAAGAAAAGAAAAGAAAATAGCCTCCCGGTCATTGCTCCTCTCTCTCTCTGCGGGTCCACCCCCATGGCACCCTCCCCCCTCCCCATGGTGCAAGGTTACAATGGAAAGTGCCTCAGCTGGAAAGGTCTCAGAATGTGGCTCAGGGCAGCCACAATCTTATCAGGAGCTTCTCTGTTTGGGATCAGGGGAACCGGTGACTTTCAGAGGCCGATAAGGCGGGACCCAACTTGTATATAAGGGGCAGCTCATGCTGCTGCTCTGCACCTTCCTCCCATCTTGCCTTCTCCCTCGAGTTGGGACCCGGGAAGAACCATGAAGTGGCTGCTGCTGCTGGGTCTGGTGGCGCTCTCTGAGTGCATCATGTACAAGTGAGTCCGGGTGGTGTGGGTGTGAAGACGCTGCCTCCCACATCACCTTTCTTTCCTCCCGTGTCTTCCTTCTTCCCTTTTTTTTCTCTCTCTCTTCAGCTGTCTCCATCCCCCTTTTCCGCCTCTCTCTCTGCCTTTTTGGGAGGCAGCCCTGCAGACATGGTTAAAACTCGGGCCCAGCCTGACTGTGGTTCCCAGCTCCAGCCCTAGTCAGCTTAACTTCTTTGCATTATGGGGCAGAAGTGGGAGCTTCTCCCTTCCTTCCATCTTCCTCTCTTAGATCAGCTGGTTAAGAGTCCAGCCTGGGTTTGGCTCCCAGCTCCAGCACTAGTCAACTTAACTTCTTTGCATTGTTGGGCAGAAGAGGGGGCGTCTCCTTTCCTTCCTTCTTCCTCTCTTAGACCAGCTTCCCTTCCCTTCTGGGGCTGCCACAGCACCCGGTCAGCAGAATCCTTGCCTAATTCCTCTTCCTTCTCCAAACCACAGGGTCCCCCTCATCAGAAAGAAGTCCTTGAGGCGCACCCTGTCCGAGCGTGGCCTGCTGAAGGACTTCCTGAAGAAGCACAACCTCAACCCAGCCAGAAAGTACTTCCCCCAGTGGGAGGCTCCCACCCTGGTAGATGAACAGCCCCTGGAGAACTACCTGGATGTGAGTGTGCGGGCAAGTGGTGGGGCCAGCTCTGAGGACTTGGCCCGCAGGAAAGAGGGTGTCCCAGGGGTCTTGGAGGACGGGCCTGGGCTCTGTGGCTCCAGGCAGTGACCCAGAGTCTGCCCCCTAGATGTCAGTGGCCCAGGGCAGGCAGGAAAGCTCACAGTCAGAGTTCATTCATTCATTCGTTCACTCGTTCATGCAATGTTAATTTCTCTGAGCGCCTCATTCTATTTCAGGGCCTGTGCTGGGCTCAGGGGGAGACAGCAGTGAGCAAACTCATAGCCTAGGAGACAAACACAGTCATCAAGGGGTCTCGCAAACCAATGAAAAGAACAGGCAGCAGGAGGACTACAGAGTGACGGTGTCACACTGCGAGAGTCTGCCACTTGGGCAGGGAGCCTCCCTGGAGCCACGCAGGAAGAGCAGGAGTTTCCAAGAGAACAAGACAGAACTCCGCATAGCCTGATCCCTTGTGCCAAACCCTGTAGCAGGCGGGAGCACAGTGCCTTTGAAGGGGAGCCGAGAGGGAGGGAAGAAGGGTGCTGCAGACTGCGGTCCGAGGAACTGAGGGGTGGACGCAGAGAGGCTCCATCCTAACTGCCTCTGATTTATCTTAAACAGGGGGATGACAAGATCAGATCTGAGTTTCAGAAAGATCACCCTGACTTTGTTATTTGAGACCCGATAGCAAACACCCTGCCCTCCTGCAGATATTGTATGTCCCCTCTGTGACTGGCACAGGGCACAAAGCAGTGATGCCTGTGGTTCAGAGACTGGCCTCTGCCATCCAGCAGACCTGGTGCAAATATGGGTCCTAGTGCCTCTAAGCCACAGGACCTTGGCCAAGTCATTTAAATACTCTGAGCCTGTGTCTTGGTCTGGAAAACAGAACCACTAATATCTACCGTCAGAGGATGTTGCCAGGAATTAACACGATCATGTTTTCTGGAGTGCTTAGCATGGGGTCTGCCAGGCCCTTGGTAAGAGGCTTAATTAGCGCATTTATTTAGTTCACAAATATTTAACAAATATTGGCACCTCTCTATGTGCCAGAGGCTATGCAAGTTGCCAAAATGATGGTGAATAATCAAAGTTCCTGGAGCTTATACTCTAAAGGGGATAACAAATAAACAACCATGTAAGATAATTTCAGGTAATGATAAGGGCCTTGGCAAATTAATTAATGGGAGCATGGGGAACAAGAAGATTGAGAGGGGGCAAATTTAGATAAAGTGGTCACGGAAGGCCTGTTGGCAGAGGGGACATTTGACTAGAGAGCTGAATGATTGATTTTTGATAAAAGGATCAGCCAAGGAAAGATCTAGAATAAACATTTTCCTAGCACAAGGAATAGCCAGTGCAAAGGCCCTAGGGCAGGAGTGACTGGTCATCGCCAAAGAACAGCAAGCAGACCAGTGTGGCGGGAACAGAGCCGGCAGGGGGAAAATGCTGCCACTAACAAGAAAAATACTGGTTGATTGGCGGAGGCGGGTGGATCACTTGAGGTCAGGAGTTCGAGACCAGCCCGGCAACATGGTGAAACCCCGTCTCTACTAAAAATACAAAAATTTGCCGGGCATGATGGCACACACCTGTAATCTCAGCTACTTGGGAGGTTGAGGCAGGAGAATCACTGGAACCCAGGAGGAGGAGGCTGCAGTGAGCCGAGGTCGCGCCACTGCACTCCCGCCTGGACAACAGAGTGAGACTTGTCTCAAAAAAAAAGAATAAAAATACTGTCAATGCCCTTTCTTGCAACCTGCTATACACATCTAGATGTAGAAATAAGAAAACTGGACAGGTTTCCATCTTTAAGTGGCTTGCTTAGCTTCTGATAAACAATTTAAGGCACAAGCACTTAAGCTGTAACTTGCCCGGTGCTAGAAGGTTCCACCGCCATCCTCTGAGAACATGCGCTGTACGGATGGGAAGACTGTGACAGACAAGACAATGGCTAAAGAGGGAACAGCAGATTGTTAGGTGCTTGTGGTGCTTAACAGAGAGCAGAGGGTAAATTGGGGGAGCAATCAGGGAAGACTTCAAGGAGGAAGGGACGCCAGGGCTGGGATTTGAAGGATGAAGACAGTGGCTGGGAAGAGAAAGATAAGAACTGTGAGGAATGAAGGAAAAGATGGAGAGGCAGACTGAGGAGATGACCCAGAGACAGCCCCTAGGGAGGCCCTGACAGAGAGACCCCGTTCCGTGAACTGCCCTGTCCTCGCCTGGACAGATGGAGTACTTCGGCACTATCGGCATCGGAACTCCTGCCCAGGATTTCACCGTCGTCTTTGACACCGGCTCCTCCAACCTGTGGGTGCCCTCAGTCTACTGCTCCAGTCTTGCCTGCAGTAAGTGCCCAGACCGCCCTACCCCACTCTCACTCCCCAGCACCAGCCGACCCTGGGGAACCCTGGACACCCACGGGCTTCAAACAGTTCCCACCTCAAGCCTGCTGGAGCCACTCAACAGGCATTTATTGAGCACCTACTACGTGCCAAGCACTGGGCTCAGGTGCTCCAGGGGGTAAAGGGATGAGTGATATGATCCCTGCGGTCAAAGACTACACAGTCTGAGGGCAGAGAGAAGCTCTCCTCAATAACCACAGGCTGGGAGAGGAAGTATGGGGGGCCCAAAGCAAGACAGGGCCAAAGGGCTGTAGAATAGCCCACCAGGAAAGAGTCCAGTGTGAGAAAATGGCTTCAAAGCCTGGCTAGGACAGGCTAGAGGTCAGTGCTGAGCTCATTTAAAAAAAAAAAAAGAATCATTGGTTTGCTAATGAAAGAGAGTTTGTCTTTGGAAGTCATGAACAATGTGTGTTGCAGGTTCCTTCCTCTTCTAGTGTTTTCACTGGAGTTTTAATGAAGATGAGGTGCCTGTGGCATCATCCACATCATAACGGGAGCACTGGCTGGGGGCTAGAGGGTGAAAGCGCTCGTCACTGGGTAGCCACGGGCCTGCTCCGCTCTATGTTGGTCTGGGGAGGTCTCCAGGAGGCCCTTGGGGTTGGCTGGGGAAACTGCCACCAGTGAATGGTCCCAGTAGTTCAACGAGACAGGACAGAACCTGGGGTCTCTTGGGCTCCAAGGGTCTAGGGCGAAAGGTCGCTGCTCACCTCCAGAGCCCGTCCCAGGGCCAGGGCACCCCATCCCAGGAAGACATCCAGCCCATGACCTTCACCCAGCTCTCAGAGAATAACACTCACCGCTTGTCCTTGCAGCCAACCACAACCGCTTCAACCCTGAGGATTCTTCCACCTACCAGTCCACCAGCGAGACAGTCTCCATCACCTACGGCACCGGCAGCATGACAGGCATCCTCGGATACGACACTGTCCAGGTGGGCACCTGCAGGCTGCCGCTGCATCCCCCCATCAGGCACCCCCAAAATAAGCTTATTCCAGCAAGATGAGTCTTGGTGATCACAGAAGTAACCTGATTGGGGGTGCGGGGTGGGGGAGAAGCAGCAGAGATGTCACAGACATTGCTAGCTCGGGTGGCAGTGAGTAAAAGGGTGGGGTGCCAGGAGCCATAACCCAGACTCAGCTCCACCCAAGCAGAATGTTATGGAGTGTGGGGAGAGTCAGTAAAGGCTCACTTCTCTACTAGCACCTCCTCCTCTTCCTTCTTCTCCCGACATGCAGCACCCCAAGTCACGAAATCTCCACAAGCCCTCCCTGCCACTTTCGGGGCATGGCAGGGGTCAAAGGCCTGGGGTCTGGGGTCTGCTTTGCGTTTGTTCATCAGAAACACAAACACACAGTGACCATCTGTTCTCCAGCAAAATCTCACCCTGAGTCATAGACTGTAGCCATCTGGAGATCAGCTGCCATGGTTACCTCCAGCAGAGGAACCAGCATTCCAGCAGACAGTCCCTCTGCCCTCCTCCCGGGCTGATACCCTGGAAGCCAAGTCCTGCATGAGATGAACCAGGGTGGCTCTGGGCCTGAGGCTGGCATCCAGAGCTCAGTGAACATGACCCGATGGTGAACATCATCTCGGTTTCCCCACCCAGGTTGGAGGCATCTCTGACACCAATCAGATCTTCGGCCTGAGCGAGACGGAACCTGGCTCCTTCCTGTATTATGCTCCCTTCGATGGCATCCTGGGGCTGGCCTACCCCAGCATTTCCTCCTCCGGGGCCACACCCGTCTTTGACAACATCTGGAACCAGGGCCTGGTTTCTCAGGACCTCTTCTCTGTCTACCTCAGCGCGTAAGTTGAGTGGAGAGGGGCCTCCTCCCACCTCCCCCTCCAGAGGTCACAGTGTTCCTGCCCAGCAGGAGCTGTCCAAGGCTGGGTGCGATGGAGAGGGTCTTGGGAAGCAAGGGATTTGAAAGTCAATGTCTGAGGCTGGAGAAGTGTGTCTTTGGAGAGTAATAGTGCCAAGTCTGTCTCTGACGGGCCATGTGCACTCCATCTTATTTTACCAGCATCTTTGTCCCCTTGATGTGCACAACTCAAATGTCATCAGCCATTTGCCCCTTAGTGCCACTTCCCTCACCCTTGGCCCCCAAAGATACCATTTAAAGTGAATACAGTTAGCCAGGCATGGTGTCTCATGCCTGTAATCCCAGCACTTTGGGATTACAGCACTGAGGCGGGAGGATCACCTGAAGTCAGGAGTTCAAGACCAGCCTGGCCAACATGGCAAAACCCTGTCTCTACTAAAAAATACAAAAATTAGCCAGGTATGATGGCAGGCAACTGTACTCCCAGCTACTCAGGAGGCTGAGGCAGGGAGAATCGCTTGAGCCTGGGAGGCATAGGTTGCAGTGAACAAAGATTGTACCACTGCATCCTAGCCTGGGCAACAGAGCAAGACTCCATCTCAATAAATAAATAAATAAATAAATAAATAAATAAATAAAATAAAGTGACTATACTTAGACCAAAATTCCATAGCACAAAAATGAAAAGATTTGATCAAGATGTATCATGAATGATGACATTTTTCAATCATGAAAGCAAGTTTCTTTTATGATTTAATAAAATCTAGGTTCCATTTGTGACCGGGGGCTAATTCTAGGAATGAACAAAGAATAAATGAACAAACAAACAAATGAACAAAGAATAAACCAAATGTCAGTTTGGGCTGAGTAGAGTGTTATGCAAGAATACCTGAGGGCATCCTCCACTTTCTTAAGACATTCAGCTTTCCTCTAACACTCACCTACATCGTCCTCTCTTGAAAGGGTTCGCCGTCATTCATGTGTCTCCTCGGTTGGTAACTACACGTCTAGGTCCTCACTATATTGCCTTGCACTGTGAGATGTTCGCAGCAAAGGTGGGGTGGGTTCAGTGAGTGGGGTCATGTTTTAGAAATGGCCAGTTCTCGGATGATTAATTTCTTTTTTTTTTTTTTTGTGATGGGGTCTCGCTCTGTCGCCCAGGCTGGAGTGCAGTGGCGCTATCTCGCCTCACTGCAAGCTCTGCCTCCTGGGTTCATGCCATTGTCTACCTCAGCATCCCGAGTAGCTGGGACTACAGGCATGGGCCACCATGCCCAGCTAATTTTTTGTATTTTTAGTAGAGATGGGGTTTCACCCTGTTAGCCAGGATGGTCTCCATCTCCTGACCTCGTGATCCACCTGCCTTGGCCTCACAAAGTGCTGGGATTACAGGCATGAGCCACCACGCCCAGCCCCGGATAATTAATTTCTTATTGCCGTCTACATTTCCTTCCACATCTAACCTGAAACTGCAGAGATTTAGAAAATGAATATTGCAATAACAAGGACTCCTGCAATTTACAACAGGAAGGCTCTTTGTCATGTATTCTTCTTGGCCAGTTAATGTTCAAGGTGGCTCTGAAACATCATCTGCCTTTATGAGCACTTAAATATTTCATGTGGGGCCATTGTATCTCCCCAGCCAGATCCGAGTTTCTCAATCTGGGCACTGTTAACATTTCAGACCACCATAATTCCTTGCCGCCAAGGACTGTCCCGTGCATTGTAGGATGTTTGGCAGCATCCCCAGCCTCTACCCATGAGATGCCGGCAGCATCCCCTACCCCCACCCAATCATGACAATCCAAAATGTCTCCAGACATGCCCCTGGGGGCAAAACTGCTCCCAGCTAAGAACCAGTGACCTCCACCCTCAAGTCCTTAAGAGCGGACACTGTCATGCATTCACTTCCCTGGGGTCCCCATGGCAACCAGAGTGGGTACCACGGTGGAAACCACACATTCAAACTATAAGGCCTGTGTTCTTCCAAACGTAGTTCCACCACTCCCCCGCTGTGTGACCTTGGGCAGGTGGCCTCACCTCCCTCAGGCTCAGTGTCCTCATGGTAAGTGGAAACAACAGTGACGGTGCCCACTGCATGGGCCCTGGCCTAAGAGGAAAAGAAACCACATTGGTCACACCCCAGGACAGCCCTGGAAAGTGCCCAATCAACGGTCGCTCTGAGGAGGCAACAGCAGATGGTCACACAAATGGACGAACAAAAAAATTCATGTCTTCTCCCCTCACTTTCCACAGCGATGACAAGAGTGGCAGCGTGGTGATCTTTGGTGGCATTGACTCTTCTTACTACACTGGAAGTCTGAACTGGGTGCCTGTTACCGTCGAGGGTTACTGGCAGATCACCGTGGACAGGTGAGACTGCCATGAACGGGCAGCATCCAGGCCTGGGCCCCAGATCCCATTTCCTTATGGATTCATAGCCAATCAGCTTTCCAGAATCCCCCCAGGAACAGCTGGCACAGGGGAACACACTCCAGGGGGAAGGTGGAAGTTGGCCAAGCCAAAGAGACCCCTAGAAAGACACCTCCCTGCAGGAGGAGGGAAGAGCTGTCTGGGAAGCTGAGACTCTGCAAGGGTGAGATGGCCACTGTCCTCCTAGTCACGGAGGCAGGACCATCCACCAGCATCCCTGGGGAGAGCTGGGGGACCCACCTGTCCACGCATCTCACAATTTAAGGGGGCTGTGAACAAGCACACGCTCCTGCCACTCGAGGAAACATGTCACTTTCCGTCTAGAAGTGGGGCAAAATGGCTAAGAAATTGTGTGAAGTCACTTCATTCCACCCTCCCCTTCGGGGCCTCCCCTGTCTCCCTGGCAGCTTCATTTCTACGCTGTTCTTCCCCAGCTAGCCTGCTAGCGTGCTCAGTGGTGTGGGTTTTCCCAAGAATGAACAATTTCCCAGGACAGAGACTTTCAGTACTAAAACTGGGACCAGCCCAGGCAAACCAGGACACATGGATCACCTCATGTCTGCCCAGCCATGCTAGAATTTCACCAGTTCCTCCAACACCTGCCCCAGCCCTCTGGTCTCTGTACCTCCCCGCATACCATCCCCTGATGATGTCCTCCTTCTCTCTTCACCTGCCTGGCATTCCTGGGTGTCTGTTCCCCTGGCTGCTCCCCTCCACCACCTCTCACCCTGGGCCCTGTTTTTGTTCCCTGCCTCATGCCTGACTGATCATCTTGCCCTTCTGCCAACATAACTTATCTTGCCAGCTAGGCCGGGAGCTCCCTGCAGCCTGGAACTGTGAGGCTGTCTTGTTTCGCTTGGCGTTTCCCATGCCTGGCAGAGGGTAGGCACTTGGGAAATATTTGTAGGGTAAATGAATGCGGGATGAATGAGTGCGTGAACGAGAGGAACAGAAATTTCACGCATTGGCCAATGGATGGGTGGGGAAGGAATGTCTGGGCTCACCTCCTGGTTCCTCCTTGGAGAGATGAACCCCTGAGGGCTCAGGGAGCTTAACTTGCTTCTTACCCTCAGCATCACCATGAACGGAGAGACCATCGCCTGTGCTGAGGGCTGCCAGGCCATTGTTGACACCGGCACCTCTCTGCTGACCGGCCCAACCAGCCCCATTGCCAACATCCAGAGCGACATCGGAGCCAGCGAGAACTCAGATGGCGACGTGAGTCCAGCCCCGACTGCCCTGTTCTACACTCAAGTAGTGGGTGTGCCAGGCAGAAGCGACGAAAACCCTTCTAACTTTTCTCACCCTCACTCTTTCCAGATGGTGGTCAGCTGCTCAGCCATCAGCAGCCTGCCCGACATCGTCTTCACCATCAATGGAGTCCAGTACCCCGTGCCACCCAGTGCCTACATCCTGCAGGTGAGGAGGCTCTGGACCATCCACTAGAGAGGTTCACACAGAATGTGGACACAGAGTCCCCTTCTGCAGAGGGAAAGTACACTTCCACGAGCTGAAGCCAGCAGGCAGAGGCAGACGAACATCTGCCCTAGACAGCCTCCAGAGAAAAAGAATATATTAAAAACAAATGCAGGAATAAGAACTCGGATACAGCCCCCTAAGGGAACAAGTGAAGCAAAGGTTAATGGAGTGAAAAGAGGATTCTATTTGGACCCCTGCGTCCAAGTCCTGGGTCTGAATTACTAGCCCATTGATTCTGAACAAGCTACAGCTCATCTCACCCTCAGTTTTCGCATCCAAAAGGTAGAGATGGCAGCTTTCCCCACCCTCAGAGTGCGGTTAGGTCAACCAAGTGAGACTGATCACATCAGAGCTACCAAGGGTTGGGCAAATGGAAATCCTAATTTCCATAGGCTGGGGCTTCCAACACTTCTACCATCTCTACCAAGTAGCAAATCTTTAGCTATACGAGCCACAAGAAAACTCTTTCCCTTCTGTTATTATAACGTCAGGTGGAAAACTAATTTTGCCAGTGGACTCAAGTTATTCAACAAGAAGCACTGATGCCTGGGCTCCCCCACTGATTCTGATTACATTAGGAGAGGGCAAGGCCTGAGCAATGGGATGGGGCTGCGGGGGTTCAAAGCTCCCCAGGTGATGTGCAGACAAGGTCGCAGCCCAGTGACTTAGTGAGGCAAGAGGGCTAATAGCTCATCTGGTTTGTCCCTGATGAGATAAGAATAATAATGAGAAAAGGATGTAGTGGCAGGGTTTTTAAACTCCTTCCTAGCAGCTGAATTCTACCTAAGCCCCTTAGCACCGATGCTGATGTCAGGGTTCGTGTGCCTGCCAGAAACACCAGATAATGTCCAGTAATGCGTAGAAACCAGTCGTGCATTGGATGGCTTCTACAGGCTGACTCCAGGCCAAGAACAGCCGAATCCCTGGACACTGAGCCAGGAAGCTCCTCCTTGCACGTGCCTTACAGCTGGACCAGGGCTCCCTGGATGTTTATCACCCAGCGCCTATCACGGCTGAATCGGTGTCCCAGCTCCACTTTTATTCTCCTTTTCTCCAGAGCGAGGGGAGCTGCATCAGTGGCTTCCAGGGCATGAACGTCCCCACCGAATCTGGAGAGCTTTGGATCCTGGGTGATGTCTTCATCCGCCAGTACTTTACCGTCTTCGACAGGGCAAACAACCAGGTCGGCCTGGCCCCTGTGGCTTAAGCCTAA
This sequence comes from Homo sapiens, assembly GCF_000001405.40. NCBI lineage: Eukaryota > Metazoa > Chordata > Mammalia > Primates > Hominidae > Homo > Homo sapiens. Next base: position 61,251,288 of record NC_000011.10, read on the forward strand.
GTCTCTTCAGCCACCTCCCAGGAAGATCTGGCCTCCGTCCTATGCCCACTTTAGATGTATCTAATTCTCCTGACTGTTCTTCCCAGGGGAGTGTGAAGGTCTTGGCCCTGTTCCCTGTCCTACCAATAACGTAGAATAAAAACATAACCCACTGAAACAGGTTTTGTGGAGCTGCTTCTCTTTGCTGGTCTTTTTCCTTCACATTACTGGGGTTAGAACGCCAGGGCAGGGATGAAAATGACCACATCCACTTGGATGGCACCCAACATAGTGACCCCAGCAGCTGACACTTCATGATGGAGCCAGGAAGACAGAGAGGCTTCAGGGGGTTGTGCTGGAAGCATCATAAAAAGACCTGGGGGCCAAAATACTGAGCTAATTGTCTTCTCATAGAAGGGACACAGAGCTGAGATCCTGCCATTGTACTCTATCCTGGGCGACACAGAGAGACTCCAGCTCAAAGAAAAAAAAAATAGGGCACTGAAGCTCTTAGTTGAGGGAGTCAACTTCTTCTTTCTCCCAAAGCCAATAAGAGATCATGAGAAGGCTGGGCACAGTGGCTCACACCTGTAATCCCAGCACTTTGGGAGGCTGAGGCGGACAGGTCACCTGAGGTCAGGAGTTTGAGACAAGCCTGGCCAACACAGTGAAACCCTGTCTCCACTAAAAATGTAAAAATTAGCTGGACATGGTGGTGTGTGCCTGTAATCCCAGCTACTCGGGAGGCTGAGGCAGGAGAAGCGCTTGAATCTGGAAGGCAGAGGTTGCAGTGAGCTGAGATCGCACCATTGCACTCCAGCCTGGGCGACAGAGCGAGACTCCATCTCAAAAAAAAAAAAAAAAAAAGAGCTCATGAGGAAAGGAAAGCAATCAGGAGAGTCAGGAAAGGCGGACACTAATGGTGATGTCCCTAAGTAGATAGGACAGGGCAGTGTTGTCTGCAAGACATGGACAAGAGAAGTGGAAGAAGCTGACACCCCACAATCTTATAGGATGCCCTTGTGATTCGCTGGCTACCAAGACTAACAGTTAATCTCCCCCAAGTCCCAGGCATAAGACACTGAATCCATCTGTTTCCCCATCTGTAACCAAAGAGAAAGGTCTTCCACTTCCCTGAGCAGAGGTTGTGAGACAGAGAATTAAGCATGTTCATTAGCATATATGCCCTAGAAAGGCAAAGAGGAAATGGAGCAGTTTCTCAGACTGGGCTTGGTAGCAAAATGTTCAATGGAAAACACAGTTTCAGAATAAGTATAGAACATGCTACATTCTAGGCCCTTCCCCAGGGTTCACCAGCTACAGTTCCCAATCAAAAGCTCTGACAAGTCCTGCTGCAAAGTGATCTGTTTCTTTTTTACTCAGCTGAGCTTCATCTCAGACTCTCTCTTGCTAGTAAGTCTATTACAGCCCTGGGCTCCCCGGCATGCATGCTGGGAAAATTCCCATAGCTCCTGCTTCTGGTGACAGCCGACCTAGGCTGTCTGCTGAAGACACAAACCCAGAGGCTGGAGCTGGGCTCTAGGAAGGGCGGGGGTGAGCTCCAACACCCAGTCTCCCCAGGGTCACTCTCACCCTCCCAAGCCCATTTTCCATAGCTGAATAAACTTTAGGAAACATAAATTTCATCTCATCCCTTCCTTGCTTTAAACTCTTAATGCCTTCTTGCCATTGCCGTTGGAATAAAACAGCAAATCTTTGGCATAGTTCCAGGTCCTGTGTGCTCCTTTCCCTCCAAACCTTCCCTGCTTCACTCTGATCCCGTTACCCTGAGCTCCGTCCACCCTGGCCTCCCACGGCCACAAAAGCCCATGTGTTCTTCCCACCTCCAGACTTTGCACATGCTGTTCCCTTTGCCTGGGTTGCTTTTCCCTCTTTCTTGACTAGCTAACACCTAGCATCTGCAGACGTGGCTTAAATGTCACTTCCCAGCCGTGTGTGGTGGCTTATGCCTGCAATCCCAGCACTTTGGGAGGCCAAGGCAGGCAGATCAGCTGAGGTTAGGAGTTTGAGACCAGCCAGGCCAACATGGTGAAACCCCATCTCTACTAAAAATACAAAATTGGCCGGGTGTGGTGACCCATGTCTGTAATCCCAGCTACTTGGGAGGCTGAGGCAGGAGAATTGCTTGAACCTGGAAGGTGGAGGTTGCAGTGAGCCAAGATCACACCACTGCCCTCCAGCCTGGGCAACAAGAGTGAAACTCCGTCTGAAAGAAAAAAAAGCATATGGCTCAGTAACTTCCCTTCTGAAAATTTACCTTAAAGATACACTAGTAGATGTGCAAAGCGATGTAAGGACATGATTTTTTGTAGCATCATGTGGAAAAGCAAGATTTGAAATGACCCAAAAGTGCATCCACAGGAGTTGGTTCAACAACTTATGGTGCATCCACACAATATACAGCTGTAAAAGGAAGAAGCAAATGTGCTCACTGGGTGCTAAGATGGAAAGACCTTTTTTTTTTTAAGACGGAGTCTTGCTCTGTCTCCCAGGCTGGAGTGCAGTGGCATGATCTCAGCTCACTGCAATTTCGGCCTCCCGGGTTCAAGCAATTCTCCCGCCTCAGCCTCCTGAATAGCTGGGATTACAGGCACCTGCCACCACACCAGCTAATTTTTGTATTTTTAGTAGAGACGGGATTTCACCATGTTGGCCAGGCTGGTCTGGAACTCCTGACCTCATGATCCACCCACCTCGGCCTCCCAAAGTGCTGAGATTACAGATGTGAGCCACCACTCCCAGCCTCGGAAAGATCTTAAAAAGAGGGTAAGTTAAAAAAAAAAAAAAGTGAATTACAGCGATTTTGAGCCTCTGTAAGTTTGTCCTACTTAGAAACCTACCGTGACTTGCCTTCAGGCCATGCATCTAATAACCTTTAAAATCAGGTCTCTTGAAACAGGTCTGATCATTCTGCCCTTTGAGAAGCTGCCAGGTGCAAGGGAAACTGAGGCCACAGAATAAGCTTCCGACACACCCCCATTCTGTTCTGTTTCTCAGAACCCTAAAAGTGGAATCCTAGCTCAGGAAAAATGCAAGGTGTCTCCATCCAAGAACAAACACTCCCTTGCTTGTTGGAGCACAGGCTCCCGAGAATTCAGAGCAGCTTATCCCATTAAAGGCACTGCGCGCCCCGCTGGGGGCTTCAGGTGGACTCCTGCCTCCTGGTGCACTGCGGTTTACCGTGCACAGAACATGTGCTTACATGGCCCAGTGAGAGCCCTGACCCAGCCCTCCACCCATGGCTCCTGCACCTCTGCCCCAAGAGCCTTCTGGTGCCTGGGGACAAGCAGAAAGGCAGGCTCAGTACTATGGCAAGGCCAGCAGGGTGTGCTAGAGAGCCAAAAGCCCAGGACAAGGCTCGACCAGTGAGGGACGAAAGTTGAGGGACAACTACTGGTGCATCTTCACACCCTTGGGGGACAATCCTCAGGCAAGGCATGGGCTCCACAGTCTTCCAGAAGGTCCCTAGGACAAAGTGCCAATTGCCCATAGCTGCAACCGGCTCATCAATGCCCCTTGATTGGTCTTTTTCTCTTGGCTCTCACCCGAATACTATCTCTGGGTCTGCTTTAGGGGGAACCCAAACTAAAATAGTGTTCACAGGGCCCCTCCTAAACTGTGGGCCATCAGCTGTCTCTCCAAACACCAACAGGAGAACCTCATCAGGTGAAATGTGAAGCGAAGGAAAAACACCTGGACTGGGAGTCAGACGAATGAGGCTGTCTTCCCATTCAGCCGTCATAATCTGTGCAGCCTTAGAACACTCTCCTAACTTCTCTGAGCCTCTGCTTCTCAGCTGTAATATTGGGTGGGGAACAGTCCAGTTAAACATGTTTTTATACTCGGAAAAACTTGGGAAAAGTGTTTACAGCTGTCCCCCTGCCCCACCCCCAACCAATCTTTTTTTTTTTTTGAGATGGAGTCTCGCTCTGTCACCCAGGCTCTGAGTGCAGTGGTGCGATCTTGGTTCACTGCAACCTCTGCTTCCCAGGTTCAAGCGATTCTCCTGCCTCAGCCTCCTGAGTAGCTGGGACTATCGGCACATACCATCACGCTTGGCTAATTTTTGTATTTTTAGTAAAGATGGGGTTTCACCATATTGGTCATGCTGGTCTTGAATTCCTGACCTCGTGATCCGCCCACCTCAGCTTTCCAAAATGCTGGGATTACAGGCATGAGCCACCACACCCGGACTCCTTTTTTTTAAACATTCAAAATGAACATCATTGACATGAGTCCTATTTGCAGAGGCAGGTGGGGGGGACTAGTATTAAACTTAAATTGCATGCTAACTTATTGCATAAAGGAACAGCAATGAGGAAATTGGCACTAATTTTTAGCCACTACCATTTTGACAGATGGACTTGTTTGAAAAGTTGCAGCATGGGGGCAATGAGAATTCTACGCTTTTATCCTGAAATCAGACCCCACGTGGCATCACCAAGCCGGGTGGGCTGTAGCAAGTTTAGGGGCCACAGGGCCACAAGTGCAAACCACTGAGACTTATGGAGGCATTATCACACGTCATTGTCACAACTCCATAAAGTAGGCCTGTTATTATCCCCATTGTCCAAATAAGGGAGCAGAGGCCTGGCGCGGTGGTTCATGCTTGTAATCCCAGCACTTTGGGAGGCCGAGGCAGGCAGATCACCTGAGGTCAGTTTGAGACCAGCCTGGCCAACGTGGCGAAACCCCATCTCTACAAAAAATACAAAAACTAGCTGGGCATGGTGGCGTGTGCCTGTAATCCCAGCTACTCGGGAGGCTGAGGCAGGAGAATCGCTTGAACCTGGGAGGTGGAGGTTGCAGTGAGCCGAGATCATGTCACTGCACTCCAGGCTGGGTGACAAAGCAAGACTCTGTCTCAAAAAATAATAATAATAAGGGAGCAGAGACCTAATATCCCACAGCTAGTCCAGCTGAGCAAGGCTCCAACTTGAGATTCATTGGCTGCAGACCCCGCTCATGACCATGACCCTTTGTATCTTACTGGACAAAACGGCCTCTAAGTCCTTTGCCTCTCTAAACTGTTTGGTTTCCATGCTCCTATCTCCCACATTTATTATTCCTGCCACCAGCCGCAGGTTAGAGGCCAGGACTACACTGTCGTCTGGACTGGATACCAGGTTGCCTTTGCAGCCAGGAAACACTTCAGCAGACCCTTCGCCCTGGGACACAGAGTGAGTAGCAGGTCAGAGAAGGGCTCAGAAGAGGGCGGCCTCGGCAAAGCGATGGGCCATGCCCGGGGGTGCTTTCACTCCGCAGCCTCCATGGGTTTCAGTGGTAGCAAGTGTGGGGCTGCAGGCCCGTAATCCCAGTACTCAGGGAGGCTGAAGTGGGAGGATCGCTTGAGCCTAGGAGTTCAAGACCAGTCTGGGCAACACAGCGAGACCCTATTTCTACAAAATTTTTTTAAAAGTTAGACAGGCGTGGTGGCATGTGCCTCTAATCCCACCCACCCGGGAAGCTGGGGTGGGAGGAAGGCTTGAGCCCATGAGGTTGAGGCTGCAATGAGCCGTGATCATGCCACTACACTCCAGCCTGGATGACAGGGCAACATCCTGTCTCAAAAAAAAAAAAATGGTAGCAAGTGGTGACTTGGTGACAGAGCAGCTTCTGCTTTCCAGCCCCACATCACTTCCCTTATCACAAATCCGCATCCCCCCATTCATGACGGCACTGTCCTCTTTCCGTCTCTCATGCACACTGTGCTACACTGCCCAGATCCCCCCACTAGGACTGAAGGATCAGTCTCCCAGCTGCTGGGAAGGTGGTTGATAGCAGCTCTCTGGTCAATATGAGGCAGAAAGCCCTGCCCCGTAGCTCCAGCTCAGGACAGCTCCGAAGGGCCAGCCTAACCCCAGAGCTCCCAGAGGGGGCTGGCTGAGGCTTCGAGAAGGCCCAGCAGCCCCAACTCTCCCTCCCTGCTCCTTCCCCGCTGCCCACAGGTGTTCCTGCTGAAAACACGTCTTAAGAAACTGCTGGCCCGGCCCGGCGCGGTGGCTCAGGCCTGTCATCCCAGCACTCTGGGAGCCCAAGGTGGGCAGATCACCTGAGGTCAGGAGTTCGAGACCAGCCTAGCCAACATGGTGAAACCCCAACTCTACTAAAAATACAAAAAATTAGTCAGGTGTGGTGGCGGGCACCTGTAATCCCAGATACTCAGGAGGCTGAGGCAGGAGAGCCGCTTGAACCCAGGAGGCAGAGGTTGCAGTGAGCCAAGACCTTGCCATTGCACTCTAGCCTGGGCAACAAGAGCGAAACTCCATCTCAAAAAAGAAACTGCTGGTCTGTCATTTCGTCTCAGAGGTTCCTTCCCAGAAGCAAGTCCTCTCCATCATCTTTTCCCTTCTCACTGTGGAAGCCCCCCAGTGTCTGTATGGTATTCCATGGTGTACATACTATGCAGCCATAAAAAAGAATGAGATAATGTCCTTTGCAGGAACATGAATGGAGCTGGAGGCCATCATCCTTAGCAAAGTTACGCAGGAAGAGAAAACCAAATACCGCATGTTCTCATTTGTAAGTGGGAGCTAAATGATGAGAACACATGGACACATAGACACGAAAAGCACACACTGGGGTCTATGGAAGGGTGGAGGGAGGGTAGAGGGAGAGACTTAGGAAAAATAACTAATGGGTACTAAGCTTAATCCCTGGGTGATGAAATAATATAATCTGTATGACAAACCCCTGTGACACGAGTTTAACTATATAATAAACCTGCACATGTACCCCTGAACTTAAAATAAAAGTGAAAAAAAGAAAAAAGAAAACAGAAAAGAAAATCATGATCTTGGGGAAAAAAATAAAAAGAAGTCTCCCAATATAAAAGGCCGCCAAGTGCTTACAGGAGACCCTTCCCCAGCCCAGTCACAATTTGGTGCCAGCTTTTCTCCCCAGCAGTGGGGTAAAGGTGGATGCTCACTTACCACCTGTGGGCTTGGGGTCACGTTTCCCACCTTCCCACAGGTAAGCGGTGAATGAGCAGTGCAGCATGGGGAAACCGAGACAACCTTTAATCAGGAAACCTCAGAGAGACGCATGACACCTGGCGGTACAGTCCCAGTGAGTGGAATCCCAGCCGGACGCAACTCTTCCTCCAGGAGAACTTGGCAGTCCCAACCCTTCTCAAAAGATGAGCCAGCCACGCGGTCCAGGGAGGATGCTGACAGTGGAAACGACTTCCTCCATTCTTACAGCACATTCCAAACACTTCTTGGGAACAAGGTTACATCCAGCCTTGGGGGTCTTCCATCCTCACCAGGGCCCCTGCAGGAGGGAGCCCAGGCATCCCCACCAGGTTCATCCTTGGAGCTGCCCTGCACACACCCTGGGCCACTGGCAGAGGTCCTCTCTCCAGAGTCTCCCGGACACAGTGACCTCCTTACATGGTGGACTCTTCCCCCCGAGAAGCCCCCACTGGGGGCTGCTGGGGGCCAGGGTGGGTGGTGGCTGCAAGGGCTGTGGAGAGTCTAGAGGTGGTGGGAGAAAGCACGCGAGGCCCGAGGAGGGTGATGGGGGTCTTCGAGGGGCTGGGGTCCATCATGGAAAGTGCTGAAGCTTCCGTCAGGAGGGTGCCAGGCAGAGGAGGCCACCTGGACACTATCTGGGCCCCAGAGGCTGAGAACGAGCGCTCTGGAGTCACAGGAGGTGGCTGAGGAGCCCCTGGGGAAGCTAGAGGTAGAGTGGGGGCTCCTGGAGGGGTCGAAGGCCCTGGTGAGAGTCGAGGGGAGGCCCCAGGCTCCCCTGGGAAAGTGGCTGTCAGCCCCAAAGCGAGTGAGTGTGGACCATGAGCTCCTGCCGGGCTTGTAGGTAAAGTCTGTGTTTTCATCAAGTTCGTTCTTAAAAGGAGCTGGAGGAGATGAAGCACCGGCCTCGAGGGTGATGCTGTCGGGGGCCCAGGACAGGAGCTACAGTTGACAGGGGCCTCAGTGTCTCCATGCAGGCTCCGACCAGCTTTGCTGAATGCCACATTTCCGTGAGGGGAGAGCCCCTGCTTTTCTTCCAGAGGAGACAGGGAATCTAGAGAGACGAGGGTGAAACGAGATGCACAATGGCTCTCTCCAGTGGCCAAGGTGGCTCTGGGACAAGGTATACCAGGGACACCCAAGCTCTGTCCTCAGAGGGGCCTCAGCACACCTGGTGAGGACCAGCCAGCTCCTGCCTCCAGGAAGGGAAGACTGAAGGAGCCATGAACGGAGGGAGGCAGGCAGTTAGCTGTGTGACCTCACGCAAGGCATGCAACTCTCCTGGGCCTCTGTTTCCTCATCTGTAAAATGGGCACAGCAGTAAGGACTGAGTGTGAATGAAAGGGTGCACGGAGAGTCTCAGCCTAAACCTCAATGTGAACTATAGACATTGGATGTCAATGACATGTCAGTGTCAGTGTAGGATCACCGATTATAACAAACATGCCACGCTGGTATGGGGTGCTAATAGGGGGCAACGCTGTATCATGTGGAGTCTGAGGCATATGGGAACTCTCTGTACTTTCCACTCAATTTTGCCATGATCATCAAACTGCTCTAAAAAATAGTTTCTTTGAAGAATTTTTTAAAAAGTCTCAGCCTAGGGCCTGGCATATCATAAAGGCTCAGTACACAAGGAGAAAATAAACACAGATGCTCCTTGACTTACGATGGGGTCACGTCCCAATAAACCTGTAAATCAAAAATGCATTTCTGACCAAGCGCAGTGGCTCACGCCTGTAATCCCAACACTTTGAGAAGCCGAGGCGGCGGATCACCTGAGGTCAGGAGTTCAAAACCAGCCTGGTCAACATGGTGAAACCCCATCTCTACTAAAAATACAAAACTTAACCGGACGTGGTGGCGCGTGCCTGTAGTCCCAGCTACTCGGGAGGCTGAGGCGCGAGAATCACTTGAACCCAGGTGGCAGAGGTTGCAGTGAGCTGAGATCGTGCCACTGCACTCCAGCCTGGGAGACAGAGCAGGACTCCGTTTCACCAAAATTTAAAAAAAGGCTTTTTTTTGGGGTGGGGGGGACAGGTTCTCACTCACTTGTCCAGGCTGGAGTGCAGTGGTGCAAACATGGCTCACTGTACCCTCAACCTCCTGGGCTCAAGCGATCCTCCCATCTCGGCTGTCCTACTTGCTGGGGCCACAGTCACATGCTACCACACCTGGCATTCTGTTCTGTTCTGTTCTGTTCTGTTCTATTTTATTTTTGTAGAGACAGGATCCTACTTTGTTACCCAGGCTGGTCTCAAACTCCTGAGCTCAAGTGATCCTCCTGCCTTAGCCTCCCAAAGTGCCGGGGTTATAAGTGTGATCCACGGTGCCCAGCAAAAATGCATTTAATACAGCTCACTTCCTGAACACCACAGCTTACCCTGGCTGACCTTACACGTGTTCAGAACCCTTATACTGGCCCACAGTTGGGCAAAATCATCTAAGTAAATCCCTATTTTTTAATAAAGTGCTGAATATCCATGTGTCACATATTGATAACCCAGGAAAAGATCAAAATTCAAAATACAAAATACAGCAAAATTTTGATGGTTTCACATCATTGTAAAGTCAAAAAATCATTAAGATAAACCACCAGAAAGTCAGGAATCATCTGTGAAAGAAGGAAGAAGCTCAGCAAAAAGAAAATGAAGAGTGAAGAAGCAAAAAAAGAAAAAGTATCGGCCCAGGCGCAGTGGCTCATGCCCATAATCCCAGCATTTTGGGAGGCCATGGTGGACAGATCACTTGAGGTCAGGAGCTTGAGACCATCCTGGCCAACATGGTGAAACTCCATCTCTACTAAAAATACAAAAATTAGCAAGGTATGGTGGTGCCTGTAGTCCAGCCACTTGGTAGGCTGAGGCAGGAGAGTTGCTGGAAACCGGGAGGTGGAGGTTGCAGTGAGCCAAGATCATGCCACTGCACTCCAGCCTGGACAACAGAGAGAGACTCCATCTCAAAAAAAAAAAAGAAGAAAGAGTATCGAAGGTATGATCAAGGAAAAATCAGACGTTGTCAAGCACATAAAAAACTGGAATGATTATATTTTAAAAATCAACTATTCATATTAATAGATGGTTGCGTAACTCTAAAAATATGCTTAAAATGACTGAATCATACACTTTAAATGTGTGAATTGTATGACATATGAACTTTATCTTTAGAAAGCTGTTATACTTTTAAAAAAATCATCAAAAGAGGCTGGGCTCAGTGGCTCATGCCTGTAATCTCAACAGTTTGGGAGGCCAAGGCGGGACGATTGCTTGAGTCCAGGAGTTGGGACCAGCCTGGGCAACATAGCAAGACCTTGTCTCTAAAAAAAAAAAAGTAAAAAAATTAACCAAGTGTTTATCACTTCATGGGCTTGGAAATAAAACAAAAATAGAAACAAAAAATTAGCCAGGCAGGGTGGCATGCACCTGTAGTCCCAGCTACCTGTGAGACTGAAGTAGGAGGATTGCTTGAGCCCAGGGGTCGAGGCTGCAGTGAGCTGTGATCGCACCACTGCACTCCAGCCTGGGCAACAGAGTGAGACCCTGTCTCAAAAAAAAAAAAAAATCATCAAAAGAAAGCAATTCATATTCTACTTCAATAAAAAGTTGTTTTTCCTTAAAGGGAGCTCTTGTTAATAAGAGGTAGGTGGTAAACATAGTGTGCTTCAGGAGAAGGAGCTGGGCTCTGGAGGTTACCTCTTGGTTTTTGTTTTTGTTTGAGACAGAGTCTTGCTCTGTTGCCCAGGCTGGAGGGCAGGGCGCAGTCTCAGCTCACTGCAACCTCCATCTCCCAGGTTCAAGCAATTCTCCTGCCTCAGCCTCCCAAATAGCTGAGATTACAGGTGTGCACCAACATGCCCGGCTAATTTTTCTATTTTTAGTAGAGACAGGGTTTCACCATGTTGGACAGGCTGGTCTCAAACTCCTGGCCTCAGGCGATCCACCCACATCAGCCTCCCAAAGTGCTGGGATTACAGGCGTGAGCCACCACGCCAGACCTGGAGGTCACCTCTTTGGGTCTCAGTTTCCCCAGGTGGAGGTAGGAGGGCACGGTGGGAAAGAGGACAGGATAGGAAATAAGAGAGACCTAGGCTTAAGTCTTACACACCAACTAGAAACTTAACTTCTTTGAGCCTCCATTTCCCCACCTGCAAAATGGAGATAACATAGCAGCCACGCTGGAACACTCCATGAACATTTAAATGAGGTAATACATTTAAATAAGGTATAAAATGCTCAGTATGCTGCCTGGCACATTAGCTAGCAATCAGTCTCTAGACAGTCAGGGGACTAATATCCACTAGCATGCAGAGAGGTTTGTGGTGGTTACAATGAAGTACAATCTATAATGTCCCCAACATGATGGATTTGAAGGCTCAATGGATATTCCTGGCGCCACCCGCCCTAAAAGCTCATCATCCACAGATCTGAAGAGCTGCCCCCGAAAACAGAACATACTCTTCAAAAGGTCAAAGGAGTTAAACAAATATTTTATAAAAAAGGGAATTCAGGCCACCATCAGTGAAAAAAATTCCCTGTCTTCCTAGAAGTTTAAAAAACATAAAATAGATCCAGCAATCCCACTGCTGAGTATTTATCCAAAAGATTTAAAGTCAGTTTGGGGAAGAGAGCTGCAGTCCTGTGTTCACTGTGACACTATTCACAATAGCCAAGCTATGGAACCAACCTAAGCATCCATCAATAGTACTTCATTGTGTGCATATACCACATTTCTTTATCCAGAATGGAATACTATTTAGCCTTTTAAAAGAAGGAAATTACAGGCTCACGCCTGTAATCCCAGTGCCTTGGGAGGCCGAGGTGGGTGGATCACTTGAGGTCAGAAGTTCGAGAACAGCCTGACGAACATGGCGAAACCTTGTCTCTACTAAAAATACAAAAATTAGCCGGGCATGGTGGTGTGCGCCTATAATCCCAGCTACTCAGGAGGCTGAGGCAAGAGAACCACTTGAACCTGGGAGGCAAAGGTTGCAGTGAGCTGAGATCGCGCCACTGCACTCCAGCCTGGGTGACAGAGTGAGAATCCTCAAAAAAAAAAAAAAAAGGAAATTCTGTCATTTGCAACAACATGGATGAAACTGGAGGACATTATGCTAAGCGAAATAAGCCAGACACACAAAGACAACTATTGCAAAATCTCAGTTTTATGTGGAATCTAAAAAGGTTGAAGCCAAAGAAGCAGAGAATAGAATCGTGGTTACGAAGGCTGGCAGGGGCGAGGGGAATGGGGAGATGATTGTCAAAGGGTACACAATCTCAGCTAGACAGGAGAAATATGTGTTGTGTTGTGTTTTGTGTTGTTTAGAGACAGTGTCTCTCTGTGGCCCAGGCTGGAGTTCAGTGGCGTCAGTTCTTGGGAATCAATCCACTGTCCTATCTAAAAGCATCGACTCCAGTCTGAAACCCTGGCTCTACTACCAATCAGCTATGTGATCTTGAGCACAGCACTTCACCTGCCTGGGCCTGTTTTCTCACCTGGCACAGGAGGATGACAAGAGTATTGCAGGGGTGTAGACACATGAGGTGTCCCGGCACACCGTGGGTGCTCAACACATATTAGAGATTACTCTTCTGCAAAACGGACTCAGTTCCCATGTTGTAATTTAAAATAAAGAAGAAAGCATAGGAAGAGGTTAAGAAAGGGGATAAAGAAGAAAAAGGGAGTGCAGGCCGGGCGCAGTGGCTCACGCCTGTAATCCCAGCACTTTGGGAGGCTGAGGCGGGCGGATCACGAGGTGAGGAGATCGAGACCATCCTGGCTAACACGGTGAAACCCCATCTCTACTAAAAATACAAAAAAATTAGCCAGGCGTAGTGGCAGGCACCTGTAGTCCCAGCTACTCCGGAGGCTGAGGCAGGAGAATGGCGTGAACCCGGGAGGCGGAGCTTGCAGTGAGGTGAGATAGCGCCATTGCACTCCAGCCTGGGTGACAGAGGGAGACTCAGTCTCAAAAAAAAAAAAAAAAAAAAAAAAAAGCAGAAGAAGAAGAAAAAGGGAGTGCAAATAAACAGACATCATGGTGTGTGGCATCATGAGCACGGGATGAGGGTCAGCAGGCCACAGCACAGCTGTACAACCTTGCGCGAGCCGTGTTCCCTCTCTGAACATGGCTTTCTCTTATCCAGCCCTTTACAAGTTCTATGTACCGGGGAAGAAAAGTAAAATGGAAGAAGATGGCGGAGAAACTCCAGGACCCAGAGACCCACTTACCTGGACAGGAAGAGCAGCAGTCCCCAGGAAGCAGGGCAGGGTCGGCACAGGCCCGCTGGCAGGGAACCTTCTCACAGCTCACCTCTCCCAGCTGGGGAAGCAGAAGGAACCCCATGAGGAAGCCCAGAGCATCTTGCCTGCCCTGGGCAGTGCCCTCAAGGGCCTCTTGCACCAGCAGCAGGACCCACGGAAAGATCCCAGGACAGAGGCTGCAGTGCCTGAGCCCTCGCCTGGAGAACAGGTAAAGCCAGCTATGGCAGGACCCCCTTTGGGAAACCACTTCTCCCTCTGGACTTCCACAGAGGGAGGAGATGGTCAAAACCAAAGATATTCTGGCAGTTAATTAAAGGCGGAGGATGGCAGGAGGATGGATTTATGCTGGCTAAAGGGCTCCATGTTTTGCAAAGGGACAAAAGGCAAGAAGCTGCCCTCTGGCGGGGCCGCTCCTGGGTTCCCAGGCCCAGCTCACCTGGCACGTGCACCGGGTGCAGGGTTCATCATCCAAGGTGAACACCTGGCCATTCGCCACCTTCCTTCCCTCGTAGTTGCAGTCTGTGGAGGAAGGGGAGACAGGAGCCCATGAGAGCCGAGGCCTGGCCGGGAACCTGGCACGTGGGGCAGCTGGTCCCACTCACCTCGGCACACGGGGCAGCACTCCCCGTCAGGGTGGAAAGGGTAGGTACAGGTGATGGGGCAGTCCACGGGGGAACAGGCCACTGAGCCCAGCTGCAGGACACAGAAAACACACAAGGCCCTCGGTTCAGGGCAGCTGACAAGACACTCAGGAAGATGCCGCTCCTATAGCCACTGAGTGTCCATCAGAACAATCAACATTGTGGGAGGAGTCCATGGTGGGGCAGTGGGGCAGGGGGCGCATTTTCTCTGTTGGGGTCCAACTTCCCACTAGAATTCAAGCCCCTCGAAGGTAAGAACATGGACTTGTCCACGGAGGGCATCTGTTAACGGGTGCCTGTTGCATAAACTGCCCAGAAAAGATAAGCACCAAAACCCGATAGAGAAAGATCCAGGGGCCAAAGTTCCCCAAAGCCCGAGGCTGAGAACAACTAGGGCCTACGTGCAGTGGGTCACTCAGGGTAAGTAGCTCAGGGCTGTTTACCGTGAGTTTCTCAATCTTTCTGCAGACCGTGTCCCTTGTCACGCATGTACTCTGCTGAGGCTCACTGATCACCAAAGAAATACCGCATCTGCACCCACACCAGCAAAGCAGCGTCATCCCGCATTCAGGGCGTCAGCATGCTAAGCATGAAGAATTTTTTTACCCGGAGTGGTGGCTCACACCTGTAATCCCAACATTTTGGGAGGCTGAGGCAGGAGGATCATTTGAGGTCAGGAGTTCGAGACCAGCCTGGCCAACATGGCAAAACTCCGACTCTACTAAAAGCACAAAAATTAGCTGGGCGTGGTGGTGCGCACCTGTAATCCCAGCTACTCAGGAGGCTGAGACGGGAGAATCGTTTGAACCTGGGAGGCGGAGGTTGCAGTGAGCCAAGATTGTGCCACTGCACTCCAGCCTGGCGACAGAGTGAGACTCTGTCTCAAAAAAAAAAAAATAAAATAAAATAATTATTTTTTTCATCCAGGCATAGTGGCTCACACCTATAATCCAGCACTTTGGGAAGCTGAGGTAGGAGGATCACTTGAGGCCAGGAATTCAAGACCAGCCTAGGCAACAGAGCAAGATCCTGTCTCAGTATTTTTTTATGTAAAATTTTTTAGCTACATTTTTAAAAAAGCTAAAAACAAAATTTTTGGCTGGGTGCAGTGGCTCATGCCTGTAATCCCCAAACCTTGGGAGGCCAAGGTGCGAGGATTGCCTGAGCCCAGAAGTTCCATACCAGCCTGAGCAATACAACACGACCCCATCTCTATGAAAAGAATTTTTTAATTAGCCAGGTGTGGTGGTAATCCCAGCTGGGTGTGATCCCACCTACTTGGGAGGCTGACATAGGAGGATCGCTTGAGCCCAGGAGGTCAAGGTTGCAGTGAGCCAAGATCACGCTACTGCACTTCAACCTGGGTGACAGAGCAACACCCTGTCTCAAAAAAAAAACAATTTTTTTTTCATTTTCCAAAAACTAAATGATACTATGGGACATGCTTTTTCAGACTGAGAGGCAGTATGACCCAGGAGAAGAAATATGCATCTCAGAATCACAATACTAGGGTTCCATTCTCAGTACTTTGATTAACTAGTTACGGGATCTGAGCAAAGACTCTCTCTGTGCCTTGGTTTTCTCATCCAGAAGAATGAGATGATAAACTCTTGAATGGATTAGCTGAGTGCATGCCTATGAAGGGCGTGGCACACTGCAAGAGCTTGACCACATGGGTCTACTGAAAAGGTTCCAGTACTGGATTCTGGGTTTGTGCGTTTCACCTCCACCCTCATCAAGAATCCCTAAGACTCTCTCTAGGGGGTAACCCGGAAGCAGAGGACTTTGCCAGCCAGGTTTAAAAATATTTCTCTGGGCTGGGCATAGTGGCTCATGCCTGTAATCCCAACACTTTGGGAGGCTGAGGTGGGCAGATCACCTGAGGTCAGGAGTTCAGGAACGGCCTGGCCAACATGGCGAAATCCCGTCTCTACCAAAAATACAAAAATTAGCCAGGCGTGGTGGTGCATGCCTGTGGTCCCAGCTACTTGGGAGGCTGACACAGGAGAATCGCTTGAACTCGGGAAGCGGAGGTTGCAGTGAGCCAAGATCACACCACTGCACTCCAACCTGGGAGCCTGGGTGACAGAACAAGGCTCCATCTCAAAAACAAACAAAAAAAATTTCTCTGGCCCTGTCTAAAGGGTCACCCTGGGCAGGACTGGAGGGAGCTGACTTCCACCATGAACCAGAAGCATCCCTTGTCTTGGAGGTCTCTGGATTTTGCCTCTGGGATTCAGGAGCCGATGTCAGTTGTGGGGGAGTTTCCAGGGGCGGGAGTCAGATCTGGGTGGTCCATACCAGGCAGATGCAGCTCAGACATGGGTCCAGCACAGACGGGAAGGTCTCGTTGTTATAGAAGATTCTGCCTGTGTAGGTGCAGCCTGCCAGAGAGAGCATGCGCTGAGCACCAGCTGGGAGTGGCCAGGCACCAGGCTTCCCGCCAGGGCCAAGGTCACAGGCTTATCTGGATGGCAAAGGGGAGGCCATGTGCCTCCCCAGGCAGTCACCCTGGGAGTTAGGGAAGGGACAAAACGCCTGTTTGGATTGTCTGAATCGGGTATTGACTTTTTTCCCACTGGATTCAGCAAAAGGATCAAGTGTCTTGGCCTCAGTGTCCTCACCCTGAAGAGTGGGGAGATTCATCCTCTACCTCCTCACCAGGGGGGATCAGGTGGAAGAACTGGGAAATACGAGGTGTGTGTGAGGCCCCACAGCATCTTCCCAACCTCCTCTCTGCCCTCCAAACTCACTCAAACCACCAACCCCGCCTGTCCAGAACATTCCCCAACACTACTCCCCTCTCTGATTCCTGACAGCCCCAGAAGCCTGATGTGAGTGATGCCACCTTGGATGATACTATCATATACTGCTAAGTGTAAAAGCAGGTGATGAGACAGTAGGGGAAGCTTTAAAAAAATAAAATAAAATAAATAAATATATGTATGTTTATATATATATTATATATATAATGTACATCTACTAAATGTGTGTGAGCATCACAAAAAGAGACTAGAAGGACATAAACACAAATTTAACAGTGCTAATAGGTCCTTGCTAATATTCTTTATTTTTGCTTTCTGTACTTTTTTTCTAAATTTTCTATAATGGAGCTGGGTGCATTGGCTCATGCCTGTAATCCCAGCACTTTGGGAGGCCAAGGCAGGCAGATCACCTGAGGTTAGGAGATCGAGACCAGCCTGGCCAACATGGTGAAACCCCATCTCTACTAAAAATACAAAAATTAGCCAGGCATGGTGGTGGGCACCTGTGATCCCAGCTACTCAGAAGGCTGAGGCAGGAGAATCACTTGAACCCGGGAGGTGGAGGTTGCAGTGAGCTGAGATCACGCCACTGCACTCCGGCCTGGGTAAGAGAGCAAGGCTCTGTCTCAAAAAAATAAGATAAATTTTCTATAATAAAACATTACTTCTGAAATCATGGAAAAGGTAAAAATGACTATTAAAAGGCAAAAATGACTGTTAAAACTTCTCTCCTCCTGCTGTTCTCCAATTGTCTCACAGGTGCAGCTCCTGTACCACCCACCTGCACCGTAAGCCCTGCGTGTCTTCAGATCTGCCTCGAGCACTCAGAGGGGGCCTGACTTGGGTAAACTGTTCTACCTCAGTTTCCTTATCTGTGCAATGGGGTTGTCCCTTGGGGTTGTTAGGACGACATGAGATGAAGGCTGTATAGGGCTTAAGGAGCCCGATGCCTGAGATGCCCTGCCCTGGGGGCTTGGGGCAGAGGCAGGGGATTACCTGCTGAACAGTCTGGGCAGCACTGTCCAGGGATCCGGATCGGGTGAGGGCAGGAGTCCACACAGTCTGTCCTCTTGCAGCTCACCGAGCCATCTGCCTGGAGGAAGGAGGAACTTCACCAAGACCCCACCGGTGACACCGGCCCCTGCCTCCCCGCCCTGCAAAAGAAACAGCAACGCTGCAAACTGGCCAAGGCTTGCCCTGAAAGGCAACATGACGCGGCTGGAAGATGGCAGGTCTCCCCTAAAGAGGATCGGCTACTTGAGAAAGGCCATGTGAGCCTTCCAGGAAGTCTATGCATCTTTAAGGAGAAGGAAGGTCAGGGTTGGGATTCTGGTCTCCTCCGCTTCCTGTAGCAGCCAAAGCCTGCACCGTCACCACCATCCAAATCCTTTCTCAGCTTTTCCCTGGAACCCTGGCTCACCAGGAACCTACAGAGTACCATAAAACCCTATTTTTAGAAAAAACAATGCCACCAGAAGTGTCTATTTCAGAGAGCCAAAGTGCCATACAAGGTTTCTTTCTTTTTTTTTTTTTCTTTTTAAGACGGAGTCTCACTCTATTGCCAGGCTGGAGTGCAATGGCGCAATCTTGGCTCACTGCAAACTCCACCTCCCGGGCTTAAATGGTTCTCCTGCCTCAGCCTCCCGAGTAGCTGGGATTACAAGCATGCGCCACCACGCCAGGCTAATTTTTGTATATTTAGTAGAGATGGGGTTTCACCATGTTGGTCAGGCTCGTCTTGAACTCCTGACCTCAGATGATCCACCTGCCTTGGCCTCCCAAAGTGCTGGGATTACAGGTGTGAGCCACCGCAACCGGCCTCTTTTTCTTTAAAAGAAAAAAACACAAAAACAATCTGACAGTTTGAACCTTTTGTATCACTCTCTTGGTGACTGATTATGGGTGCCCGAAATCAGTCATAAAGGAGAAGACAGCACAGGAAGGACTTTCCTCCCAACTCTAATTTCAATGAGACGTGTTCAGCTTACAGCATTTTTTTTTTTTTTTTTTGAGACGGAGTCTCACTCTTTTGCCCAGACTGGAGTGCAGTGGCTCTATCTTGACTCACTGCAAGCTCCGCCTCCCGGGTTCACGCCATTCTCCTGCCTCAGCCTCCCGAGTAGCTGGGATTACAGGTGCCCGCCACCACGCCCAGCTAATTTTTTTTGTATTTTTAGTAGAGACAGGGTTTCACCATGTTAGCCAGGATGGTCTCAATCTCCTGACCTCATGATCCACCTGCCTCGGCCTCCCAAAGCGTTGGGATTACAGGCGTGAGCCACCGCGCCCGGCCCAGCTTACAGCTTTTTAACAAACGGCTCATCGAAGGCACTAGAAGGCTGGGCTTCTCCCACATGAAAGTGCACACAAATCACCTGGAGGTTAAAATGCAGTTTGTGAGAGCAGAGGTGTGGGCAGGGCCTCGAAAGGCTGCACGTCTAACCAGGGCTCCCAACGCAGGTGCAAGGGACCTCATTTTGAGAAATAAACCTCTAAAAGACTCGAAGCTCTTAAAGTAGAAAGGAAAGCCAGCATGTATTAGATTGGTGCAAAAGTAATTGCGGTTTCTGCCATTGTAAGTAATGGTAAAAAACTGCAATTACTAGTACTTCAATAATGAGCTAAAACAATTGTATTTCTGGGTGGATAGCTGTGTTTGCATTGTTGTTGATCTGACTCAAACTCATGCACCTCCTTACTCATTTCTGAAATGGTGAGGTCACATGTTTTGCAGTCATGAAGAAAACATTGCAATTTCACAGAAACAGCCTGAACAACTGGGTCTCAGGCTACCCCACTCCCTCAGTTATCCATGCCTGGGGAAAACCTTCTATGAAGATTCCTAATTCTTACTCCTCATGCCAGCAGCTCCCTGCACATGCACACTGTGTTACACACACTTTTTTTTTTTTTTTTTTTTGAAACAGGATCTTTCTCTTCTGCCCAGGCTGGAATGCAGTGATGTGATCACGGCTCACTGCAGCCTCGACCTCCTGGGTCAGCCTCAGGAGCTGAGGAAGCGATCCTCCCACCTTAGCCTCCCAAGTAGCTGGGACCACAGGGGCATGTCACTACATGCAGCTAATTTTTGTATTTTTTTGTAGAGACAGGGTCTCACCATGTTGCCCAGGCTGGTCTCAAATTCCTGGGCTCAAGCAATCTTCCCACCTCAGCTATGTTGGGATTATAGGCGTGAGCCACCACTCTTGGCCATACACACTTTTTTTTTCTTTTTTTTTGAGACTCCTTCTTGCTTTGTCGCCAGGCTGGGGTGCAGTGGCGTGATCTCAGCTCACTGCAACCTCCTCCTCCCGGGTTCAAACGATTCTCCTGCCTCAGCCTCCCAAGTAGCTGGGACCACAGGCACCTACCACCACGCTCGGCTAATATTTTGTATTTTTAGTAGAGACAGGGTTTCACCATGTTAGCCAGGATGGTCTCGATCTCCTGACCTTGTGATCCACCCACCTCGGCCTCCCAAAGTGCTGGGATTACAGGCGTGAGCCACCGCACCTGGCCAACAATACACACTTCTTAAGGCCAACTGCCAAGCACCATCGTCCTCACACATCTACTGAGAGCAGGATAAACTCGGTCCAACCCTTTTTGTGAAAGTGGAACTTGACAGCACCGGAGGGAGACTGCGGCCAGCCTGAGGCCAGCCTCTGGAGGGGCCAGGACGCTTGTCTCCTCTGGGTGAGGCGGGGCAGCCAGGTAAAGCAGCTGAAGGCGAGCAGGTTGTCATTCACCTGGCAGATGCATAACTCACAGGGGTCACCAGGCGACCAGATCTGTCCAATCGGAAACTCAACCCCGTTGTCGTCAAGAGAGCAGCCTGGATGAGGACAATGGCAGAGAAAAGACGGCACAAGACCTAGACTACAACAGCAGCAAGGACAGATGCCTCATGCGCACAAACACACACAGACACCGATATCACTCACACACGGACACACAAACTTACACACACTCATACAAATGCACACTTACACAGATACAATTCACACAGATACACATACACTCATACAAATGCACACTTAAATATACATGTACACACAGATACCATTCATGCACAGAGACATACACATACCGATACAAATGTACATTTGCATACACACACAGATACAACAGACACACATGCTGATACAAATGTACATTTGCATACACACACAGATACAACACAGACACACATGCACACAGACACACACATACTCATACAAATGCACATTTACATACACACACAGATACAACACAGACACACATGCACACAGACACACACATACTCATACAAATGCACATTTACATACACACACAGATACAACTCACACAGACACACACTCATACAAATACACTTACATACACATACATATGCTCAGACACACACACACAGATACTACTCAGAGAGACACAAACTTACACACAGACACACTCATAGAATCATACACTTACATGCACATACACACATACAGACATGCATGCTCACACAGGCACACACAAAAACACAAAAACAGACACATAACATACATACCACAGAGACACACTCATACTACACAAAACATACACATACATGCTCATACACAAAGACACATGTACACAGACTCCCACAGATACCATTAACACACTGACACACACACACAGAAAACTATTCAGAAACACAGAAACACACACACACAGGCACATACTAAGACATACTACACAAAACACAGATACACACTCGTACACAGGCAAAGACACATGTACACAAATTTACACACATTCATACAAATGCACACATACACATACATGCTCACACAGACGCACACTACTCACACACAGACACACAAACTTACTCTCACGCAGACACACTCATACAAACATACACTTACATGCACACACACATATGCAGACACAACAGACACAAAGATGCATGCTCACCCAGGCACACACAAAAACACAGACACATACACACACACCCACAGAGAGACACATAGACATACTACACAAAACACAGACACACACTCATATACATAAATACAAAGACACACATACGCAGGTACCACTAACACACCAACACACAGATAACCACTCACAAACTCAGAGACACACAAACTTACACACACAGGTACACACTCAGACACACTACACAAAAACTCACACTCATACACACGCACACAAAGACACATGTACACACACACACAAACAGCACACACACCAGCAGTCTCAGCAGCAGGTGAAGCTCAGCCTCTCTCCCCAGTATCCATGCCCTGTGTCGGGGCAGCCCTGGACCAGCTCACCTGTCGAGGGTGTGGGCTCCTGGCAGGTGAAGCAACACTGCCCAGGGCCCAGCCGCCACTCTTCTCGGGGGCAGGCCAGCTCAGGGCAGGGCATGAAGGAGCACTCCACCTCCCCATTCTGGAAGAGAGCCCAGGCACAGAATGATGAGGGCGGCACCCTGCCTGGGGACCATGGAGAGCTAGAGGAGGCCGCAGGCTGCCTGCCATCACCCTCCCGGCTACTCAAGTGAAACTGACAAAGAAATCTACTAAAGTGAAACTGACAAAGAAATCTCCAAGGAGCACAACAGTGGGGTGGGGGGAACTGGGAGTCCTTCAATGGGGGCTGGGTGTGAGCCCAGGAGGGCATCCTGGGAATAGGCACGGCCTTCACCATCTCTCACCCTCCCGCTTCCATCCAGGCTCCCTACTGCCTAAACCATTTGGCAGCTTCACTGAGTGCAAAGCCCTCAATGCAGCTGGTGGAGCCCTTCAGGACTGAGTCAGGGGCAGAGGCTGTCAGTGCCCACCCAGGTCCTGTCTCCGAAGTACTGCCAGTGGCTGACGGCAGCTGCGTCCTCCAGAGATGCCTAGATGGTCACCACCCCCACTCCCTGGGGAGCAGAGAGAGTCTCTATAACTGACTGGCCCTGAGGTGCAAGAGCCTTGCTCCCCAGCACGGTCCACTGCCCAGAGCTTCCCAGGGATCAGTGTGAGACCACACCTTCACCCTGCTTCCTCTCCTGCCCCACCCTTCTTCCCTCGCCAGTTTCTTCTGAGAGCACTCCCTTGGTAAGTCGCCTGCACTGGCCCTGCTTCTAGGGAACACAACCCAAGATGCAACCCCTACCTGCAGCCTTGCCGCCTGCCTGACTCTCTCCATGCTCCAGGCAGAACGGCCATCTCCAATCCTCCACCCTCTGCTGGGTACAGCAACCTCAGCTCCCCACCTGATGAGTCCCTACCACCCTCCAGGTCTCTACTTAACATCCCGCCTTCCAAAAAGGCATCAGGAGCCCTGGGCACCCGGCCATCAACCCACCTAGGCAGTGGGCTTCCGGACCAAGGGGACTGGGGCTTCCTTGTGCTTAGCTGTGTCCCCAGCACACAGTAGGTGCTCTGTAAATAGCAGTGTTGAAAGATGAAGTTCAAAGAGACTGTGGGAAGACCTGGGGGATCCCTGTAGTGCCTTTGCTTCCTCAGTTTCCCTGTTGCTGTATGACAACTCATGTTCTCCTAGTCATGTCAACCTGAGTAAAGTGTTGTGCCTCGCTCCCCTCTCCATCAATTCCACAGGCTTTGGGACGCTCAGCCACCATACCTGGCAAACACAGGTGGTACACTCGTCACCACCCCCACTGAACACAGCCCCGTCTGCGTACCACCGGCCGTGGAAATAGCATCTCACTGCAGAGGAGAAAGGGAGAAGCAACTCAAGGTCTTTGGGCAGAGGCAGCTAAAGAAAGGGGGGAACAAATGGGTAGGGAGCCCCGGGGCACTTAACACACACCCACAACACTCCACAGCATGCTCCGTGCCCAGGAACCCAAAGCACTTCTCCCCCTCCAAACCCCAGACACAAAACAAGTCATGCCGACAAAGGGGTGGGTGTGGCAGTTCATGTCTGTAATCCCAACATTCTGGGAGGCCAAGGTGGGAGGATCTCTTGCAGCCAGGAGTTTGAGACCAGTCTGGTCAAAACAGCGAGACCCCATCTCTACAAAAACTTTAAAAAATTAGCTGAGTGCAGCAGTGCGTGCCTGTTGTCCTAGCTAATCAGGAGGCTGAGGCAGGAGGATGGCTTGAAACCAGGGGTTGAGGTTATAGTGATTGCACCTCTCTACTACAGCCTGAGCGACAGAGCAAGACCCCATGTCAACAACAACAAAAAAGTCTGACAAAGAATGAGTCACATGTAAGATGAGGTCCTCAGCCAAAAAGGCAGGGGAAGCCCTAAATAACTAAAAAGTAACAGAAAAAAAGAAATAAAAAGAGACTGTCCAACACCTAAGACAAAGGTGCTACCTTAGACAAATGATGCTACCACCCCCTGGAGGCTGTGAGAATTTGGGGAGAGGCTTTGATTTGAAGATCCACTCCAGCGAAAAAACAGCCTTAGAAACTGCCCAGGCCCACCTGCCAGTAGTCAGACTGCCCTGGGCTCAAATCCGAGCTATACAACTCACCAGGGAATGACTTTGGGCAACACACTTAAAGCTCTCTAAGCCTCAGTTTTCTCATCTGTACAATGGGACCGATAAGGGTTCCTATCTCACAGAGACTACACTGACTATGCAAAAGTAAGTCAATTAAAAATAATGTAACATTTAAACATTAAGAAAAAAAACACTTAAAAAGAACACCAGCTTTGAAATCAGGTAGACTTGAATTCAAGTTCGGCTCCATTACTTAATGGTTGTGTGTCTTTAGGCAGTGACTTGAACTTTCCAAGCTTCAGTGTTCCCATCTATAAAATGGGGCAATAAATAGTACTGCCTTACAGTGGTGACATAAAGGGTTCCATGAGATGGAGTTCTGGTAAGCGCCCCACACAGCAAGGGGCACAGAGTCAGCAGGGAACATCCATGACAGCAATGAAGCCATCCCAGGAAAGAAAACCTTGTTTTTAACAAAGGACCAACTCATTAGTGGCTAAGGAGAGACCCTTCCCTGCCCTGGGACAGAGCAATGACAAGGGTGGACTGAAACTCCATCCTGCCTGAGCTGAAGGTGCCTCCTAAGGCAGGGGAAAGCTGGGCTGTGAGCACAGTCTAGCCTCAAACTGCTGTGCACATAAGTGCACAATAAAAACAGGCACTTTGAAATGCTTCACTTGATCTGAGTTTGTAAAGCAGAAAGCAATCTCCTCCCTCACTCCTCCACTCACCCCACTCCATCGCATACTCAAAAGACATGCTCCCCTACACACACAAAGAAGCAAAATGTAAAACTGAGCTCGGGGGCTCATGCCTGTCATCCCAGCACTTTGGGAGGCCAAGGCAGGTGGATCACCTGAGGTCAGGAGTTCAAGACCAGCCAGGCCAACATGGTGAAACCCCATCTCTACTAAAAATACAAAAATTAGCCCAGTGTGGCAGCAGGCGCCTGTAATCCCAGCTACTCCCTACTCCGGAGGCTCAGGCAGGAGAATCACTTGAACCTGGGAGGCGGAGGTTGCAGTGAGCTAAGATCATGCCACTGCACTCCAGCCTGGAAAGCAAGTCTCCCTCTCAAAAAAAAAAAAGGAGCAAAATGCAAAACTGGGCTTGGGGGCTCATGCCTGTCATCCCAGCACTTTGAGAGGCTGAAGCAGGAGGACCACCTGAGGCTCAACACCAGCCTGGGCAACATAGTGAGGTCTACAAAAAATCTAAAAAAAAAAAAAAAAGCAAAATGCTCCAAGAGTGTCACTTACCTGGAACACAAGTACAGCAATCCGTCTGTGGGGGGGTCTGACAGGGGCCAGAAGGACACTCAGGAGAGATGCAGGACACGTTTCCAGCCTGAGGAGGAGGCAAGAGAGGGCACTGGGGGTGCGGGTGTGGAACAGGGTTCATTCCCCATCTCACAGCAGGCCCTTCGAACAGGAAAGCTGCCTAAAGGAGGCCACAAGAAACCTTTAAAGGCTGCACCCCAGCCTGGGCAACAAAATGAGATGCCATCAGTAAGAAAAGAAAAGAGGAGAGGAAAGGAGAGAGGAGGGATGGGGGGAGGGGGAGGGAGAGGAGAGGAGAAAGGGAGGAGGAGAGGAGAGGAGAAGACAGGGAAGGGGAGGGGAGGGGAGGGGAAGGGCAGGAGAGGAGAGGGGCAGGATAGGAGACAGAGGAAGGAAGGAGGGAGGGAGGGAAGGAAGGAGAGAGGGAGGGAAGGAAGGGAGGGAGGGAGGGATGGAGGGAAGGGAGAGAGGAAGGAAGAGAGAAACAGAGAAGTGAGAGAGAAAGAAAGAGAGAGAAAGAGAAGAAAGAAACAAGAAAGAAAAAGAGAGAAAAAAGGAGGGAGGGAGGGAGGGAGGGAACTTGACTGCTGTGCTTTCATGTAGCACACAGGAAGAGTTCGATAAGGGGTGCTGGTGGTTGTCTGCATGCCCCTGATTTCACACTGCAGCATCCACCTTTGATGCCAGAGCAAGAGACACTTAAAGATGGTCATGACCCGGTGCAGTGGCTCATCCCTGTAATCCCAGCATTTTGGGAGGCCAAGGTGGGAGGATCGCTTGAGCCCAGGAATTTGAGACCAGCCTGGCCAACACAGCGAGACCCTGCCTCTACAAAAAAAAAAAAAAAAAATTAGCCGGGTGTAATGGCATGAGCCTGTGGTCTCAGCTACCTGGGAGACTGAGATGGGAGGATCGCTTGAGCCCGAGGCTGCAATGAGCTATGACTGCACCACTATACTCCAGCCTGGGCAACAGAGCAAGACACTGTCTCTAAAACAAAAAATAAAGATGGTCAGAGGGTGGCAGTGAGGGCTGGTAGACAGAGCCCTGACTTTGGGCTCAGACAGACCTCAAATCCCAGCTCTGCCACCTCCCACCCTCTGTCTTTTCATCTGCAGAATAGGGGCAGTAAAGCTGACCCCGAAGAGCTGCTGGGAGCCTCGGTGAAGAAAGAGATGAGAAGCACCAACCCTGGGCCTGGCACTCAGTAGATGCTCCTAATCAGCATTTTCTTTTTTTTTTTAAGACAGAGGCTCGCTCTGTCGCCCAGGCTGGAGAGCAGTGGCGCGATCTCAGCTCACTGCAACGTCAGCATCTGGCAGGGCAGGCACACAGTAAGTGCTTAATAACTATTCTTGCAGGAGTGAATTTGCCCAAAGCCAAATACTTTTAACAAGCTGAGTTTGGTAATGAGCCTTCTTTTTCCCAAATGTGGAGACCTTTATTGTGCTGGCAAATATTTTGCCTGGAGAGAAAAACAGCTTCCCTGGTGGGAAGTTTCCAAGGGAGTTTCGTCCCCTCCCCTTCCTAAACAGACGGACCCTGTGTGCCTGCTGGCTGTCTGCTGCGGAGCAGAAGCCTCCCTTACTCCACCAACCTTCGTGTTTTACACTTCCCTCCCCCTTTTAAATTCTACAGCTTCTAACCAAATTCCACAACCTGAGAATGTTCCCTTCCACTCAACAAGCTCACCTTTAACATCCGGTCTTTTCCCCTTCCTCTAAAACCCCCAAAGGTTAAGAAAACACCCACGAGGCTTTGAGGATCTTGTGACGCTTACCAGACAGACACAGACGGTGCAGTTCTCATTGGGAGGTGAAAACACATCCCCTTCAGCTCGGACGACACCACTGTGAAAACAGCCTTTGAAGGACAAATAGGAGGTAGAGGCATCAGACCTCTTCAAAGAAGAGGAAACTTGAGGTCTCGCTGCTTCTCCATGCTTAATGTACCTGGAACATTCTCTCACTGCCCTAGGTGTCCCAGGAGTGGTAGATTCAGGGTACTCTGACTGTGTGGTCCTGCAAGGATCAGCCGTGGTGGCCCCAGAAGGGTCCATTCATGTCTCACAAACCCACAACTGTCTGGAGAGCACAACATTTTCTTCCCAGAGGGCAGGAAAGGCAGCCTGGTTTCAAAACCTGAGGCCAGGTGCAGTGGCTCACACCTGTAACCCCAGCACTTTGGGAGGCCAAGGCGGGCAGACCACAAGGTCAGGAGTTTGAGACCAGCCCGGCCAACATGGTGAAACCCCGTCTCTACTGAAAATACAAAAATTAGCTGGGCGTGGTGGCGTGTGCCTGTAATCCCAGCTACTCGGGAGGCTGAAGCAGGAGAATCGCTTGAACCCGGGAGGCAGACGTTGCAGTGAGCCGAGATCGCGCCACTGCACTCCAGCCTGGGTGACAAAGCAACACTCCGTCTTAAAAAAAACAAAAAAACAAAAACAAAAAAAAAAACTGGCCATCCAGCTTCGTTAACCAGCGTGTCCCTGGACATGTCACTTCACCTCTCTAGTACCCAGATTGTCTTCACTGCAAAATGAAAACACCACCATGTACCCTGCAGGGATCTTGGAAGGATCCAAAACCTGGGCAATAAAGTACCCAATACTTCGCACTCAAGACTCAGCGTGTTGCGGGGACATAGCCCACAACAGTCATTAAGAAAATCAAGCCAGGCCCAGCGGCTCATGCCTGTCATCCCAACACTTTGGGAGGCCGAGGCGGGCAGATCACTCGAGGTCAGGAGTTCAAGACCAGCCTGGCCAACATGGCGAAACACTGTTGCCAATAAAAAAAAAGTACAAAAATTAGCCAGGCTTGGTGGTGGGTGGCTATAATCCCAGCTACTTGGGAGGATTGCTTAAACCCTAGAGGCGGAGGCTGCAGTGAGCCGAGATCACACCACTGCACTCCAGCCTGGGTGACAGAGCAAGACTCCATCTCAAAAAAAAACAAAAACAAAAAAACAAAAAAAAACCAGTGCATTTCCATTTTAACCCTTAGGAAGACTTTTTAACTACTGCTCAATCTCCAGCAACCTCAGTGTCATATCACCAAGACCATCAGACAAAGAATCCCCTCCCAGACCAACTGAATGAGAATCTGCTTTTTTTCTTTTTTCTTTTTAGCCAGGGTCTCACTCTGTTGCCCAGGCTGGAGTGCAGTGGCACAAACATGGCTCACTGCAGCCTCGACCTCCTGAGCTCAGGTGATCCTCCCACCTCAATCTCCCAGGCAGGTAAGATTACATGTACACGCCACCATACCTGGCTAACTTTTTGTATTTTTTGTAGACACGGGTCCTCCCTATAGACACGGGGCTAGTCTCAAACTCCTGGGCTCAAGTGATCCGCCCACCTCGGCCTCCCAAAGTGCTGGGATTACAGGCTTGAGCCAGCATGCCCAGCCAAGAATCTGCATTTTAATAAGAATCCCCTTGATTCAACTGCAGAGCAAGTTTCGAGAAGCTCTGTTAAGGATCTGTGAAGAATTTGGGTCCCTATCCTTCCAGCAATGGGAAGCAAATGAAAAACCATCAGCAGATGGCGGGGGCGAGTCAAAAAGGGGGCAGAATTTAGAAACAACTACTCCTCCGCCTGTAGGAGGGTAACTGGGCAGGAGAAGGGGACTGCACAGTGGATTTAAAGAGGCTCAATGAATGACTGAATAAATGAAAATGAGCGAATGAAGCTGAAAACAGATGCCCAGAAGATGAAAAGTCCCCCTTGAGGCATATTACAGCATAAATGAGTGGTTCTCAAAGTATGGTCCCTAGACCAGCCACGTCAGTATCACCTGGGAACCTGTTCAAAACGCACATGTTCTGGCCCTATCCCAGACCTACTACATCAGAAGCTCTGGGAGCAGCGCCAAGGGAAGTGTGGCTTAGTAAACCCTCCAGGAGATTCTAATGTATGCTAATGTTAAAGAACAGCCTTTTGGCTGCAGGAGGGTGCAGAGAAAGGAAGAGGCAGGACTATGTCCTTCCCTGGCACCAGCTCTCACCTGTGCACGATGGGCAGCACCCACCATCTCTGGAGGGAATTGGGTGGGAACAAGCAGCTTCACACCTCACCTTTTCACAGGTCACCTTCCCGTCCTAGAAGCACAAGCAGGAGTTAGAGCCACCACAAGGCCCCAGACCAAGGAAGCTCCGGGGACCCCTAGTACCCACCTCGCACCAGCACTGGGAACACCCAGGCTCTGTCCAGCGACTCCTTGATTCATGCATGGCTCCCAGGTGCCAGCAGGGAGAGGGCCCTGCTGCCAGTCGGGGGGACTCAGGGCCCCTGGGTGAGGAAGGGGTCCCCATCACCTCCCCCTGAAGGAGTGAGGGGGGTCTGAGGTTCCCCAGCAGGGAGGCAGTAGGCACTGGGGTGGCCAGCAGGGTGGACAGCAGCCACACAGGGGCAGAAGGGGAGGATGTGGGTAGTCGTGGGGTGGGAGATGGCAGGCGGGTGGTCCTGACTCCGGCTGGGGGCCCTGGAGCCCCAGAAGGAGGGCTATGTCCTGGGGACAGGGCAGGCCGGCCGGCCTCAGGAAGCAACAGAAGCATCTTGGACGGGTGTTGCCGGGGTTGCAGGATGGCAGATGGGGCCAGCACGGCTTTCGGGAAAGCTGAAACAGAAGCACGGAGGTCTCTTGGGGTGGACAGCAGAGACAGGAGGCAGGGTTTAGGGAGACCTGGGCTCGGCTCCACCACCACAAGTCCCTGTTCACCCCCCGTGGTCTGCGCAACATTCTACTATGTTTATGGGGACACTGTCGCCGTTTGGCAGGGCGAACCACGGAAATGGCTGTCCCTGTAGCCCAGGATACTCGGACTCCTGTTGGGTTTTATCCTTTTATCATTTGGGAAAAAAACAGAAGGGCTGGGGAAACAGTGAAAAGAAGAAGGAAGAATGGATAAAGAAGTGGAAAAAGAAAGCGAGGAAGAAAGTGGAGTGTTGAAAGTAACAAACAAGATGAACTCAAAACAAGGGCAGAGCAGAAAGGGAGCCTAGCGCCAGGTGGGCGGGGCCGGGGTAGGGCGGGGCCAGGAGCTGAGAGGGCGTGGCTGGGCGCCGGGAGGGCGTGACGGGGAGGGGCCAGGCTATGGGGGGGCGTAGCTGGGGCAGGCACTGAGGGGGCGTGGCCAGCCGCCGGGATGGAGGGGCCTGGCGCTCACCTTCACAGGACACGCGGTCAGCTCGGAGCCTGAAGCCAGGTCGGCATGTGCATAGGAAGCTGCCCACGGTGTTGTGGCAGGAATGGTGACAGACTCGCCTCTCCAATGGCCTCCGACACTCGTTTACATCTGCGGGAGAGCCTCGCTGCGGACAGCTGCTTTGTTTGGGCTACGGAGCCCTTCTTCCGCCCATCCCTTAGCTCAAAACACTTGGGGAGTTTCTCTGCCATGTTCTTACAGGGTCCATGCCTGCCCCGAGGTGCGGGATGTGACTCAGACAGCTGGGAGCGGGGCTGAAATCTAGTGCTTGTCTTGTTAATAGGTTCACACATCGAGCAGGTATTTAATGCGAGTATCAGAGACTCAGCCCCAGCACTATGCAGCGGTAATTAATTGCTGCGTGGTAGGGGTAAGCCCCAATGAGAAGCTCATCTCCAAACCTTCCACCCTCCCGTTTTTCTTTCCGAAAAAAGTCTCAAAACTCACTGGGCTGCTGAAGGAAGGCTTCGGGACAAATACCTAACTCCGCTAGAACAAGGTCTTTTTTCAGGCCCATGGGACCCCACCTTAAACCCATGAGCCAAGCTCAAACCAAACATGCCAATCCCTTTCTGGAAATTTCTGCTAATGGGCTGAGAAAACAGGGTCTCCTTCTAAACCAGAGGAACCAAGACATAACGTGCTTTATTTACCAAGGGGAGCAAAGGCAGCCAAGAAAATGGGTGAGCAGAGAGGAATCCTTGGGGTGTATCTGGGAGAGGAGCGGAAGAGAAACATAACAGGATGAAAGTGGCAAATGGCCAGGAAAAGTCCAAGACAGGGTCTTCATGCAGAGCCACACCAACCCCAGGGACAGGCAGGCTCTGAGCCAAAGGCTCAAGCCCCTTCAAGCTCCAGAGGACCAGAAAGTCTAATTGTTAACCTTCCCGGGTCCCTGGGCTCCCTGTCCATCCTCCTGATTGGCAGCCTAAGTGTGCAGACCACAGGGTCCTCCCCGCCTTACCTACACAGGAGTGCCGGTTGCCATGAAGGTGGAAGCCAGTTCGACAGGAACACTTGTAGCTGCCAATGCTGTTTTTACATCTCTGCTGACAGGGAGTCCCTAGGCATTCGTCAGTGTCTGGCAGGAAAAGGGACAAGACTGGGGTTCATTTCCCCAACAGAACCTTGGAAATATATGGTCCCCTCTTCCTCCCTCATCTCCATCTCCTATACACACAGGGCTGTGGGGAACCACCTTAGCTGCCCCTCTTCTGCACTGCCCACATCCAGTCCTAAATACTCTCTGGACCAGCCCACGTCTCTCATCCTCACTGCTACCCCTTAGCCCGGCCACATTCATCTCTAGTCTGGAGAATAGCCAGAGCCTCCAGTGTGTCTATCTCTACCTAGGTTCCTTCAAGCCATCCTCTGCACAGCCTCCAGGATGTTCTGACCAAAGGGCATTTCTAATCAGGGCCCTTCTGCTCAAAACCTCTCCGCTGCTCCCACAGGCCACAGACCTCATCTTAGGGTAAGACAGCAATGCCGCCCCATAGCTCACGATGCCTTTGAACACAGTCCTGGTTGCCTTGCCCACCTCCTTCCTTGCCCCTGACCTTCACTCTGGCTTAAATTCTTTTTTGTTGTTGTTGTTGTTTTTTGAGACAGAGTTTTGCTCTTTTTGCCCAGGCTGGAGTACAATGGCGCGATCTCAGCTCACTGCGGTCTCCATCTCCTGGGTTCAAGCAGTTCTCCTGCCTCAGCCTCCCAAGTAGTTGGGATTACAGGCATGCACCACCATGCCTGGGTAATTCTGTATTTTTAGTAGAGATGGGGTTTCACCATGTTGGTCAGGCTGGTCTCAAACTCCTGACCTCAGGCGATCCACCTGCCTTGGCCTCCATTACAGGCGTGAGCCACTGCACCTGGCCACTGGCTTAAATTCTTGCCATCTTCCAAATGCACCACGCTCTTTTGGTGCTCCACTTTTGCCCATGTTCTCTGTCTGCCTCGAATGCCTTTCCCTCTTGTCTGGCTGGAAAACTCCTACTCATACTTCAAAACTCAGCTTCAGTGGAACCTCCTCTGTAAAAGTTCCCTAGTGCTGTTTGAAATTGTGAAAAACTGGAAATAATCTCCATGTTCATCAATAAGAGAAGAGTTAGTAAACTATGAAATATTTGCACTGCAGAGTCAGCAGTTAAAAGGAACAAGGCAAGTCTATTTACCCTGATGTGGAAACATCTTCAAGACCAACGTTGGGCAGGGGTAAGGGGAACAAGCAAAGGAATGACTAGGTTCAAATCCCAACTCTGGCTGGGTGCAGTGGCTCATGCCTGGAATCCCAGCCCTTTGGGGGCCAAAGCGGGAAGGATAGCTTAAGGCCAGGAATTTGAGACCAGCCTGGGCAACACAGCAAGACCTCATCTCTACAAAAAAAAAACAAAGAAAGAAAGAAGAAAAAAACCTTAGCTCTAATGGGATCTTAAGCAAGTAACAATTTCCTTAAGCCTCAGTGTTCCTTTCAATAAAATGGAGATAGATAATACCAACTTCACTGGGTAATTGTGAGGGCGAAAGGAGAAAATGCGTGTAAAGTGCTTAGCCCAGGACCCAGGACCTGAGAGTTCAGCAACTATCCTATCTCTGTAAGTGCCCATGTACGTACGTACACATCATGGGGAGGGGCAAGGAGGGCACACAGCAGACCAATGCCTGAGTGCTATGGACTAAACTCTGTCCCCTCAAAAATCGTGTTGAAGCCCTAACCGCCAATGTAATGGCATTTGGAAGATATGCAGGTAAGATAAGTAGATAAGAAGATAATTAGGGTTACATGAGGTCATGAGGGTGTGCCCTCTTGATGGGATTAGTGTCCTTTTAAGAAGAGACATGAGAGGCCTAGCTGGGTGGCTCACGCCTGTAATCCCAGCACTTCAGGAGGCCAAGGCGGGCAGATCATTTGAGGTCAGGAGTTCAAGACCAGCCTGGCCAACATGGTGAAACCTCATCTCTACTAAAAATACAAAAATTAGCCAGTCGTGGTGGCGCACACCTGTAACCCTAGCTACTTGGGAGGGTTGGAGGATCGCTTGAACCCAGGAGGCGGAGGTTGCAGTGAACTGAGATTGCAACAATGCACTCCTGGGCAACAGAGGGAGTGTCCTCTGTCCTCCTCCATGTCAAAAAAAAAAAAGAAGAAGAAGAGATACCAGAGAGCTCTCTCTCCAAGTGAGGACACAGCAAGAAGACTGCTTTCTGAAAGCCAGGAAGAGCCCTCACCAGAAACTGAATTAGCCAGTGCCTTAATCTTGGACTTTGCAGCCTCCAGAACTATGAGAATCAATGTCAGTGGTAGAAGCCCCCAGCCTGTGGAATTTTATCATGGCCGCCCAAGCAGACTAAGACGCGCAGGCTATTCTCCAGGGAGAGCAGAGGGCAGCAGTGGGAAAGAGGGCCTGGGCTAGCACCATGGCTTTTAAATTTTTTCTCATAATTTATGAAAATGTCAAACATAAAGAAAATAATAATGTAAGATTCAGGGGGAGGTCACAATTATCGGCCTTGTGAGATTCTTTCCATAATGTGTAAATAAAAGGCATTTTAAAAGAATGAGTAATAATTGTAAGATCTCTCATCCTGCAAACTGAAGAGGTAGGATTCCTTCTCTTCCCTGGGTTTTCCCAACACTTATCCCTCATCCTAAGCTTGTTCTTCTGCTCCCCATCAGACTTGGGGGATCCTACTCCCCAGGGTAGCTCCAGAGCCTGGGCCAGCAGTGGGGCAGGTGAAACTGATGAATGTAGTCAGTGAATGACCCCATCCCGGTATGCCCCTCCCATGGCTCCTCGGGACTCATGGCCTGAGTCTCTCCCGGCCCTCCCTCATCTCAGTGGCCTCCTTCCCCAGGTTGGTCGGCCCACTCTGCCCTGGCTCTCCTCACGGCCTCTCCTCCATCACCATCCCTTTATCCTGCAACAGCAGCAGCAGGTACTTTGTTTTCTGAGATGAAGTCTCACTCTGTCGTCCAGGCTGGAGTGCAGTGGTGCAATTTCGGCTCACTGCAACCTCCACCTGCTGGGTTCAAGCAGTTTTCCTGCCTCAGCCTCCCGAGTAGCTGGGATTACAGGTGCTCGCCACCACGCCTGGCTAATTTTTGTATTTTTAGTAGAGACGAGGTTTCACCATGTTGGCCAGGCTGGTCTCAAACTCCTGACCTGAGGTGATCCTCCCGCCTTGACCTCCCAAAGTGCAAGGATTACAGATGTGAGTCAACCCACCAGGCCAGCAGCAGTCGGTTCTAACTGTTAGATGTGCTGGGATTCAAACTCTGACTCCACCTCTTACTAACGACTTGGCCTTGGGCAAGCCTCAGTCTCCACATCAGTCAGACAGGAACCATAATAGCATCTCCCTCCGAAGCCGGTGGTGAAGGTTCAATGCAGTGGCACACAGAGCACACTGCACTGGGCATGGCAGGGCTGAGTGTTCAATGTGGCATCCCCATTACCCCTCCCAGAGCAGCCATTCCTTCTCTGCAGCTCACCTTGGCAGCTGTGGCGGTCGGCAGACAGCTGCATGCCCGGCCCACACTCGCACACAAACCCACCTTCTGTGTTCACACAGTGGCCCTCGCAGGAGGAGGTTACACATTCGTCAATGTCTGGAAAGACAGAAAGCACGTGTTTACACAGTGGTCCTCGCAAGAGGAACTTACACATTTGTCAGTGTCTGGGAAGAAAGCACCCTTGCAGGCCGGGCATGGTGGCTCACGCCTGTAATCCCAGCACTTTGGGAGGCCGAGGCCCATGGATCACCAGAGGTCGGAGTTCAAGACCAGCCTGACCAACATGGAGAAACCCCGTCTCTACTAAAAATACAAAATTAGCCAGGCATGGTGGTGCATGCCTGTAATCCCAGCTACTCGGGAGGCTGAGGCAGGAGAATCGCTTGAACCCAGGAGGCGGAGGTTGCGGTGAGCCGAGATTGCGCCATTGCACTCCAGCCTGGGCGACAAGAGCAAAACTCCATCTCAGGAAAAAAAAGAAGGCCGGGCGCGGTGGCTCACGCCTGTAATCCCAGCTCATTGGGAGGCTGAGGCGGGCAGATCACGAGGTCAGGAGATCAAGACCATCCTGGCTAACATGGTGAAACCCCGTCTCTACTAAAAATACAAAAAATTAGCTGGGCGCGGTGGCGGGCACCTGTAGTCCCAGCTACTTGGGAGGCTGAGGCAGGAGAATGGCGTAAACCTGGGAGGCGGAGCTTGCAGTGAGCCAAGATCGCACCACTGCACTCCAGCCTGGGCGACAGAGCGAGACTCCATCTCAAGAAAGAAAAAAAAAGAAAAGAAAAGAAATCTCCCTTGCACGGCCCTCTCTGACATGACTGTGACTCAGGAACAAATCAACCCCACAAGGACCCTGAGCCCACACCAAGCCTGCCCTCAGCAGCATGGAATCCCCACCTGCACCCCAGGAAAAAAGAGCAGACACCAGGAAGGTCACTGGCTATGAGGAAACCCCAGGAAGGAAGAGGCCAAGGGACTGGGGCCCCCTTTAACCCATGAAGATCAGATGACGAGAGAAGACGGCTGAGACCAAACGTTTCCAATGGCCCTGGCCCTCAGGGCAACCCCAAAGGGCCCTCAAACGGGCAGAGGGCAGTGGACAGGGAGGTTGATTAAATAATCAACAGAGTCATTCTCTTAAAGGTTCATAGAGCACCAACTGCGTGCAGCAGACCCAGAGGGGTGCTGTTGAGGACGCAAATGTGACTAACTAAGACACAGCGCTGACTCCAGATGTTCACGGTCTGATAACACAGGAGCCAAGACACACACCCAGGGGAGAACAGTGCCTGCTGGGATGATATATGCCCCACCAGTGACAGACTGGCCCAGGCAGGCATGCCCTGGAAGAGCGACTGGCTGAGAGGACCAGGAGTATCGGGAGAAGGACTGCCCAGGTGGAGAAAGGGTCTGAGGTGCTTCCAGGCAGCAGCTGGGCTCCTTGCAAACTGTACTGAGGCCCAGAGTAGCTGAAGCTTGGGTTCCTTTTGAGGCAGCAGGAGACAGGACTGAAGATATGGATTAAGAGGAGACTAAGGCCAGGCGCAGTGGCTCACGCCTGTAATCCCAGCACTCTGGGAGGCCGAGGTGGGTGGATCACGAGGTCAGGAGATTGAGATTATCCTGGCCAACATGGTGAAACCCCGTCTCTACTAAAAAAAAATACAAAAATTAGCTGGGCATGCTGGCACGTGCCTGTAATCCCAGCTACTTGGGAGGCTGAGGCATAAGAATCGCTGAACCAGGAAGTCAGAGGTTGCAGTGAGCCGAGATCGCACCACTGCACTCCAGCCTAGCAACAGAGTGAGACTCTGTCTCAAAAAAAAAAAAAAAAAAAAAAAAGATGAGACTAAGTTGCAGTGACTAAATCCAAGTAGTACTTTACGAAGGTGAGCCTAGTGAGATGTTCTGATCTGAGGGATGATAGGAGCTGGGAGACAGATTTCCCCAAATCATGCTTCATGCCATCCCTTCCCTGCCAAAGATCCGCAGCAGCTTCTGAGGACCTACGGGCTCAGCTCAGTCTACTCAATCTGCACTCACTGTGTAGTGAGCCTCGCCACTGTGGCCCCCAAGCCCATGGGACACCCCCACTCTCCTTATCCCCTACTTAGCCTTCTACCCAGCAGCTACCCACTCTTCCCAACAGCTGGACCGTCAAGACCATGCTCAACACCGCTAAGAAGCCCACTCTGACTAACCCCATTCCACTGGGATGTCTCGTGGCTACAGTCAGTGCCACCCTGTCCTGCAAGTGCTTTGACATTGTTCTCTGGCTTTTCCTTGGTTCCGTTTGCCTCTGCAATGAGAAATACGTGCAGAAAATGTCCCAAGGTGAAAGGCATTCAGGAGCAGATCAATTGCTTCCATTGGTTTTCCTATCTGGAGGAGATGCTGCAACAAGCAATGAGCTCCAAGACCCCTTTATTGAGACCCTTGGACCCAACAGCGTCCTTCTGGGAAATAATCAGAGAAGCTGACAGGAAGCCTCTTTATGGCGCGTTTTTTTTTTTTTTTTTGAGACGGAATCTCGCTCTGTCACTCAGGCTGGAGTGCAGTGGCGCGAACTTGGCTCACTGCAACCTCCGCCTCCCGGGTTCAAGCAATTCTTCTGCCTCAGCCTCCTGAGTAGCTGGGATTACAGGCACCCGCCACCACACCCACCTAATTTTTGTATTTTTAGTAGAGACGGGGTTTCACCATGTTGGTCATGGCTGGTCTCGAACCCCTGACCTCGTGATCCACCCACCTCGGCCTCCCAAAGTACTGAGATTACAGCGGTGAGCCACCGTGCCCGGCCCTATGGCAGCATTATTTATACTGGTGAAACACTGCAAACCTCTTAAATAAGGGACAACAGACAAATAGTTATTTCAATTACAGCAACCACATATGTAACTGCTAAAAAAAAATTTTTTTTCTTTTTGTTTTTTTGAGACAGTCTTGCTCTGTCGCTAGGCTGGAGTGCAGTGGTGTGATCTCGGCTCACTGCAACCTCCACCTGCTGGGTTCATGCAATTCTCCTGCCTCGGCCTCCTGAGTAGCCGGGATTACAGGCATGTACCACTACACCAGCTAGTTTTTGTGTTTTTAGTAGAGACAGGGTTTCACCATGTTGGCCAGGCTGGTCTTGAACTCCTGACCTCAAGTGATCCACCCGCCTCGGCCTCCCAAAGTGCTGGGATTACAGGCGTGAGCCACCAAGCCTAGCGAAAAAAAAAATTATGTTGCAAGGAATTGTTAGTGATGCCTACAACATAAAGTTAGATGGGAAAAATAATAAAAGCTACAGATAAGATATAATCCCAGTTTTATAAAGCATACATATATGCTGCATGCTTAACATACATACACACACATACACACACTCACAAACACAGACACACCCAGGGAAAAGGGCAGGAAAAAAAACTTCATTTTAGTAACAAATATCTCCGGGTGGGGACTTCCAGAGAATGCTTATTTTCATCTTTCTCCTCTTACTTTCCAAATGTTCTACAATGAACTATCTCTTGCTTTTCTATTCAGGGGGAGAAATATTACTTTTACGAAGTTAAAACTCCAAAAAGGCTTTTGTCGCTCTGGAAAGATTGACAAGAAACTGGTCACAGTGACTGTTTCTGGGGAAGGTAACAGATTTTGTCCGTAGAAATGTTTTAAAAATCACAAGCAAATAATACATTCACAAACTAATTATTGAGTTTAGCGTCCCTCATCTTTTAAATGTCATTTTCCCAAGGAGCCTCCCCTGGCCAACCCTCCCAACTCTGGGTTCCATGCCCCTCTGTGGGCCCTGGCACCTTGCCCTTCCCAGTGAAGGTCCCCATGACAATGGAGCTGTTCTTGTCCTGTTACTTGTCTTCCTTCCTCATATTCAGAAACTCCCTAATGGGGCTGGGTGCGGTGGCTCACGCCTGTAATCCTAACACTTTGGGAGTCCGAGGTGGGTGGATCACCTGAGGTCAGGAGTTCGAGACCACCCTGGCCAACATGGCAAAACCCTGTCTCTACTAAAAATACAAAAATTAGCTGGGTGTGGTGGCACCCGCCTGTAATCCCAGCTACTGAGGAGGCTGAGGCAGGAGAATCATTTGAACCCAGGAGGTGGAGGCTGCAGTGAGCTGAGACCATGCTACTTCACTCCAGCCTGGGCAAAAGAGTGAAACTTCGTCTCAAAAAAAAAAAAAAAAAAAACTCCCTAACAGGGACCAACTGTGGCTCCCATAACCCCAGTCCCTAGCTCAGTTCCTGCCCCTAAGAAGTGCTCAATAAATAATTGTAAAATAACAGAAGTGACACATTTCTTTTGTTCTCATGTCTCTCTGCCCACTCTCAAACATCAGAGCCTATCTTGGCTCAGCTTAGCCTTGCAATACACTGGAGACCATCCTGGCAGGAGGGGGAGGAGATATAATTCCCGCTGTCCCCCTCCCCCTCCCCCACCACTCCCAGGCGTCTCACCTGTACACCTGATGCCAACAGCTGTCTCCGTCATCGAGAAGCCCACGGGGCACACTCGGGCCACCTCCTGACAGCCTCCATGGTTGCAGGTAAGGTCACAGCCGTACTCCCCACATGGTCCATGGGTTTCTAGAGCAGGCATCACACCAGTGAGCATGCACCCCGTGGCAGTCCCAACCATCCCCACTTCACCAGGGTCCTCCTGAATTCTGTTGGGAGGGTAGCTCTGAAGGCAAACAGGCCTGGGTTTAAATCCAGCTCTGCCATTTACCAGCTGTGTGACCCCGGGCAAGACAATAACTTCTGTGTCTCAGTTTCTTCATCTATAAAATGGGCACAAAATGTCTACCTAATGGAGTTGTCTGAAGCTGAGACACCAGGACACATCTCAAGTGCCCACTGCCCAGGACATAACCTCAATGCTCATTCATCTGTTCCCATCAGCCCCTTC
The DNA here is from genome assembly GCF_000001405.40 of Homo sapiens. Lineage (NCBI taxonomy): Eukaryota > Metazoa > Chordata > Mammalia > Primates > Hominidae > Homo > Homo sapiens. Next base: position 61,291,250 of record NC_000011.10, read on the forward strand.
CCATCCCCAGTTACCTGGGCAGGTGGCCCCTTGCTCTCCATCCTGGCAGGAGCAGACATTGGGAGCGATGCAGATGCCACTCCCACAGCCGAAGGAGCAGAGGGCTGAGAGGAGAAGTGCAGGTGAGACACGAGGAACTGGGGCCTCCCGTCTGCCCCTCGGACCAGGGACTGAGGGCTGGCAACACACACTGCTGGAGGAGAAGACTTGGGGCACAGGGACAAGCACTTACGCAGGGTGCAGTGCCCACCACCCATAGAGGGCGCCCAGCCAGGGCAGCAGCCACTCCCAAACCCAGAGAGGCAGACGTGGGGGCCCAGTCGGCGTCTGCAAGAGAAGAGAGAGCACTTTCCTCATTCTATACTGGGGGAGACATTGGTCAACAGGAAAGTCTCCCAGCCAGTGTGTAAGTGAATCAACAAACAATTCTCAAGAACTGTCTGGAGGGGCAATGGGAAGTTTCCAAAGAAAAATGACCCAAACAGTCTTCTCCTGGAGGCAAGACAGAGACAAAAGTGTGAGACAATAGATACTGGCCTCCTACAGATATCTGCCACGTGAACACACAGCAGAGTGGCCAGGAGAGGGGCCTCAGAGTTGAAGAAAGGCTGTGCAATAGATGAGGAGCCCCAGGGGTGGCTGCCTCAGGACCTTTGCACTTGCAGTTCCTGCTATAAGAAAGGTTCTTATGGCTGGGTGTGGTGGCTCACGCCTGTAATCCCAGCACTTTGGGAAGCCGAAGCAGGCTGATCATTTTGAGCCCAGGAGTTTGAGACCAGCCTGGGCAACATGGTGAAACCTCGTTTCTACTAAAAACACAAAAACTAGCTGGGCATGGTGACACACACCTGTAGGGTCAGCTACTCGGGAGGCTGAGGTGGGAGAATGGCTTGAGCCTGTGAGGCAGAGGTTGCAGCGAGCCAAGTTGGCGCCACTGCCCTTCAGCCTAAGTGACAGAGCCAGACCGTCTCAAAACAAAAAAAAAAAAAAGAGAGAGAGAAAGATTCTTCCTCAGACACACACTGGGCTTCCTCTCTCCCTTCACCCAGATCTCTGCCCATGGCACCTTCTCAGAGAGGCCTTCCTTGTCCACCCTTACCTTGCTTTATTCTCCACAACATTTACTTCCTGTGACATTAGATTTTAATTTATTAATTCATTGTCTCCCCTACAACTCCCTGATGACAAGGGTTTCTTATCTATTTACCCCAGCACGTACAGGAGTGCCTGGCATGTAGTAGGTGCTCAATAAATGGCTGTTGAGGGAAAGGTTGAGAAGGGCAATGGCATAGGTGACATCTCTTGGGTGGGTGTGGGGTCATGAATGAGCTGCCCAAAACTGGAGGCAGTAGGGGTCTGTTCAAGCAGGAATGAGGTCCAGAAAGGGCAGGAAGCCAGATGCATCCAACTGGTGCTGGGTGCTGAGTAAGGCGTGACCATACAGCCATAAACAAACTACTGCCCCCACCTTCAAGGAAAGTAGGGCAGACCAGGAGCTAGGTGATAACAGCATAGAGTGACAAATGCCACAGTGGGACAGACTGTGGAGCCCTGAGGAGGGTCAGGGGGGGTTCCTGGAAGGGCAGCATCTAGGCTGAGGTGAGAGAGAAAACTTTGGGAGGCCAAGGCAGGCAGATAACTTGAGGTCAGGAGTTTGAGACCAGCCTGGCCAACATGGCAAAACCCTGTCTCCACTAAAAAAAAAATACAGGCCGGGCGCGGTGGCTCACGCTTGTAATCCCAGCACTTTGGGAGGCCAAGGCGGGCGGATCACCCGAGGTCAGGAGTTTGAGACCAGCCTGACCAACATGGAGAAACCCCGACTCTACTAAAAATGCAAAATTAGCCGGGCATGGTGGCGCATGCCTGTAATCCCAGCTACTTGGGAGGGTGAGGTAGGAGAATTGCTTGAACCTGGGAGGCGGAGGTTGCGGTGAGCTGAGATCACGCCACTGCACTCCAGCCTGGGCAACAAGAGCAAAACTCCATCTCAAAAAAAAAAAAAAAAAAAAAAAAAATTAGCCAGGTGTGGTGGCATGTGCCTGTTGTCCCAGCTGCTCGAGAGGCTGAGGCATGAGAATCGCTTGAACCCAGAAGGCAGAGGCTGCAGTGAGCCGAGATCGCACCACTGCACTCCAGCCTGGGTGACAGAATAAGATTCTGTCTCAAAAAAAAAAAAAAAAAAAGTAGGGCAGCCAGCAAAAGAAGAGGAAGGGAGAGGGTGTTCTAGCAGGGGAAACAGCACAACTGCAGGCCTGGAGGGGGACAGAGAGGACAACTGCAACCAGCTCCAGTCATGGACTGGACAGAGGGTGATGAAATCCAGCCTGGTTTGAGCTTCCAACCCCACCGCAACAGAAAAGGGACAAGAAACCCCTTCCCAATGGTGTTCCACCAATGTTCAGAGCGGAGGGAAGATGATTCTGCGAGGCAGGCACTTTGTAAAGCACCCACTCTGCGCTGGGCACTGGGGACATGGGACAAGGCAAACTTAGCGTGTTCTTGGGGAGAAAAATCTGTGCCAAAATGTGACAAGTATTCCGGAAAGGGAAGCTCAGGGTGCAATGGCAGCACACAAAAGTCTGAGGAAAGCTGTCCCTGGGGCCTTTTTCCCTCTCTGAGGTCATCACAGAAGAAAGGGGGGGCCCTCCTGCTGGCGGGAGCTGGCAGTGAAGTCTCATCCACCCCCTTGCTGGAGTGATTATGGCAGCAGCCTGAGAAGGAGGGGACCGGGCGAATGAGCGGAGCCTTGGGACTCTCAGAAACGGACAGGCAGTGCCACCAAGGCGGCAGATAAAAGGGTGCCCAGGGAGGCTGATGGAGTCGAACTCTCAGGTGGGCAGGGACCGAGCACCCGCCAGAGCGCCCTAAGGAGCCTCCTAGGGCTGGTGACAGAGGGACAGGTGGTGGGAGCCTGTGGAACGCCGGGGAGTCGGGGCAGGTTCTGAGCAGGAACTGGCGGTGGCTGTGGAACACACGTGTGAGCTACAAGCCTGGCCGGGCCGCCCCCGCTGCGCGCCCCCCGGAGGACGTGGCCGCGGGCCAGGCCGCCTGCTGACACAGTGTTCCCTAGCTCCGAGCATCACGCACACACGCGCACGGCCCCACCGCGGCCCGGGGGAAAGCACGTGCGGAGGGCGGCATCCATCGCGAAAGACAGCGGAGGGGCATGCACCCCACCCCCACGCGCGCACACGCACGGACAGAAAACGAAAAGTGACCCAGAGACCCCGGCTGTTCCAAGGTCCATGAAGTTCGTAGGGCCAAGACCCAGGGAAAGCCCCGCGCGGCAGGGGAGGCCAGGCGCTGCCCGGGCAGAGCCACGGGCACGCTGGGGGGTGAGCCAGCCAGTCCGGAGACCAGATGGCACGTCCTGGGCTCCCCTCTCCAGAGGTCCGCGCTCCAGGGCACATTAGGAGTCACCCAACGCCTGGACCTCCGATCTCCCAGGTCCCAGTCTGGACAGCCCCAGCCAGGGGGGCACGATGAGCACCCGCCTAGAGGCACAAGTTGCTGACTCTTTGTGCCGTCCCCGAGCTGTGCCCGCGCTGATAGCACCCCAGAGGAAGCCCCGACACGCGGCTGCCTGCGGCTCCTGAGCGCCCCTCCGCGCCTCTCGACTGCACGCCGGTAGCGCTCTCCCGGGCGGGGGAGCGGGGAGGAGCTCCGGGCGCTTACCTCTCGGCCGCGAAGTGCCCGGGCGGCTTCCTCCCGGTGTAGCCTCGGGCTGGTGCCCCCGGCAGCAGGAGCGCGACACAGGCGGCCCGAAGGAGCAGTCCGGCCCACATGACCGGCGGCGGCGGGTCCCCCGGGCTGGGCTCGGCTCCTGCGCCGCGCGCGGGAGAGGGGGCTGCCGGCCCTCGCCCCTCCTCCTGGCGCCGTGGGGAGCGAACCAGCGATCCCCGAAATGGCACGCAGAGCTGAGCAGGGGGGCTTGGGACGCCGAGAGGAGGGGCCGAGGGCCGCGAGGGGACGCGGCGGACGATTGTGGGGAGGGTCTCTGGCACCTCGAAGCGAAACACACAAAGGCAACGCCGCCCGCCTGCTGATGCCTCTCCGAGAGGCGCGGAGCCCGGGGCGGGGGCAAAGATCAGGGACCCCTGGGGGCGGGGTTTCGCCCTCGGCCCACACCCCCTGCCCCGGTTTGGGAGTCGGCTTCCTGCGAAGCGCTGACTGAAGGCGTCAGACCGAGGCCCCGGGAGGAAACAGACTTCGGGAACAAGGCTAGCACCAGAGGCTGCGCGCCCCGGGCATGGCCCCTGTCGGTGGGACCCGAGACGCCTTGTTGTGACGAGGTGGGAACCGTGGAAATTCGAACCCACGACGCCAGGTCGCTGTGCCGCTGAGCAGTTCTAGGCCTGCCCCCAGCCTGCCAGAAGGTCTGCACCCTAACGCCGGAGTGCGTTGATCTGTGGGTCCAACCGCTCCCTGGCCTGGGGCCCTAGCCACTTTTGAAGCCCCGGGCTCCTCTGGGCACCCAGGGGGCAGATGGCCGGCCTCCCGACTGCTGGTGGCAAGACCAGGAAGCAGCTGGCGCCGTTGGCAGTGGAGAGGCAGCAGCAGATCTGGAAGGCTCCTCTTTGCCCCTTCTGCAGCTGCCCCAGGCCGTGGTCAGAGACTGGGGGGCTGCCTAGGGATTTAGGCAAAGAAGGGGTGCGGAAATCAAAATCATCCCGCTGGGAGAAAGCTGAAAGGATAACTGATTTTACCTTCTGCTCCATGCAGTAATCTTTCCCTTAGCCACCCACAATTAGTCAAGATTTTGCTTAAATACTTCCAGGGGTAAGAAACTCACTATCTGTTAAGAAGCGGCCCAATCCAGTTTTGAACCACATTTGTTTTAAAGTGTCTTCACTTCCCAGTTGAACAATCCCTGTTCCTTTGGCCTTCCTGCTACCTCTGCCTTTACTGAGGTGCTTAACATTGGTGGCCACAAATGGACATGGCGTACCAGCGGTGGCCTGGACTCGTGCCTCCTTCCTGCAGACACCATACTTTTACTAATGCACCCTAATATTACGTTTTTGGCAACCCCATGATGTTAATTATGACACATTGAGTTTGCAGTAAAGAAAAACCACAGGTGGCCGGGCGCGGTGGCTCACACCTGTAATCCCAGCACTTTGGGAGGCTGAGGTGGGCGGATCACCTGAGGTCAGGAGTTCCAGAACCAGCCTAGCCAATATGGTGACGCCCCATCTCTACTAAAAATACAAAAATTAGCTGGGCATGGTGGCGGGCGCCTGTATTCCCAGCTACTCAGGTTGAGGCAGGAGAATCACTTGAACCCAGGAGGCAGAGGTTGCAGTGAGCCAAGATTGCACCATTGCACTCCAGCCTGGGCGACAGAGCAAGGCTCCATCTCAAAAAAAAAAAAGAACGAAAAAAAGCAGGCATTTTTTGTTGTGCTTTTATGTTATTTAAACACAAGCTGCCAAGTGGTCTCCCTACCTGAAGCTGTGTGGCCCCATTTTTTTTTTTTTTTTTTTAGATGGAGTCTTTCTCTGTCGCCCAGGCTGGAATGCAGTGGCACGATTTCGGCTCACTGCAACCTCCATCTCCCGGGTTCAAGCAATTCCCCTTCCTCAGCCTCCCGAGTAGCTGGGACTACAGGCGCACATCACCATGCCCAGGTAATTTTTGTATTTTTAGTAGGGACGGGGTTTCACCATGTTGACCAGGCTGGTCTTGAACTCCTGACCTCAAATGATCCACCCACGTCAGCCTCCCAAAGTGCTGGGATTACAGGCGTGAGCCACCGCACCCGGCTTGTGGCTACATTTTTGCAGACATTCACCTTGAGGCCGTATCTCACCTTGTTTGTTTTGGCCCATTTTCTTGTCAACATATTCTCAACAAGTAGGAGCCAAAATATTCTGTAACATAAGATGAATGCAATTTCCGTCATATCCATTCTGAGTCCCAAGGACCCTCGGAATCCTAAGGCATCTTTCTCTCTTGCCCCAAACATCTGAAGGTTACACTTTCCCCCTCCACTGCCCCTAAACCACCAATGTCAAATAGGTGCTCTTTTTTCCTGGCCCTAGGGGAGCTACCCAAATTTTCAACAGGCATACACAGAACAAGTGTCCACATGGCTTCCATATTTCATGCCATCTTCTCACACTCCAGCACACCTCAGCTACCTCTGTTCTTAGCTACATTATGGAGCCCCACCTGCTCCACCTCACCCTGTAAAACTCACTCCCTGGCAGAGTTTGCTCCATATTGGCCAATGAGCAGCTGGAATAGCTGAGATGCAACTTTGTGCTTGAAGAAAACCCACATCTACCCTAAGGAATTTAGGATACTTAGTACACAGTAAATTCCTGTTAGTGAATCTCCAAACAACGTCCAAACTGCCCCTGGCATTTCTTTCATTTCCCCATAAAGTTTCTGTGACCTTATGGCATTCACCTTGCTCCTATCAACATTTTCCCCTTTAGTTTGGTTTTTGTTTTTCTTGTCTTTTTGTTTGACCCTGAGGTTTCTCAGTTTGGACACAGAGTCTCTAACTTACTATTGTTCAAGACTAGTTCGGGCATATCCCTTGATTGCAGTTCCTGTGTTTCTTCCCACTTCTGTGGCTTGTGGTTTCTCAGTAACAAAAGGGACCCTCCACCGAGGGTGGAGGATCCAAGTTGTTGTTGGCTGCAGAATGACAGCCTCTGGCTTGTGATCCCTTCAAATGGTCATGTGATGAGTCAGTGTTTCTATTATTCTCCCAAAGGTCCCTTCGTGCAGAGGCCTGGAGTGATGCTAGTTCATCAGCGCCTACATGGAATGGAGCTGTTCCAGTTGGCTACAGCCACGCTCCAAAGACAACCTTTCACCCCTAGAGAGGTGATTAATGGTGTTTAAGAGGGGATGTGGGAGTATGGCAGCAGAACATCAGTTTCCAAAGTTGGAATTCAATCCCGAGTGAATACACCCAAGAGTGTACAAAACAAAAAATCAGCAAAACATAGCAAGGACTCCACAGGCTTCCAAATTCAAGACAAGTCATTGACAACCTTCTTCTCAATAGCAGGTCTCAGCAGCTGCAGGTCAGACCACAAAAGTGCCCCAGAATGATCATCCCACCACATTCTGTCTTTCTGATTATGACACCTTATAGTCAGCGCTCCCATCTAGGATTAAATTTTTAAAATAATCACAATGTGGAGACTGTTGCTTGCCTGCCTCATTAAAGCTGGCCTCTGGCAGGGGGGCAGGCCCTTTCAAATTCAAACTATGACTTCTAGAATTCAAATCACAGTGTTGGGTTTCCAGTTCAACCTGTGGTTTTTGAGAGGCTGATTATTTTTTGTTAAGACCCTTATCCCCCACCCGCAGAACTCTCAGAAGAGTAAGGGGAAAAAAAGGTAATAAAACACAAGGAATTCCTTCAGGGAAGGAAACTTCCTCCAGAAGACCCTCAAACCAGGGATGCTTCTTAGCTCTTTTCTTTTTAAGCTAGAATCTCTCAAAACCACAATTTGAACTTGCAACCACAATTTTCCTGACACTGTATCAAAGGCTGGTCTTAAAGGAGCCACCAATATGCCTAGTATCAACCCTACTCCACCGTGGGGACAGAGCAGCCTTTCTTCCCACCGGATCACTGAGAGAAACGTGGTCCCAGACATTGGCCCACCAAGCTGAAAAGAAGACAGGCTTTGTTTGCCAGACAGAAGAGTGAATCCCATATGTGCCCTACTCCTGCTGTATTCTCAAACCAAAAGCACCAAAGGTTCACTTGATTAGATCAGAGGAAACAAAATGAGGGTCCAAAGGGCATGTGGCAACAAGCAGCTGGGAGGTACATGAGGAGCTACTAGGTGGCCTGGGGGCTAGATGACTGGACACTGCACACAGAGCTGGCTATAAAACCAGGAAAGGCAGTCCAGGCAACCCCCAGGCCCAGCAGGTTACCGACAGAGGCAAGTAAGAATCAAATGGTGTCAAGGACAACCAAAAAGACCAGTGAATTTCTAAGCCCATCATCCTTGGGATCCCATCAAACAATCACGTGATGAAGAAGAGGTATAGATGTCTTCACTTTCACTACTTGAAAAGAGCTGTTCTAACAGCAAGGGCAAGTGAATGCAACAACTGCCATAAAAGGGAGGATACTGCCTAAGTTCGCAGTAAATTAAGAATAGTTAACCTGGAGTCCTGGATAGCTGGGCAGGGTGAATAAAAGCAAAAACAAATGTACCTTTCTTCTTATATTCTACTTTATTTGGTAAAACTCAGAAACTAACAATTCACATCCTCCCACCTTCTTCTTTCCGAAGAAGGCAGTTTGCAGAGACAAAAGGGCTGTGGCGTGGGGATCATCCACCATCTCCAGGTTTTACACCCAGGCTACCCATGGCTTGGCAGTCAGGCCTCTAGGCCTGATGCTCTCAGAGGCAATAGAAGAAAAGTAAAAGGAAGGTCTCACTTCACAGACAATGAAACCCTCCTAACCCTCTTCCCCACTACCCACAACTCCCTACACTGCCAATCTAAATAAAAAGAGGACAATGCATGAGTGTGAGATACACATACACACACACACATACACACACACACACGCACAGCTTCCTTTCAGCCAAAGAACTGCAAAATCCTTCCCCGGAAGGAGGACAACTGGCAACACCAATCAAGGCTTGGTGGTCTAAGGTGATGGCTGGAATCATGTGAGACTGGTAAAAATCCAGGGAGAAAATGTTTCACCTTCAGCTCATTCCCAAGTCTCTATGAAGCCCGCCCCACTTCCACATAGGGGAACTGTGGCTCTGGGGGCAGCTGGCTTAGGGAAAGGCCTCCCATGGCCAAGAAGACGATGGTGGAGAGGAGGGGGAGGGCAGCAGGGCAAAGCCTTTGGGGAGGGTCAGCAAAGGGGCCCCCTGCCCTTGGCTAATGGATCCGAGTTAGCTCCTCCACAACCTTGATGAGGTCGTCTGCAGTGGCCTCTCGCTTCATACCGCTGCCATCGTCATACTGCAATGAGAAGATGGGCGGGGCTGTGAGGACCAAGAGGGTGCTCTCCCACAGGTGGGGAAGGGAATGCCCCCAGTGAAGGAGGCACAAGACTCCACCATTGTCATGGCAGAGGAAGGACTCACCAGAAACCCACGCCTCCCCCTGGGTGGCACAGGTCAGCAAGGACACCACCTGGTCTATTTCTCCCTCTTCAAGATTCTCCCTCTTCTGCTATCCCCGAGACACCATCTCCAGTGAGCAATATCCCAAACTCCAGAATTGTGGCCATTTCTCCTCCCTACGGGATCCTGACCCTGCCTCCCACCTTTGGGTCTTGCTAAAGATCCCAGATATGTCTTCACTGCTCAAGGACGGGGTTAACATGGGTAGAGTTACTAGCACAGCATCTGGTACCTAGTGGGTACCCACGAGCCACAACTACAAACATCTCTTTTCCCTCAGACTCCACCTTCCATCTGGTAAGGATTACACAGAGGTCCCCTCGCATCTTGGAACTGAGGAGGAGAGGTGCCCAGAGACAGTCTCCTGGCATGCCCCAACCTGCAGTGGACTTGTCTGGCCCAGGGTTAAACACCACACAGCTCACCTGTAGGTTTGCCACCACCTCCTGCATCTTGGGGCGGCTAATATCCAGGAAACTCTCAATCAAGTCACCGTCGATGAAACCTGTGGCTGGTTCTGTCTTCCGCTCGGTGTGAAAGGATCTCCAGGTGGATGGGTGAGTTAAGGAACACGTGCTTATCAGGAAACACCCTCCTCAGTCATCCCCACCTTTGAATAAGACCACAATCTAAAGCAATCATCAGGATTAGAAAGGAAATGACACTTCCTTTCGCCTTGCTTTTATTTGGACATTTTTGGAATTGAAAAAAATGTAAAAATATGACCTAATCTAATTGGTTCTCAATTGGGGTGATCTTCAAAATAGTTTTTAAAAGTACAGATCAGAGTCTATTAATGTGAAGCCCGTATATGTATGGAAGTTCTTTAAAAGTGCTCTAGGCAAAGCTGATGCACAAGAACCACCTAAGTCTAGCCTCAAAGCTCCATAGAGGGGTCAGTGTGGTGGTGGCTCATGCCTGTGAACCCAACACTTTGGGAGGTTGAGGCAGGGGGATCGTTTGAGTCCCGAAGTTCAAGACCAAACCGGGGCAACATCATGAACTCCTGTCTCTACAAAAAACAAAATTTTTTTTTAATTAGCCAGGTGAGCTGACACGTGCTTACAGTCCCAGCTATTCGGGAGGCTGAGATGGGAGAATCACTTGAGCCCAGGATGTCAAGGCTGCAGTGAGCCATGATCATGTCACTGCACTCTAGCCTGGACAACAGAGCAAGAACCCACCTCCAATTAAAACAAAAAAAGAAGAAGAAGAAGAATAAAAGCAGCAGCTCCGTTGATGAATAAACTGAGACTCAGTGAGACAAGGCTGCCAAAAGTCTTGTTAGCAAAAAACCAATAAACCAGCCCATCAGCCCTCCTTGGCTAGAGCAGGGCCAGAGTCACAGACAGGAGCTCCTCCCACCTCCAGGGGGGCGGGGAGGGCCCTTTATATCTCCTGTACTACACAAACTTCCAATAGCACTTGGATTCTGGGGGTCCCAGGGTGGCAGATTCTTTCAGTGTTTTCCGCTTCTTCACCTTTCCCTTTCTTCTGGTAGTTTCTCTAGTCTCAGACACTGTTGCCCTCAACCAAATCCCTGAAAGGATGTGCTCCTGTGTTGTGATCTAAATTCACATTTGGCCTGCTACACCGAGAGGGCCAGAGGCGGACACATTTCAGGAATATAAATGTACATTTCCAAGATGGACCAGCGGAAGCTAGGTGATAAGTACTTTGGGAGTCAATATACTGTTCTATTGTGTATGTTTGAAATTTTCCACATGAAAAAGTCAAAAACAAAACAAAACAAAAAACCTGTTCTGTACAGGAACCTAATCAAGACATGTAGTAGCTTCCGGGTAATGTGACTCCGTGTGCCACATATGCCGGGATGTGCTTCCCAGCAAGGGGATGGCTCTGGGAAGGATATAAGGAGTGCTCGATCTTCCCCACACTTTTGATGACTTTATTGAGTCGATTCTGCATGTCCAGCAGGAGGTTGTACCAGCTCTCTGACAGTGAGGTCACCAGCCCTGAAGAAGTGAAGGAGGCAGTGAGCTGCAGAGAGCTCAACCCCACAGCATGTATCCTCTACGTAAAGGGCAGCCCAGGTGAGCAGCTCAGGGAGGGCTAATGTGCTGCAGCCTCCTCTAGTAAACACCTAGGTCTTGTACAGTTGCTCTCCCCAGTCCCTCAGAATGCTGGTATCAGGAAGGAGGCCTGTGTGGGGGTGTGCCCCACAGGGGTGACCTTACCTATCATGCCGTTGACCGTGCCGAAGAGCACCGAGCCTTGTGTGGGGGTGGAAGTCTCACCCAGATTCTGCATTACCAGAGAGCCGTGGCAAAAGACATTGACAAACTCGCCCAGGTGGAAAAGACCAACCTCCTGGAGGTGCTGCCGCTCCTCGTCAGTGGTGGCAGCGCTGAAAGGCGGTAAGAAAGTCACTTTCTGAACCTCCTGTTTCCACCACAGGCCCTGAGACAGGACCACGTGCAGTGGTCACGGTGCTCAATTTCCCTGGGGAGCTGACATACTCCACAGTAGGGGAGCCAGTCTAAAGAGGTGGATTTCTGTCACCTTTTATTCTCTGACGAGGAAAGTTCTATCTCTGTAAACAGGAGCACCTGAACCTGACACAGAACCCAATGCTTGCATCCACCAGAGACCAAGGAACTCCCAGCCCTCCCCACCACTCCCAGAGCTGGCCACTACTCACCTATCCTTTTGACACACAAACAAGTTAAAGGCATTTTCAGCCCCCAGAAAATTGTCATCATCCAAGATTTCCACAGCACTCATCCAGTTGGGATTAAAGTCTCGAGCAATCTTAAAACAGACAAGGTGAAAGAAGAAAGCATAATCAGCAGTTTGCACGGAATCCAGTTCTGGGACTTGTGTTTCCTTTATTCAGGAGCAAGGCCCCACCCTGCAGAAGATATAGCATGGTGTTCAACAAGTGTCACCCTAGAGGGATTCTCCCCGACCTCTCTGCCAACGCAGCCCATTTGGTTGCCAACTGCCCAGAGATGGAGCCTAGTCAGAGTTTGAGTTGGGAGTCTCTAAAAATACTTAATCAGGGCCGGGCACAGTGGCTCACGCCTGTAATCCCAGCACTTTGGGAGGCCGTGGCGGGCCGATTATGAGGTCAGGAGATCGAGACCATCCTGGCTAACAAGGTGAAACCCCGTCTCTACTAAAAATACCAAAAATTAGCCAGGCGTGTTGGCAGGTGCCTGTAGTCCCAGCTACTCGTAGTCCCAGTTACTTGGGAGACTGAGGCAGGAGAATGGCGTGAACCTGGGAGGCAGAGCTTGCAGTAAGCCGAGATCGCACCACCGCACTTCAGCCTGGACAGAGCCAGACTGCGTCTCAAAAAAAAAAAAAAAAAAAAAAAACTTAATCAATGTAGAATGTCTGCTCCGGGGAAAACATTTCTGCCCCTAATACTGGGCTGGCTTATCCTTCCCCACCAGAGACACTTGCAGGGGCGGTGGCTCAAGCAAGAAGTCTGCTCGCATCCCCCCACCAGCATCACCTCTTCAAAGTTTCCTTCCATGGGCTTGTAGGCAAGCAGCAGCACTGAGCGCATAAGGTCGCCCACCAGGATGAAGTCGCCCTTGGTCTTCAGGTAGAGGGCCATGATGTTGTTGTAGTGGTTGCACTCAGTGCGCAGCTCCTTCTCTGTTGTCCACTCATAGAGCCGCACCTGGGAAGGGCATTGTCTCTCTCAGCCAAAGGGGCCAGAGCTCTCTCAGAATGACTCCCCCCAACTCTTCGACCCTTCATCTGCAGCACTACTTCTCAAAGTGCAATGCGGGACAGGAAACGGTTTTATGAGGCACTGGGGTGAACATTTATTATTTCACTATTACATATTTATGAAATATGAAAACACAATGAACACACCAAACCAGGAATACAAAACTTCCCAAGTTTTCCTTTACATAAAAAAATGAGTCCACGTAAAGGAAACAGTAATGTGGGTAGTCGGGCTTGGTGGCGCACACCTGTAATCCCAGCTACTCAGGAGGTTGTGGCACAAGAATTGCATGAACCCAGGAGACAGAGGTTGCAGTGAGCTGAGCTGAGATCATGCCACTGCATCCCAGCCTAGGCGACACAGCGAGACTCTGTCTCAAAAAAAAGAAAGAAAGAAAGAAAGAAAAGTCCAACAGAAACATTGACAAATAACTAAAGGAACCTGAAGAACTTGATTCTACAGCCACCCTCTACCACCCCGCAAGAGGGAAAAAGAAACTGTGCAGCCGGCCGCAGTGGCTCACGCCTGTAATCCCAGCACTTTGGGAGGCCGAGACGGGCAGATCATGAGGTCAGGAGAACGAGACCATCCTGGCTAACACGGTGAAACCCCGTCTCTACTAAAAATACAAAAAAAAAATTAGCCAAGCGTGGTGGCGGGCACCTGTAGTCCCAGCTACTCGGCAGGCTGAGGCAGGAGAATGGTGCGAATCTGGGAGGCGGAGCTTGCAGTGAGCCAAGATGGGGCCACTGCACTCCAGCCTGGGGGACAGAGTGAGACTCCGCCTAAAAAAAAAAAAAAAGGAAAAAAAAAGAAACTGCTTTTTTCTGTCTCCACCACAGTGCTTCTTCAATTACAACCACATCTCCAAAAGAATGAAAATGCTTTATCATCAGTAGACAAATGGAGAGCTACTTGGCACGGCCCAGTGCTAAAGAAGACAGACTCAACCCATCTGAACTGACAAGCCTCCCCTGGCAGATCCTTCAGGATCCAGATAATCCCCATGGCCTCTGCACATCTAGAAACTCCTGGGCAGAACATATTAATCAAACCACAATTTCTCAAGATTTGTCCAAAGAACCCTAGCTACACAGGAATATATTCCAAGAATCATTTGTAATAATTACAATGGTTGGCGGGGCGCAGTGGCTTACGCCTGTAATCCCAGCATTTTGGGAGGCCAAGGCAGGCGGATCACGAGGTCAGGAGATCGAGACCATCCTGGCCAACGTGGTGAAACCCCATCTCTACTAAAAATATAAAAATCAGCTGGGCATTGTGACGTGTGCCTGTAATCCCAGCTACTCGGGAGGCTGAGGCAGGAGAATCTCTTCAACCAGGGAGTCGGAGGTTGCAGTGAGCCAAGACTGCGCCATTGCACTCCAGCGTGGCGACAGAGTGAGACTCCATCTCATAAATAAACACATACATACATACTATGGTTACCACACCTCTATCACAGGGTAAAAGGTACCTCCAGAGTGCCCCGTCTTCAGGTAAGCCCACCTTGCTGGGCCTCCACACCTCCAACAGAAAGAGTGAAGCGGGGGGCCTCAGAGCTCCACATGTTCCTGCCAACACCTGCCACCACTCTCTCTCCACACTCTCAACCTCCCCATCGCCTTGGAGAGAGTCAAGACTAAAGCCAGACACCACCAGAAGGCCAAGACTCCCATTCTCTTCCCAAAAGGCTGTAGACTTCCACTGTCCAATATGGTAGTCACTAGCCACACATGGCTATGAAACACTTGAAATGTGCCTAGTCCATGTTGAGATGTGTTCTGACTATAAAATACACACCAGATTTTGAATTATTAGTATGAAAAACTGTAAAATATCTTAATAAGCATTTTTATACTGATTACATGTGGAAATGCTAATATTTTAGATATTGGGTTAAATAAAATACCTTATTCATTTCACCTGCTTCTTTTTGCATTTGTTAATGTGGCTACTAGAAAATTCAGAATGACATACATCGCTCATATAATATTTCTATTGGCTGGCAACAGAACAGATATGTCCTCACCTGACCTCAAATGCCACCCTCCACCCTCCTGATCCCTGTGCCCACTCACTGCACCCTCTGGAACACAGTCATTAACCATGGACAGCCACTTCTCTGGGCAAACCCTTCACTTCATTCTAACTCATATCCATGGCTCTTTCCTAAGGGCCTTGTGGCCCTCTTAACTTGTCTGTTTTCTCTTCCACTGTCCCTCATAGCACTGGAACAGGAGGTAGCACAGTCTCCCAAGCTCCTCGTCTGCTCTTTCAGACTTGTCACTCCCTCCCCTGAAACACCACAGTTTTAAGGCTCACACCACCAGACCACACAACCACCATCACCCACTAAAGCAGTCACCTGAATCCCCAACCCACCCATCACTCTCTCCCACACAACCTCCTATAAGTCTTGATGACTATAATATTCACAGAGAAGGTCCTTCTAATACCCTCACCTCTTAGCTTTTCTGACCCCTTCTTTCCCACTTACTTTGTCCATTCTTATGACCACCTCTTAAAGCCTGGCATTACAAGTAACTGCACTCTTCCTGAATCTCGTGTCCTCCGCTCTGCCTCTTCTCAGATGCTCATAGTCCACCACCATAATCACATAATAACTGTCTTGCAGATTCCAACGCCCTGACCCCTCTCCCCTTTCTCATGCTCACCTAACAAAACTCGACTTGTATTAAATTTTCATCTTCCACTCCAGGTAAGGAAAACCAACCAACAGGATGACTGTTCTTTTACATTCAAGACGACTAACTGAAAGGGGGTTCCTAAACCTCTCAGAAATAATGCATTTTCCTACTCCTCTCACTCTTCTGGTCCTAAAACAATGAATTCATCCCTTTTCCACTCTACTCAAATTGCCAATACCTCCTTCCCATCTTCTCTCTCAGCAATTTCACAGAGAACAGAGACACAGCCAAAAGGGCATTTCCATGAACTTCCACATCTGTTCCCTTCTCTGTCACTCGGTTTGAGATCCCACCTCCTTTTGCCTGGCCAAGAACAATGGCTCTCTTTCTAACATCAGTCCCATCAGCATAGAAAACATGCAGCAGTGTTTCCCAGCTTGAAAAATTAAAAACAGAAAATTCTTATCCTGAAATTTCACTGTCCACATCACTCTGTCCTTTACTGCAAAACTCCTTGAGGGGTTTTCTGTACCAGCTTCCTTTCCTCCTACTCTCCGCTGAGGCGACTGCAATCAGGTTTCTAGCCCCACCACTCAACCAAGAGCTCTGATCAAGTTTACCACTGACTTCCATGTTACTAATCTTTATGTTACCTGACCTGCCAGCAACACTTGGAGTTTACCAATTCCCTCCTGCTTCAGATAACTTTTTCTCCATGGCTTCCAGAACACTATTCTCTCGGTTCTCCTCCTACTTCACAAGTCACCCTTTGTTTGGCTGGATCTTCACCCTATCTCTGAAATGCTGGACAGCTCCTAGGGCTATCTTCAGATCCTGTCTCTATGGGCTCTCAGCACATGGGTGGTCTTAGGTGATGTCATCCAGACTTTCAGCTTTAACTGCCATGCTAGTATCTCCAGTGTACCTCTTCCCTGGATTCCATACCTCTCTCATTGTTATCTAGTGAACATCTCCACTTAGATAACCACTGAAACTGAGTATATCCAGAACCTCTGGTTTCCACTCCAAACCTGCTGCACTATCTTTCCCATCAGTAAATGGCAAAGCCAAAACCCGACCCTTTATTCCTCTGCCTCTCACATCTCATCTTCAATCTATCACCAAAGTCCTTCAATCCTACCCTCATAACATAAGCAGAATGTGACTACTCTTATTCCTCTCCTCCATCACCACCTGGTCCCAGCAACCACCGAATGCATCCAGATTACTACAAGAGCCTCCCCTAACTGACCTCTTATACCGCTGCTTCTACCCCTGCTCCCCTACAGTCTTTCCAGAGAAGCAACATGACCTTTTGAAAATACAAGTTCAATCATGTTCAAACCCTTGCTCAAACCCTCCAGAGGTTGCCATCATGCTCTGAATAAAACCCTGATATGGCCTACCAGGCTCTGCACGTTCTGGCCCCTGGCTGTCCCTTGGACTCATCTCTCACCAGAACACCAGCTCAGTCCCCACAGACACCAGGCCCGCCCACTCTCACCTATGACCTACCACCCCTTGCACTTGTCTTCCCCAAGCACAGGTAGGGTTCTTACCTCCCTTCATTTTGGAATCTGCTCAAATGCCACTGTGTATCCACAAGACCCTCCCGACCATGTGATATGAAACAGCAAACCCCACTTCCCACATTCATCCTGGCATTCCTCCAGTCCTGCACCCCTTTTACTTCTCACCATTTCACGTACTATGTACTTTATTTGCTCATAAACTCCAAAAGGGCAGCTCATTGTCCATTTTGTTTGCTGCTATCTCCCTACTCCAAAACATCAAGTTGTCCATTTTCGATATACAAAATTTTTGTCAACTATACCTCAATAAAGATGGAAAAAAACTTTTTAGCAAGGGAGGAGGTAGGGTCATGGCATAAGCAGTGGAATATTTCAAAGGACTAGCTTTCAGGAATGCACTCAGGATATTCTGATTTGGCTCATTTTCTTTTGGCATGGAACATCCTACGTGCAGGGACCATAGGTCTCACTCGTTTCTCAAGTCCCACAGCACTCAGGATCTGAAACACATGGGGGTTCACGTAACCTAGTCTAATGCGTGGTTCAACCTCAGTTTCCGAGATTCTCAACTCAGAGCTCTATCCTCCACACCCGCTACTTTGTTCTCCTTCAGATCTGACACACACGTGGCCCCAGACAACCTAAGAGAGACACATTCTGCAGACAATGATGGGCAGCCTAAAGTAAGTACCAAGTGGTCCAGGCCTCACCGTGCTATTGATGCTGGCTAACAGCTTCCCGTTAAATTCCACCATAGAGTACACGGCCCCTTTCACTTCCTTTTCAGCCACAGTCTGTAGTTTTCCTGGGGGTGGAAAAAATATGTTTGAGTCTCTATGAGCCCACACTTTACCTCATCAAAAGAATCCTCTGGTTGCCCCTGTGGTACAAATTCTTGCCCCCCAAAACCACTCATCTAAAAAAACAACACAGACTCAGTATCTACTGGAGTTAATGACCACGTGAAGTATGAGCCCCAAGATAATGTGCAGAGAAATCCAGTTGGTATCTAGGATCTGCCCCCTCGCCCTGAAACTCTAGATCTCTCTCTCAAGATGGAAACCAGATCCCATTTCAGCTATCTGATCTGAGATTTCCGGGCTGATAGTCTTTAGAGCCATCTTGGGTGGGTGTAACGAGAAAAGATATTAAAATATAAACACAGAGTTGAAGCTGGAAAGAGCACCTAAATGCCTGAGCAACCAAGTGGAAAACAAACCTAAGATTCTGAATTTTTATACCTGTTGTCACTAGATTCCCTTACCCATCGTTCACTTCTCCCACCCCTCCCTTTTGTTCTTTTGGCCTTTCAAAGAGTAGCAAAGAAAGAAATGTAAGCTAAATTTTACTGTGTACTGTTCACATGCTCCAAAATTCAATCAAATAAAGAAGAGAATAGCTCTTTACAGCAATGAACCCAACTTCTTCTACTGCTTAACTGAGGCTCTCTGAAACCTCACAATGGCCTGCTGACTTTCTCAGCATTTCACATCCCTCAGAAACTGGAGACTGCGCCCACTTACCATCCGAATACTGAAAGACCACAATGCGACCCTGCTTGGGCTCTGCCTCTTCAGGATACACCATTGCTGTGCCCACAATGAAGTAAGTGTTGGGGTCTTTGCCCAGCTTGCAGGAAACCAGACTGAGGGCATATTCATTCTGCAGAAACTGGTGGGCATGAAGCACTAGAGAGTAGAGAGATGACTACGTGATGACAGGTTACCCATATCTGCACGCACACATAACCCCGTATTTCTGAGGCCTGTGGCTTAGGCAGTGACAAAGCGTGTACCACCTGCTGTCCCTGTCTCATCAGATTATCCATCCCCCACCAGCCTAAGCTAAGGAGAGGATGCCCAGCCCTCCAAACTCACTGCCATCTCACAGAATTCCCACCCCTCCTTTCTGCTCCTCCTAGGACAGTCTGCCACATCTGTCAGGCTTTGCAGGTACCAGAGCCCAGAACAGCCTGGATTAGGGAGGGCGTAGATAAAAATTATCGAAAGAGCTCATGTGCACCTTCAAAGGTGTGTTGGTCAATGATAAGTAGGTTGTGCACCTCCACCTCTTCTCCAAAGGAGGTCTCATGAGGAGCAGTGCTGCTGGAGAACAGCTTGCTGGAGCTTACACTGCTGGACAGAGCCTGCAAACAGAGAGAATGCACATCATCCTTCTCAAACACAGAAGAAGTGCTGAGACATCATTGTGAAGGGACCCGTCAGATCAGGACACAAAGGCTGCAGCTAGCCAAGAACTCTGATGGCTGGCAGCTCAAGGAGCCTGAGGAGAGTGTTTCAGAGGAGGCATGTAGTTGAAACATCAATCCCAAACAGTAAAAATCTAAGGGTCATTAAAGACAAAACAGTGATGCTTCAAGTCAATCAAGCACAGCTAAAAAGGAACTCAGGTGACCTAATGGGGACAGACTCCACTACCCTCAATGGGAAGAGGAGGGGGGCACTTCAAATAAAAACAGAAGCCATGAAGACTTCAACTCTGGACTACGGAGGGAGGTCCTATCGCAGATATGTGGAAACATGAAAGGCAGAGAATACATGGAAGAAAATGACCAGCTGGTATCACCACTGAGCCTAGTATGTGTAGCTCCAGACTGTTATCTGCCTCATTCTGCAGATAAGAAAACTGAAGTTTAGGCTTTCCCAAGGTCACACAGCTAGCAATAAACCTGGAAGCCAGGCCAGGCACAGTGGCTCACGCTTGTAATTCCAGCACTTCGGGAGGCCGAGGCAGGCAGATCACAAGGGCAAGAGTTCGAGACCAGGCTGGCCAACACAGTGAAACCCCATCTGTACTAAAAATACAAAAATTAGCTGGGCATGGTGGCACGCGCCTGTAATCCCAACTACTCAGGAGGCTGGGCCAGGAGAATCGCTTGAACCTGGGAGGTAGAGGTTGCAGTGAGCCGAGATCGTGCCACTGCACTCCAGCCTGGACGACAGGGTGAGACTCCGTCTCAATAACAAACATAACATAACATAACATAACATAACATAACATAACATAACATAACATAACATAACATAACACATAACATAACATAACATAACAAACATAACACATAACATAACATAAAACATAACATAAAACATAACATAACATAACATAACATAAACCCAGTAGGCACTTTTGAAAAGCTGGTTTCTGTCTTAAAAAAAAAACAAACAAACAAACCTGGAAGCCCGTTCTGTCGGACTCCAAACCCCATGTTCCTCCTCTATTCGACCACTCTACAAAGGACCCAAACTGATGGTGACAGATGCTGCAAGGCCACCAAGTAGGAACTGTTTTTTAAAAATAAACTTTTATAGAAGCCAGCTATGCTCACCTGTTGCCTACAGCTGCTTTCAGGCTACGATGGCAAAGTTGAACAGTCAGTGGTAACTGAGACCACACTGCCTGCAAAGCCGAAAGCCTTCACTACCTGGCCTGTACAGAAAGCTTGCTGGCCCCTGCTCTAAGGTCATCTTTCTTTGTCCACTGCCCTTACCTGGGTGCTAGCGCTGGGCCTCAAGGCTGTCGTGCCCCCACTCGTGTCTTGGACTTCAATGCGGCTGGAGAGGACCCCGAAACACTGGGACACTTCCTGGTAGCAGATCTTCCTGCAGAACAAGTACAGAACAACAGTGTCACTTAGAAAGTCAGAAGCACCCTACACCAACCCCCACTTCCCACTCTCCCACCCTGGGCCTCACCTTGGAGACTCATAGAGGGGAACTGTGCGAATGTGCAGCTTCTGGATCTCATCGATGGTGCCAATGGTGAGGGTGCTATTGTTGGCCAGCGCCAGGCTGGAAAGAAGGGTCTGGGTTTAGACTGAGGAGACTCAAGGAAGGCAAAGATTCTATGAGGCAACTCCACAGAGGAAGAAAAACAAGGCAGGATTACACCAGCTTTGACTCCATGCTAAACATCACCTGGAGAGACAGACAATTCTGATTCCTGGTCCCATCCACAAGATACTCTTATTTCATTGGTCTGGGTGAGCCTAGGCTGAGATTTTTAACAGCTTTCCATTTAATGATAATGTGCAACCAGTTAAAAAAATCAACGCTCCAGGAATGTGACTTTCAAACTACTGCCTGTGTCAGAGTTGGCTGGAGGGCTTGTCAAAACAGTCTGCTGGGCCCCCTCCCAGAGTTTCTGATTCTGTGAGTCAGGGTGGGGCTTGAGCATCTGCATTTCTTTCTTTTCTTTCCTCTCTCTCTCTCTCTTTTTTTTTTTTTTTTTTTTGAGACAGAGTCTCAGCTCTGTTATTCAGGCTGGAGTGCAGCGGTGAAATCTAAGCTCACTGCAACCTCCACCTCCCAGTTTCTTTTTTTTTAAGACAGTTTTTTTTCTTGTCACCAGGCTGGAGCGCAATGGTGGGATCTTGGCTCACTGAAAACTCTGCCTCCTGGGTTCAAGTGATTCTCCTGCCTCAGCCTCCTGAGTAGCTGGGATTACAGGTGCCTGCCACCACACCCGGCTAACTTTTGTATTTTTAGTAGAGATGGGGTTTCGCCATGTCGGCCAGACTGGTCTCGAGCTCCTGACCTCCGGTGATCCACCCACCTCAGCCTCCCAAAGAGCTAGGATTACAGGCATGAGCCACTGCACCCAGCAACCTTCCAATTTCAAGGGAATCTCCTGCCTCAGCCTCCCAAGTAGCTGGGATTACAGGCACACACCACCATACCTGGCTAATTTTTGTATTTTTATTAGAGACAAGGTTTCACCATGTTGGCCAGGCTGGTCTCAAACTCCTGACTTCAAATGATCCTCCTGCCTCGGCCTCCCAAAGTGCCGGGACTACAGGTGTGAGCCACCATGCCCAGCCAGAGAATCTGCATTTCTAACAAGTTCCCAAGTAATGCTGTAGCTGCTGGTTGGGGACACCCTTTGAGAATTCCTGCTCTAGAGGGACACAAAATGATCTCTAAATTAGGGATTATGAAACAGTCATCTGAATCACCTGATAAGTTTTCTGAAAATACAGATTCCAGAGCTCAACCTCAGACCCACTGAGGATTCCAAAAATCCTGTAGTTTTAAAAAACTTCCCAAGTGTTTCTATTGGGTAGCCAGTTTTGAGAACCTCTGCACTATACTTCCCATCTCAGTTATGATTTTGACACCGGAAAAAGGCTTTGAGGTAAGGGTTTGAGGAAAACATCATGACCCCCTCAATCAATAGCTCTCATTAAATAAGGAAAAAGAGACTCACCTGTCAGGATAGCCATCTGAATTGAGGGGACACATGTAGTTCACTTCCTTGAGGTTGACATTTGAGAAGACCAATTTGTGGTTGCTGCTATAGATGACAGTGGGGCGGTCAGAACAAGCAAAGACGTTGGTGGTAGAAAGAGAACGAAAAGTCCTCAATACGGTGGGCTGGGTGCCCAAAGTCACCTTCTTACGGTCGCTCAACAGACCTACAGAGAGAATGACATCAGGAGAAAGGAAGAAAGAAAACAGGACAAAAAGCTGGCCTGTGAAAGTTCAAAAGCAGAACCCTGGGACTAAGAATTCTGTGTAATTCTAATACTCTATTTTTGAAAGAGTCCCTCACTCAAAATACTACTCTCACCTGTCTCAATGTTGAGCCCAAAGTAGAAAAGCGCTCCATCTCCCAAGGCACAAAGGAGGTAATGGCTACTCTCAAAGGTGGTCATCAGGATGGAGCGAGGAATGATCTCTGTGAGAAAGGGGGACATTATGTTCTTGTTCCACATTTTGACTCTGTCCCAACCCAGGTCCCTAAATGACACATACCTCCACCCAGCATCTCCTTGTGCAGTAGTTCAAAAGAGGGCAACTTCAAGATACGAGCCGAGATGTCCGTCCAGAGGCCAATGGCACAAAGAGGGGACAGTCCATTGCTGTCTCCTAATGGGGTGATGTCCAAGCAAGCCACTTCATGTTCCATCTCTGTGTGGCTGAACAAAGAAGAATATGGCAGAGGAAGGAATCCAAGGCTCAAAGAAGTCCTAGAGAAAAGAGGAGGAAAGCGAGCAGACAGAAAAACACACACACCTGATCTGCCGGAGCTCCTGAGGATGGATCTGCAGATAGTAGAGGGCCCTGCCTACAGCCACCACCACCTGGCTGCTATTGCAGGAGGCCACACTGATGTTCTTGGCCTGAGGCTCCTTCCATTCACTGACCAGAGCTTTGGGTTCTTGAGAGACCAACCTCACCGATGCTGAAGTGATCTAGATAAACAGCAGATGAACAAATGTCTCCAAGCATCTGCCAGGGTCCACACAGGAGTGGAAAGGTGGTAAATGCAGCCCTAATAGAGCCCTACGAATAAGCTACATGAGGCTTCTATTTCTTATTCCCCAAAGTCCTGCTAATGATTACAATAGATGTCATTTTTGCATGAATGCCTGAAGGAGGCCAGCTTAAAAGTAGCTTACAGCTTACAAACCTACAGCTGGTGGGGAAAAGGCCTATTTCATTCTAATTGAGACTTACTTGGGTAATACAAACTGCATCCTGTGGGAAGATATGAATAGAGTAAGACCCTGTGACCACCAGTTTTTTGGCTTTTTTTTTTTTTTTTTTTTTTTTGGGACAGAGTCTCTCTCTGTTGCCCAGGCTGGAGTGCAGTGGTGCAATCTCAGCTCACCACAACCTACGCCTCCCAGGTTCAAGCCATTCTCCTGCCTCAGCCTCCCAAGTAGCTGCGATTACAGGCGCATGCCACCATGCCTGGTTAACTTTTGTTTTTTGAGTAGAGATGGGGTTTCACCATGTTGGCCAGGCTGATCTTGAACTCCTGACCTCATGATCCACCTGCCTTGGCCTCCCAAAGTGCTGGGATTACAGGCGTGAGCCACCATGTTGACTGTGACCACCAGTCTTAGCAGTTTTTCTCAACCCCCAAATCAGACCTCTAAAATATCTAAGTTCTTTACTGTGTATGAGCCATTTAAATTATTTAAAGTTCCTTAGTAAAGATTACAAAATTGTATAGAAATATATTGTATAAATTTATCACTGAAATAAAACAGGAAGTAGGTTGGTGACACTGTTATCTATTCATTCATCTTACCTAGCACAATTGAGTTTATATATAAGGATGAAAGCTCTTTAATAATAAATAGGTGAGCTGGTGCCAGTCTTCAGGCCAATAGTTAGATAACACTGACAAAGCAATGACTCAGTATCTGGGCACGTCCCACACTTGGTCTGCAAACTGACAGAACTTTCCCTCCGGTTTTACCAATCTACCACTGCCAGGTGGCTAAAAGGAAAACCAGGTGGATAAAAAGACAGAGACAGTTCATTAATCCTTAGGCACTCCAGTGCCCTACCCACCAAAGGCAAGACAGACTCTGGCCACAGAGTGAAGAACAGCTCAGAAGGTAAGGAGAGAGTGCTAAAAGCTGAAGGATGTCAGGGTCACTCCAAACTTCAAAAAATTGCTGAGGGGTGGAAGGGTGTCAGAAATGAGGCTCTCGTGGATAACAATATGCCAGAAGGCTATCTGCCCCCGTATTGCAGATAGATTGAAAGTAAGGATCAGAATAGGGTAAGCTTCGGTTATAATTAGTATGTGGAAAGGGCTGCCAAGAGTCATATTGGATGGTAGCATCATGATTTTTTCTTTTTTTGTGCATTTTGGCATTTTCTAATTTTATAAATAAGGATGTATCACTAGTTTAACAAAGGGAAAAAATTTGAGTGTCTCGGAAGATATAATTAGTGCTAAAATAGGATCCGAAACTATATTTTTATGTTTATATATATAATGACCCGAGTCTATAAAAGAAAATGTAAATAAATACACAGACATT
This sequence comes from Homo sapiens, assembly GCF_000001405.40. Lineage (NCBI taxonomy): Eukaryota > Metazoa > Chordata > Mammalia > Primates > Hominidae > Homo > Homo sapiens. The sequence continues at coordinate 61,316,077 of NC_000011.10, forward strand.
TGCAGAAGAAAAATAAAGCTAAAAGGAGCAACTCTAAGGTTAAGAGTTGTGATCTCTGAGTAGTGGATTATCTGTAATTTTTTCCCTAGAATTTTTACATTATTTTTGGAGCCATAAAAATTGGTTGTTTTAAAATCCAGTGGTGCTCTGTACTGCATCTAGGTCAATTCAAGTATATGGTAACACCTGCCCCTTTCTCAGTTATCACCTGGATAAGCTGCTGATGAGCCACGTTGCCACAGAAGAAAGTCTGCTGATCATCCACGAAACCCATCAGTTCGGTTTCTTCTACCTCCTCTCCATTTAACATGAGAACTCTGCAGCAGAATGGAGGGCCTGGGTCAGCCTGGGACCAGCTTCCCCACCTCACAACCTTCTCACCAGCACCTACAGCTGGCACTAGACCCATCCTTACCTTGTCTGGCCCACAAAAGAGAGCACCAAAGTGTCATCAGTCTCACGATTAGGGTCAGACCGCAGTGGCCATAATCCTGGAACAAGGACCAAGGATTCAGATGCATAGGACAGACCAACACTTAGCATGCATATCTACGGACAGGGCAGGCCAGGGGCAGTGGCTCATGCCTATAATCTCAACACTTGGGAAGGCAGAGGCAGGAGGACTGCTTGGAACCAGGAGTTCTAGACCAGCCTGGGCAAAATGGAGAGACCTTGTCCCTGCTAAAAATACAAAAGAACTTGCTAGGTGTGGTGGCACAAAACTATAGTCCCAGCTACATGGGAGGCTGAGGTGGGGGGATTGCTTAAGATTAGGAGAAAGAGGCTGCAGCTATGATCATGTCATTGCACTCCAGCCTGGGTGACACAGCAAGATCCTGTCTCAAAAAAAAAAAAAAAAAAAAAGGATAGATATATATATATATATATATATATATATATATATATATATATATATATATATAGACATGGCAGCCTGACACCACTGGAAGGGCTGGAACATGGAGTCCTGAGCTGGAACCCCCTCTCTGCTCCTTCTTGGTTTTAAGGCTCTAAAAAGTTAAATAGTTTTGTTTTGTTTGTTTGCTTGTTTTTTTTGAGACGGAGTCTCGCTCTGTCACCAGGCTGGAGTGCAGTGGCCCGATCTCAGCTCACTGCAAGCTCCACCTCCCGGGTTCACACCATTCTCCTGCCTCAGCCTCCCGAGTAGCTGGGAAGGCAGGTGCCCGCCACCACACCTGGCTAATTTTTTGTATTTTTAGTAGAGACAGGGTTTCACCATGTTAGCCAGGATGGTCTCGATCTCCTGACCTCGTGATCCGCCACCTTGGCCTCCCAAAGTGCTGGGATTACAGGCGTGAGCCACCACGCCGGGCCAAAAGTTAGATAATTTTAAAGCTGTTTTGAGCCTATTTTAAATTTGGGATTGGATATACATTTCCATGACCCAAAGTCTAAATTTATTTATTTATTTATTTACTTATTTATTTGAGACGGAGTCTTGCTCTGTCACCCAGACTGGGGTGCAATGGCACGATCTCGGCTCACTACAACCTCCGCCTCCCGGGTTCAAGCGATTCTCCTGCCTCAGCCTCCTGAGTAGCTGGGACTACAGGTGCGTGTCACCACGCCTGGCTAATTTTTTCTATTTTTAGTAGAGACAGGATTTCACCGTGTTAGCCAGGATGGTCTCGATCTCCTGACCTCATGATCTGCCCACTCGGTCTCCCAAAGTACTGGGATTACAGGTGTGAGCCACTGTACCCAGCCTAAATTTATTTTTTAAAAGTACACAGAAAAGTCTCATTCCCATACCTCCCTCCAACCCATCCCCCAAACAAGTAATCAATAAAGGCATCTTGTTTAGCCTTCTGGTAAAGAGATGGGGTGTGGGAGGATCTTGCTATGTTGCTCCAGTCTGGCCTCGATCTCCTGGGCTCAAGTGATCCTCCCACCTCAGCCTCCTGAACAGTAAGGACTACAGGCCCACTATGCAACACTAAGCTTAATTTTTTTTACTTTAAGGAAATAGAGTATTACAAACAAATGCAAATATAAAATAGTCTATCATGCACTATTTGGCACCTTGTTCTTTCATTGAACAATATATGCTTGAAGCCCTTATCAGAACACAGTATTTAATTGTGTAAATCATTTATCTATAATTATTAAATTATGCAGATTAACAAATCCCTTCTCATTATATTTATTCAGTATTTTGCTATAACATACAATGCCACAAGAAATAAGCTTGTATTTTTATGTCACTTTATACATATAAAGGTCAGGTAGAGGCTCAGAACTGGGACTACTAAGTAAATCGCTAACTGCTGTCTTTGATATTGCCCAATTCCCTTCTATAGAGGATGCACAAGCATGTTTATTTTCTCACAGCCCGACCAACATAATGTGTGGTCAAACTTCTGGATTTTGGTCATCTAGTAGAGTACTGCTGTTTGGTGTTAATGTGCATTTCTCAGGACTGTTGCCTGTCCATTCATGTCCTTTGCTAGTTTGGGGACAGAAAATTTAGTGATCTTTCTATAAATATGTTATAAATTAGGAAGACTGGGCCTTTTGTCTATAAGATGAACTACAGAATATTTTTATCTGGTTTGTCATTTCTTCTGACTTACCTAATAGTGTTTTGTTTTGCTTTTGCTATGAAGTGTTTTATTTTTATATAGTTGGAATTTATCAATCTTTCTTTTTGGCTTCTGTACTTTGAGTCATAGTTATGGCTTCATTTTTTTACATTAAGTTTTTCAACCATTTAGATTCTAGCCAAGTGTACATTTGGCAGGCAGTATGAACCCAAACTTGTCTTTTCCCAAATGACTATCAATTATCCCAAAAACACCATTTATTAGGTCCCAACTTTAGGCTAGGCTCAGTGGCTCATGCCTGTGATTACAGCACTTCAGAAGGCCAAGGCGGGAGGACCGCTTGAGCCTAGGAGTTTGAGACCAGCCTGGGCAACATAGGGAGACCCTGTCTCTACCTCTACCAAACACAAACAAAATTAGCCAGGCGTGGTGGCGCATGGTTGGAGTCCCAGCTACTGGGAGGCTGACATAGAGAAGATCTCTTGAACCCAGGATATTGAGGCTATGGTAAGCCGTGATCATGCCACTGTACCCCAGCCTGGGTGACAGAGTGAGACCCTATCTCAAAAAATGAATACAAATAAAAATTTAAAAAGTCCCAACTTTACTCACTGAACTGAGAAGCCACCACTATCATACACTGAATTTCCACATGTAATTATGTCATTTCTGGACTTCTGAATCTGCCCATTAGACTCTGCCTATTCATCAGCAATACTACACTTCTAATTATAGAGGCTTAACAGTATGCTTCAGTATCTGGTAGGGCTAACATGTCTCACTGCTTTCTTTTTTTTTCTTTTTTTTTTTGAGATGGAGTCTTGCTGTGACGCCAGGCTGGAGTGCAGTGGCACGATCTCGGCTCACTGCAACCTCCGCCTCCTGGGTTCAAGTGATTCCCCTGCCTCAGCCTCCCGAGTAGCTGGGACTACAGGCACGCGCCACCACCCCCGGCTAATTTTTTGTATTTTAGTAGAGATGGGGTTTCACCATGCTGGCCAGGATGATCTCGATCTCCTGACCTTGTGATCTGCCCGCCTCGGCCTCCCAAAGTGCTGGGATTACAGGCATGAGGCATTGCGCCCGGCCTCTCATTGCTCTTTTTAAAGTTTTCCTGGTTATGCCTGCTTCTTCCTTTTTCCATTTGGACTTGTCTAAGTCAAGGAAACATTGTATACATATTCAGGTACATTAAATATAAAGAGAGAACAGCTTTATAATACTGATTTGCAGTACTTGGTGTGTCTTTTTCGTTTGATCAACTTGTTCTTTTCCTCCTTCAGGAGTATCTTTAAGTTTTCCTTGTATAGGTTTTGCACAATTTTGTTAAATGTACTCCTTGGTACTTAATCATTTTCTTGTTATGGTAAATTGCCCCCTTTCCTCTACTATGCTTTCTAATTGACTGTGTTTACATGAAAGCTATTAATTTCAGTACATTACTTTTACATCCTGCTATCTTAGTGAATTTGTATTGTCTATAGTAGTTTTTTAGTTGATTATCTTGGGTTTGTAGTTATATGATCTCTTCCTTTGCAATTTCATATACTTCTCTTTTCTTTTTTTCTTTTTTTTTTTGAGATGGAGTCTCACTATGTGGCCCAGGCTGTAGTGCAGTGGCGCAGTCTCAGCTCACTGCAACCTCCGCCTCCCAGGTTCAAGTGCCTCTCCCGTCTCAGCCTCCCGAGTAGCTGGGATTACAGGCACCCACACCATGCCTGGCTAATTTTTTGTATTTTTAGTAGAGACAGGGTTTCACCATGTTGGCCAGGCTGGTCTCGAACTCCTGGCCTCAGGTAATCCACCCACCTCAGCCTCCCAAAGTGCTGGGATTACAGGTGTCAGGCAACATGCCTGGCCATACTTCTATTTCTTTATTGACCTTTTCCCATACTTTTTTTTTCATATTCTGAATTACTCCTTTTTTTAAATTGAGATGGGATCCTGCTATGTTGCCCAGGCTGGTCTCAAACTCCTGGACTCAAGCAATCCTCCTGCCTCAGCCTCCCAAGTGGCTAGGACTACAGTCACACGCCACTGCACCTACCTTCAGAATTACTCTTTTAAAGATGTGCCTCCTATATACAACTTTAAGGTGGTTTTGTTTTATGATTTAATCTGATTATGCTGTCCTCAAACAGGACATTTACATTTACTGACATGACAGCTATGTTCCATATCAATTCTGTCATACTGTTTTAGGTTACGCTTATACATTCTAAATGTCTTTCACTGTGTAGCCTCTCTTTTTTTTTTTTTTGGTGACACAAGGTCTCATTGTCGCCCAAACTAGAGTGCAGTGGCACAATCATGGCTCTCTACAGCCTCAACCTCCTGGGCTCAAGTGATCTTCCACCTAGGCTAGAACCAAGTAACTGCAACCACAGGCATGCACCATCACCCCTGGCTAATTTTTAATTTTTTTTATAGAGATGAGGTCTACGTTGCCTAGGCTGGTCTCAAACTCCTGGGCTTAAGCAATCCTTCCACCTTGGCCTCCCAAAGTGCTGTAATGACAGGCATGAGCCACGCCACCTCGCCTAGCCTCTGATCTTTTTTTTATTAAAATTCTCCTGGAATTTAGGAAGATTTATATTTTTTATCTAGAAACCACATTTATACTTATATCTTCATAAAATATCCTCAGTCTCTCCTTTCTTTATGAATTCTATCGGTTGCCTCATATAAACAACATTAATTTTAATTTATAATCTTTTAATCCCCTAGTCCTCTATTCCACTACCAATTTTGATCAGTAGTATTTTCTTTTTTTTTTTTTTCTAAAGTTTACTTTTATACTTTCAGATATGTTTAAGCTTCTGATCTGTTGTTACGACTTTCACTCTTCACTTGATCTGCTTTCCTCTGGCTCCCACCAAAACGCCTTCACAACATGTAACAAGGCCAAAGTCCCTCATGTAAGATCTACATCCTATGCCCACCAAAAAAGCTACCTTTGATGCCTGGTAAGTCAATGCTGGCATGCTCGTGGATTCCAATTCCATTCCGGATGATCCGCAAAGAACCTTCCTTGAAAGCCCCAGAGCAAGTGACCAGCTGCAAGCAGAGAAAACGTTTCTAAAGAACCCCCTCAAGATACTGGGCCAGTCATACTGATGCCCAGAAAGTAAACACGGTATACCTAAATCCAAGAACCTTTATTGTGGGGCTAGGTTTGAGGATGCAGACTTGGCAGAGGTTGATTTCCAAAGTCTTTCAAATTTACAGAGCAGACAGGACATCCTAGTCCAGGAAGCAAAAAGCTTCTACCACTGCTCCTAGCAAGCTTGCTTAGATCGCTGGGACCTAGTTTACTAGAATGAGCACAGGATCTGTTAGATACACCTGCCACTTATTAAGTTAGGTGACTTTGGAAAAAGTTACTTAATCTTTCTCAGCCCTAATTTTCCTCACTTCTGAGATGGCCAAATATCCCTATCTAGGGTACTTGTGTAATTAGAGATAATGTATATAAAGTGCCTGGCAGACCAAGATAGGCACTCAATAAACAGTAGTTATCCTTATATCACTGGGATTCATGAGGGGGCTCTTAAAAGTATTTTCAGTGCACCCTCCCCATTCTAGATAAGCATAGCTAGGAGGACACAGTTTGAGTGGGCATATACCAACTATCCACTTTCAGAATGGCCCTTACCTGCCCCTGCCCCTGCCTCTCCAGGTCCACCACGCACATATCGACAATGGGTCCTAAGTTGGTAAAGGTTTCCATGGCCACTACATAGGAGCCTTGTTCATTACTGTCAACGTTGAGCTAATAAGAAAGAACAATGTTATGTTAGTCCTAGAACACCCTAACAGACCCACCCAAAAGAGATGGTTATTGTCCAAAAGAAACTCTCAATAACTAGTTTCTAGATCTGCCATTCTCATGTTCCAAGGGATGATTCCAGAAGGGGACTATTGACGAAAGAATATGGTTGTCCCACAGGTGACCCATTAATCAGCCAAGGATTGCTGACCTAGAGTCCATGGATGGATTTCAGAGAAGTAGTGAATGTTTGAAAATTAATGTAAAATGTTTGCATGCATTTTTCTGCAGAGAAGGTCCGAAGTTTTCATATTCTAGAAGAAGTCCATTACATTAAACTATGACCTATTTGAAGGTAGGAGCTGGGTCTTGTTCATCAATGTATCCACAGCACCTAGCACCTTGCCTGGCAAATTTGCTGAATGAACCACAAAGGCAAAGAGCTAGTCAGGGGTAGGATGTTAAATTAACCAAGTAGAAAGCTGGATAGTAGGGATGTGGATAAAATGGAGAGATTCTGAGAGGTGCCAAACATAGGAGAAATTTGATGAAGAAACAGTGAGTACAGCAAAAAAGAAACCAGAAACAAGTGTCTTCTCACCTTCACAAGCTGGGAGTCACCCAGGCGAGACCCGACAAACACAACACCATTATCAAGGTATGTCAAGCACTCAGCAATAGAGGTCTGGAAGAAAGTCAGCAACGTGAAAGAAATGAGAATGGACCCTACGTGGGATCCAGATACTACCCACATCTCAGACATCTGCTGAGAAAACTCCCAACTGCAGCCATAATTCAGAACAGTTCTGTTTCAAATTCCCAGGTCACACTAAGCAAATGTTTCTAAATCTCTGAAGTTTTTGATTCTTCATCTATTGCATCCCTACACTCAGAAAAATCTATAATTTGTCTTGCATATTCCTGCTCCAAAAGATACTGCCTAAGTATTAATATTAAACTTTTTGGGAGCCTCCTCCCAGAACTGAAATCAGCAATAATCTTTTTTTTTTCTTTTTTTGAGACAGGGTCTCACTGTCACCCAGGCTGGAGTGCAGTGGTACCACCATGGCTCACTGACTGCAACATCGACCTCCCCGGGCTAAGGTGATCCTCCCACCTCAGCCTCCCGAGTAGCTGGGACTACAGGCACACACCACCATACCCACCTAATTTTTGTACTTTTTGTAGAGATGGGGTTTTGCCATATTGCCCAGGCTAATCTCGAACTCCTGGGGCTCACACAATCTGCCTGACTCAGTCTCCCAAAGTGCTGGGATCACAGGTGTGAGCCACTGAAACCAGCTAGATTGATCTTTAATTCCAGATTATATCCTTTTCTGTTTCCCTTTCTTTTCCTTTTCTCACAGGCTGCTTGGATAGATTATCACAGGATCCTGTGAGATGCTCCAATACCTAACTCATTCAACAGTCAACTTCCACAGCAGGAACAACAGTTTGTTGTTAGGTGTTAAGTAACATAATTCCCAGAGTTGAGGTGTGGGACCACACATTTGGTGTCTTTAGGAACCTAAAAGAACATTGTAGAGGAACAGGGAGAACAAGCTCTACCTCTCCAAGGAGTTCTACACGGAGATCCTTGAGAGTGACGGTGCCATCCATCTGTTCCTCCTTCTCCAAAAGCAGCATGAAGAGCCGGCCTTCCATGTCTCCCAGCAGGTATCTTGAGCCATTAGGGTCCACTCGATTGTGGCACACAATCGTGCTTTGCTGCCAATTGGAAGGAAACAGTCATTAGAGATTCAGCATCTTCTACACCAGAAAACAAACCCTACTGGACCACTCCCTTTACCAAACCCAGCCATTTTACCAGCAGACAAATCGCTCAGATAACATTACATGAAAATGAGGATAGATCCTATTGCCCATTAATAGAAAATGGGGAGCTTTTTTATTTTGAAGATAATTTTCTGAGGCGCTCCATCAATATATCTTATATGTTTACTGATATGTCGTCATTCTGCAGGAAAATAGAAATACACAGAATAGGAAGCTGCTGCCAAAATCTACTGAACTATGCATGCTACTACAAATGTTGTTATTTATTCTTAATACCACTAATTACCCCCTACCACTGTGGCAATGCTACCACAGATTTTGTTCTTTTTTTTAAAGACAGGGTCTTTCTATGTCACCCAGGCTAAAGTACGGTGGCTATTCACAGGCATGATCACAGTGCACTGTAGCCTTAAACTCCTGGACTCAAGCCATCCTCCCAAGTGGCTAGTACTACAGGAACTTGCCACTGTAGCCAGCTAGATTTTGTTCTTTTTTCTCAAAAAGAAAGTAAAATGAAACTTTTAAGGCTTAATTTTTACAACTTGATATTCTAAGTCCTTGACATTTTTGACTTTCTTAGCCTTTATAATTTATCAATATATTACTTTATATGACTTGAGCCCTGAAAACATTACATGCAATAGAAATTGCCAAAATTACGGCTGGGCACAGTGGCTCATGCCTGTAATCCCGGCACTTTGGGAGGCTGAGGCGGATGGATCACCTGAGGTCGGGAGTTCAAGACCAGCCTGACCAACATGGAGAAACCCCATCTCTACTAAAAATACAAAATTAGCCGGGCGTGATGGCACATGCCTGTAATCCCAGCTACTAAGGAGGCTGAGGCAGGAGAATCGCCTGAACCTGGGAGGCGGAGGTTGCAGTGAGCTGAGATCGTGCCACTGCACTCCAGCCTGGGCAACAAGAGCAAAACTCCGTCTCAAAAAAAAAAAAGAAACTGCCAAAATTTTCCCCTCTTAAAGTTGCCCCATGTGGTAGTTCATGCCTGTAATCCTAGCTACTTGGGAGGTTGAGACAGGAGGATCACTTGAGCCCAGGAGTTCAAGGCTACAGTGAGCTACGATCATGCCACTGCATTCTAGCTCTCCAGCCTGAGCGACAGAGTAAGACCCTGTCTCTTTGACAAAAAAAGTTGCCCCAGTCAATGAAAAGGGGAAGCCTATTTTGATTATCATTTATCTAAGTTAGCAAGCAAGTTCTCTGTAAGCAAATCCAGGCTAATCTCTCTCTGTATTCCCAATGGCCAACGCAATACCTTATATACATAGTAAATTGTGTAACAGGCATCTGTGAATCTCCTTTTGATAAATAAGAGAAAGGGAGGAGCAAGGTGAGGACAAGGAAAGAAAAGATGAAAGGAAAAAAAGGTAGGACTGCGCTCACCTTGATGATAGGAGGGGCAATAGCCAGGTATTTGTCACCATTGTGATAGGTGATTGACTCCTGTCCAATGATGATGGCCCCCCCAAAGGGCTCTGGGACTGCAGGAAAGACAGCAAAATTAGAATGCTCAGCACTCTGGGTCTGCCAAACCAGGACTGGCAAAAGTACAGGTCTAGTTAGCCCCAAGGCAAACTTTAAGGTCATCATTATTTTAAAAAGGACATCAAAGCCCAGGGAACATGATAGCCTTTACGAGACTCTTAGAATTTGTTAACTGGCCATTATCTAATCCTGGTAGTATTTTTACTGCCACTCTTCTGGTGTTCGACTATTCCTATGGGTGGGGAGTCTTCTCCATGTTCTTCCCCATGCATTCTCCCCCATTTTTCTTCTCAACTTCTAATCCTTTCCAAGTAAAAGCTTTTACTTTTTTTTCCTGGTTTCCACTCTTGTTCCTTAGCTTAACTTCCCCCCATTATCAGGGCTACCACTGAGAAGAGCCAATTTTCTCTTAAGAGTTTTAAAACTTCCCTACTGAGTGAGACAAACATAATGTAGGGGCAGACTTAGGACAAGGAGTGAAGAGGCCTGGATTCTAGCCCAGACTTTGTCAATCATGGACAGGCATGGGCAGGTCCCTCTGGCCCTGTTTCTTCATCTATGAGGTAAAGAAATCAGATAAGCTCTATTGCTCCCTTTCAGTTTTTTGTTGTTGTTTTTTTTTTTAAAGAGATGGGGTCTCATTATGCTGCCCAGGCTGAACTCAAACTCCTAGGCTCAAGTGAACCTCCCACCTCAGCCTCTTGAGTAGCTGGGACTATAGATCCTGGCTTCCTTTCAGTTTTAAATGTTATGCCCAGCAATAAAATAATGAGACTCATTTCCATATGCCACTGTGCAAATCAATCTCAATGTTTTATAGTCAATCCCTCCACCCAAGTAAAAGACAAGTTATACTTTTGGGGGGAGAAGTGAAAAACAGAAAATCTCAAAGACAGAAAAAAACAAAGCACAATTAGAGAAAGAAAACATAAAGGAGTGGTAAACAATGCACACCTTCAATAATACCGAGCGCCAAAACGAAGGGCAGAGAAGGTGAGGGAGCGAACAAGAACAGGGAACTAGCCTAGACCCAGGTGGAGGCACATTTCCTAAACCCCCTACCAACCTGCGATCACCATGGAAGCTTCAGCTTCGACATTTTCCTGTTTCCAAGGGCCCTTATTGAATTCCTTTTCTCGGAGAGACACCTCATAGGTTTTTACGTGCCGCCCCTGAGGGTCCTGGGGGGGAAAGGTAAAATGGTTAGCCCTTAGGAAGGGTGAGCCTTGGGCTAGAGAGAGGTGCTGTAAGGAATAAGCCACCACTACCCAGCATCTGACAGTCCTGTCATGTCAGCCCTCCCACCCTTATCCATCACTATACTGACAAGCACTAGCTGAGCCTGGGATGAATTCCTAGGTAGACTGCAGCATCTGAGATCTACCATTCTTAACAATTCAACCAACCAAGAAAGGTTTAAAGAATTAGAAAAATGAACTTGTCACACTGCACTAGGTACTATAAGAGATACTGTGTGCCAGGCACAGTGGCTCACGCCTGTAATCCCAGAACTTTGGAAGGCTGAGGTGGGCAGATCACCTGAGGTCAGGAATTCAAGACCAGCCTAGCCAACACGGCAAAACCCCGTCCCTGCTAAAAATACAAAAATTAGCTGGCATGGGGGCGCGTGCCTACAGTCCCAGCTACTCGGGAGGCTGAGGCAGGAGAATCACTTGAACCCAGGAGGCGAAGGTTGAGCTCCAGCCTGGGCGACCGAGCAAGACTCCATCTCAGAAAAAAAAAAAAAAGAGATACAGTGTGTGTGCCTGTGTGTGTTCCTTAGCCTCGAGAAACTTACAAAACAGCTAAGTGAAACACGCACTGATAAGCTACACCTATGAGATTTTTTTTAAATTGATACAATTCTTAAAAGCATTCTGATGGAATAATGGTAGAGAGAACACAATTGATTGCTCCGCTAAAGTTGTCAAAACTTTCAGTCCTGCCATTGTCAACATCATCTTCCCCTCCTTTTTCTGAATTATGACTCATGTCAGTCCTGGGACTGCCAAGGTCACCTTTAAGATGCTAAAAAGCAGGGACCAGAAGAAAGCTACACTCAGCCAGTGGAAGACAGCTTCAACAAAGAAGTTATGGAAGGAATTCAGCAATGTGTTTCAGGGCAGGGATCACATCTTAGTCACTGTTACAGCTCCTGAAGCATGAATACCTTTCACATAGCACTAAGTACCTAAATATTTGTCAAATTGAATTTCTGGCATAAAACAGAAGATAGTAATTTTTGGCTGATGAAAACATTTTCCCATCAATGAGTAGGGTTATGACACAACTTTGCAAAAAGTTCAAGTGTGGATTTGGGCCTCTGAGACACACATGCAGAAATGAAGATCTGATCACAGCTGGCAGCCCTGAAGCTTAGAACAACCAGCCTTGAATAATCAACAACATCAAAGTTTTAATGACCTAATATTACAAAACTAAAGAACATAGAGAAATTCTAAGTTTTTATTTTAACTCATACTAAGTAAGATCAAACAAAATCTCCTGGTTTCAACCTTATTCAATTGGGTCTTATTCCAATAGCTTCAGAACTACAGTAACACTAAGAAATATACAAAAATATATCAGCACCTCCAACATATAACAAGGCTATCAAACTGTTTATGTGCCAACACACTCTATGTGGAACTGGACTATCATTTCCTTCCATCACTTATTCAGCCACATGCAAATGAAATGATCTTATGCTGCATGGCCCTTTGTTAAAGGGCTGAGATTTTACCAAGATACTGGCATGTTAGTCTGGTGCTCTACCACCCCACCCCCGCTTAACAGATCTGGACCAGAGAACAGCTGCCCAGGATCAGCTCTGCTACAGTTTTAGGCAGACTAAAATAGAAGTTAAGAGCCAGCAAGTTGCCGAGCACGGTGGCTCACGTCTGAAATCTCAGCACTTTGGGAGGCCGAGGCAGGCGGATCATGAGGTCATGAGTTTGAGACGATTCTGGCCAACATGGTGAAACCACGTCTCTACTAAAAATACAAAAATTAGCTGGGCGTGGTGGCATGCACCTGTAATTCCAGCTACTCAGGAGGCTGAGGCAGGAGAATCGCTTGAACCAGGAGGCGGAGGTTGCAGTGAGCCAAGATCAGGCCATCGCACTCCGGCCTGGGCAACAGAGTGAGACTCTGTCTCAAAAAAAATAATAAAATAAAATTAAAATAAGCCAGCAAGTCACCAGTAAGTGATTACTGGACAAAATGTAAACCTCTTCTTAAAAAACACATATAAGGCATCACCAAGACAATTTCTCTTTGCTTAATATAAAGGCAAGATCTAGATAATTTCTTGACAACTAAGTTTTAATAATCCCCTAGCACTCCAGTAAGAGAATCAAAGTATAAACTGGGTCATCCTATGAAATCTCCCAAGGCCCACAACCAGAGTGTAATCTCAGGATTAAAACCTGCTACAAGCCCCAGAGAGCTTGCTGCCTCCACAATAAGTACTACTGCACTCAAGAAGCAACGAAAGTCTGACCCATATTAATTGTGTTGTTCAAAACATTTCAGGACAAACACATTAAACACTTCTCTCTATCCTACCAAACCCAGACATGCCAGTTAGCAAAAACAACTCCTATCACATCAACCTCACAGTTTCTCGCTCTCTCTTCCTGATCCAGTACCTGGTAGACAAAGCAAATAGTAGGTGCTTGGCAACCATATAGGAACTTGACATCAATGACATGCAGCTCCTCCAGGCGGATGTTGAAGGCCTTGAGTTCTTTATTATCGCGATCTAGTGGAATAACCTTGAAAAGGCCATCATAGAGACGCAGGCCAATCATCCGGCACTCAGGGTCAATGATGCCAATAATGCCGGTCTCTGAGGGGCGGCCAATGCGGTCCTGAGAAACAAAATCGGGATTAGGGAAGAACCTCAACATCCACAGAGCAACAGAGGACGCTGGGCACCACTTGTGCAGAAAAATTTTAGGAGAGGTATTAAAACTAATGGATCTATTTGATAGGCCAAATAGTTGGAGCCCCAATGTCAGTGCATGCCTTTTTCATGAAACACTGAATCTCAATGAATTATTACCCTGTCCCTTGGGTCTTGAGTGAACTACAGGAGTCCTTTCTCCAAAAAGCTCAAACCCATAGTGTCTTCTCCTTATTTCTCTGATCGAATAGAGAGCTGCCCCCAGCACTTTAATTTTTTCCATGAATCATGACAGCCCTACTTAGAAAACTTTCATTGGCCTAAAGCAGCCACCTCACCTGGACATTGCCATGGGCTCGCGTAATGATGTCAATGCTCTCGCCACTCTGTTTATACTCCAGGATGCAGGCATTGTACTTCGCTGTCAAGATAAACAGCAGGTCCTTGCTCTCCCCCTGGAAACCAATATTATGCTATCAAAAGAGGTTCTTTTTAAAACAGGAACAACCTGTCCAGTCTTTAAGCACACCAAATTCTTTAAGAATTTTCCAAATTCTTCTCTCCCTAAAGAGAAAATACATGGTGAGCTTGTAACCCACACTAGGTACACATACACCCTAAGGGCATGTACAAAAAGCCAGAACTGAAGCTGGTAAACATCTAGTTCTCACTTTCATGATTCTCCATCTCTCTGTTCTACAAACAAAGTCTTCATCTATTTCAATCTCAAGCTAATCTCAATCATCCCATTCAAATTCTGAAAGATGAATGTAATGCCTCCTCCACTCCTCCCCAAGTATTTGAAGAAAGAGGAAAAAAAATGTGGGAATAACAACGGAAGCTAAAATGGATCAACAAAGTCCTACTTATTTAACACAGACTCCAAAAAATTGCTGTTTTGTTCAAAGGGTTATAATTAAAATTTTGAACCCACTGCTTTCTTGCCAGATTCAGTTAAGACAACATAAAGCAATGTGGTGGTGATTTGGATGAAAACATTTGCGCTAAAATAATGAAAATACTGATGGTAATTGTTTTTTTTGTTTGGTGTTTTTTTTTTTGGAGATGGAGTCTCGCTCTGTCACCGGGCAATGGGCGCCATCTCCACTCACTGCAACCTCCGCCTCCTGAGTTCAAGCAATTCTTGTGCCTCAGCCTGCCAAGTAGCTGGGATTACAGGCACGTGCCACCACACCCGGCTAACTTTTGTATTTTTAGTAGAGATGGGGTTTCACCATGTTGGCCAGGCTGGTCTCGAACTCCTGACCTCACGTGATCCACCCACCTCGGCCTCCCAAAGTGCTGGGGTTACAGGCGTGAGCCACCATGCCCGGCCTGGTAATTGTTAACATAACTGTAAATGCTTGCTATATGATAGGCCCTATGTTACTGAATCATTTCATCGTCACAACAACCCAGGGGATTTGATCTGAAAGGTGCCTTAAGTGGCACCTAAAGTCAGAATTAACAAGAAATGAAGCCAGGACTGCCCCACTCTGTAGCCTATCCTCTGAAACAAACTGCTTTAATTTCTCCCTTCTAAAGAAGTCAACTTCATAAATGTTTCCCTAATGAATCTCTCCTTTTACTTCTAGAAAGCTTGGTCAAGAGTACATACTGAAATTTGCTATCCAAAGAGAGAAAAAAGAGAAGAGTTTTTCTCCTAAAGCATATTCCACCCATCCCAAGAATTCGCAAAACAACCTAACACAGCCCAAGCACGGTGGCATGCCTACAATACCCCAGCTACTCTACTCCAGAGGCTAAAGTGGAGGGATTGCTTGAGCTCAGGAGTTCAAGACATCCTGGGCAACACTGTGAGACCCCCGTCTCAAAGAAAATAAATAAACAAACAAAAATAACATAAAACAACCTACGACCAACAGTTCCCCCTCCACTGCTTGTCCCAACTGCAACACTTACCTTGGGCCTGAAAAGCTCCATGACCGCAATCTTCCCATACATGCCCACCTCTTTGACGGGCCGAAGCCCCTCGGCGGTGACCACATAGATCTCTAATCTCGTGTTTTTGGCAATCAACAGGTTTAAGTCTTCGGCCGAAGTAAAGTGTCCTGAAAGAACAGACCCTCTAACTTTTGAACTCAGGGGAAGGGCCTCCCATCCCTTCAAAATAATCCTATCACTTATGTCTAAATACCTCCAGAATTCTCATTTACTTCACATACTTCTCCAACTCCCTCCAGCTACTCCCCTTCTTGCCAAATCCGGCACCTCAAAGAGTCTCAGTTCATGCATTCAACAAAGCTACTTCCCTAATCAGACTAAGAAAACTGGACTGGACCTAAGAGCCGTGTGTCCTCCAAATGACAATGACTGCGTAATCCCTTCTCATGCCTCTTGCCCCTCCAATTTTACTCTATTACAGTTACAGTGGCAGGCTCTAATTGAGAATGCCGGAGAAAGTGTTCACTTCTTCCAGTCTTCATCTAAAGTCTCACAAAACTTTTATCTGACAGACCAAGTCAAATGAAGAAGTCCCAGAGCTTTATATGAAAACACTGTTTTGTCCACACCCCCTGCCCTCCTGGCAGTCTACCAATACCTCCATCCACACTCAGCTACCTCCAACTCTGAACAACAGTTTTGTTTTGGAATCATGATTAGGGTGTATATAAACATGCAAGCTTGGGGTCTGCATATTCAGCTGAGAATGTGGGTTAAGATGACTCTTCCCGGGTTCTGAACATCGGTGTCCTTAACAATCCAAGCGCATCGTCAACAAGGCAAACCCAGCACTGGGCCAGGCAAACCAAACCCTCTTCTCCAGCAGGGCCCTCATGTAAACAACAGCCCCAGGCAAAGGGGTTAGCCTGAAGAGGGCTCCTCTCCCTCTGTGGGATAATGCGGGCATTCCTCACATCCCTCCACCTCCTGGGCCCCCCAGACTTCCCCACAGGAAAATCTTGACCCCAAAGTCGTCATTACCACCTCCCCTTTTCCTGGCCACAGAAAGCCAATCTCCGGGCCCAAACGACACCGCACAACCAACTCACACTCCTCTGTCTCACTGGGCCCGCCCTGTTCTCGAGGCCGAATGACCTCCCCAGGACGAAAGGGGACCCTCGAGAGCGGCTTCCAACCCCCAAAAAGCGCGTACAGGGACGACTCTTTCGAGGTCGCGGTGCTGGGGGAGGTTCCTCGGCCGCCAGCGCCTTCCATTCGCCGGGCCCACTCCTGCCCGGCCGCCCCCGGGGCGGCGGGCCTCCCTAGGCCGCGGCTCCCCCCAACTCCCTCACTCGCCGGGGTCTCCGGCCCCGGCAGCCTCACCGGTCACGCAGCCGTTCACGGCGGTGGGCTTCTGGGCCGTTACCACGTAGTTGTACGACATGTCGAGGCTTGGAGCGGCCCGTCGGGACTCGAGCGCGACACTAGAAAGAGGGACACAAGCGAAAAGACAGGTGGCCCCCAACAGCGCGCAGCGAACTCCACTGCCGCTGCCTCCGCCCCAGAGACACGTTGCAGGCCAGAGCGGCCGGGGCGCGGGGCATCACGGGACGGCCTCACCTGGCCTCTTGGAGGACTCCCGAAGCCCGAGGCCGCCAACCGAAGGAGGCCCCGCCCCCGGAGGCACCGCCTCGCCTCTTTCCGCCAGCGCCCGCAGGACCCGGATGAGAGCGCACGCTTCGGGGTCTCCGGGAAGTCGCGGCGCCTTCGGATGTGGCGGATGCGGCCGTGAGCCGGCGGGGGAGGTGCGCCAGTGTCCTCCGAGCTCGCCCGCAGACTCCCCACCCCGTTCCGCGCCCTTTGCCCTTCCCCGCATCCAGTCCTCCTTCCGTTGCTCCAGGAGCCCTCGGGCTGTTCCTCCTTTGGGAACGGGAAGGACTGCGGAGGCATAGAGAGGGAAGGGAGACCGCGATTCGTGCATATCCCAGACTAGAACCTTGCCTGCTTTCCTTTCACTGTCTCAGTTCCTCCAGATCCAGCTGGTGCCCTCGCCTGACGTTTGAACGACCACCTGCTCACCTCCTCCCTTTTGCGCGTTGATTCTTCAGACTTCAAAGGGCCCACCGGTCTGCTTGCCCAACGTTATTAGTGCCCCTATTGCTCTACAAATTCGAACCTCAAACACAAAACCAGTATTTCTCCGTAGGGAACCTTAATGAGCCAGGAGAGCCGTCAGCCCTGCAGCCTCCAGGGTACCCCACATCAAACAGGCTCCCCGGGAACAAGAGGAATACCACGTGGCTTGGCACACTCGCAGAATGCCAGAGAGGAGCCAACCCCCATTTTACAGATGAGGAAGCTGAGGCTTAGGGAGGAATTGGTTTACCTAAGACCCTCCCCACAACCCCAAGTAGGCTGAGGCAGAGCTATGTTGATTCTTCCTATTGTGCACCCACACAGAGGCCAACACGCTGCTGAACCAGGCTGAACTGAGGAAAAGCTAGAAAGTCATCGTGGTTTACATCTTGCCTTTCCCATAGCAGAGACTCTGCCTGACTTTGGAGGCACTGAATTATCAGTAGTAAAAACACACTCTGTAGAAAAACTAGACATTGGTTTAGATTCTGGCTGTTACCTGTATTACCTTGGACAAGTCCCTAGAGCTCTCTGAGTCTGTTTCCCAGAAGTAAAATGGGTCACAAACCTGGCTAGCTCCCCCCATTCCCTTCCCTTTTGGTGCCAAGGCCAGTGAGGGCAAGCGTGTGACGAGCTTTGTTAACTTTTTCGCTGCATGTGATGCCCGTGTAAAAGATAGTTATTCTGAGGATCACTGTCCTTTAGTGATGAAGTGGGTGCTGTTCCTGGACATAAAGGCAGACCTGTGCTTGACATGGATTGATCTGTCTTCTGGCAGTGAAGTGCAGGCATGAACCTTGGTCAGCCCCACACTCTTCTCCATCCGTAGCCCATGTACTAGAGTTTGGACTTGGACCGAAGTCTGGGGCAGCTCCCTAATTACTAGGGTGCTGAAGGCGTGATTGTGCCAGTCGACTGCGAGTTCCTTCCGCAGCTTGTATCGTTACCCACTCCTGCAGGTGCTGCTGCTGCCTCCACTGTACTCAGACCCAGGTAGCACAGGATTGTCCATCCTCCAGCAGCTCAGTGCAACGGTGTGAACTCAGCCTGTTTCAGAGCCTCCACACCATGGTGAGTCATACAGGGCCGGGACGGGAATGGCAGCATGGTCTCAAAGCAGGATCCCAGCCTTGGGCAAGCTAAAGCTCCTTACACTTTGACTGAGAGATGCTATTGCCTCCTGAGGCTCACGGGTGAAGAGAGAGGGTCATCCTCTCTCCCAGGGTCTGATCCCTGCTTTTCTTTGTTTCCTGGAGGCTGCTGGTCCCAGCCAGGCCTGGGGCTGCAGCCTCTTGAGTCCCTTCAGAGCCACTCTGCCCCTTATCTGGGTCTTGCATTCAGAGTAAAACAGTAACAGTTACCTGCTCTGTAATAGACATTGTACCGGTCACAGAAGGAATCGTGAAGAATGACCATGTGACCGTTCCTAACCTTGGGGCTTATGTGGGCCGGTCTGGAGCTGGGATCTACAGTGTGGGAGGCTGGCCATGTCCCTGGGCTTTGCTCCAGGCCCACTGATTTGAACCAAAACAAGCCTTGAACATATCTGGATTCAAATTTCAGCCTGCCACTGACCAGCTGCATGACCTTTTACAGACCTCTCTGCGCCTCTTTTTCTTCATCTGCATTATAAGGCAAATTAAGGCCTACCTCCAGTGGTTGTGTGGTGTTGATCAAGCAGAGTCCTGGAGGCCTCACTTGACTTCCTTTCCTTTTCCATCCTTTCAGGCCACTGAAACCAGGGATAGCACTGGTCCCTAAACCCTCTTCTGGCTCTGTAAAAGACAGATTATCATGATGGGGAGCAGGCCACTTTCTTGGAGGGTAGTGCTGCTGGAGGCTGGGCTTGGAGTGAGGCCAACTCACAACTTCATTGTGTGTTCCAGTCCCTGGTAGGCTCTGAGAGCCACAAACCCATGTCCTTTCTAGGGCAACCTCTGTCACCCTCCACTTCCCTCCAGCCCCTCGAGAAAGCAGCATGATATGGCCAAAAGGGAACCAGCTTTGGAGCCAGGCAGACCTGGACACCTGCTGGCTGTGTGACCTTGGGCAAAATAGTTTAACTGTGCCTCAGTTTCCTCACTGGGCTCATCTTTCCTCCATAGGGCTGTTGGGAAGTTTTGTTTTGTTTTAGTTTGGGTTTTTTTTTTTGAGACGGAGTTTTGCTCTTTTTGCCCAGGCTGGAGTGCAATGGCGCAATCTCGGCTCACCACAACCTCCGCCTCCCAGGTTCAAGCAATTCTCCTGCCTCAGCCTCCCGAGTAGCTGGAATTACAGGCATGTGCCACCACGCCCAGCTAATTTTGTATTTTTAGTAGAAATGGGGTTTCTCCATGTTGATCAGGCTAGTCTCGAACTCCCAACCTCAGGTGATCCACCCGCCTTGGCCTCCCAAAGTTCTGGGATTATAGGCATGAGCTACCACACCCGGCCTGTTGGGAAGATTAAATGAGACATGCTCAAAAACACTTAGAACTGGGCCTGGCTCTTAGTCACTGCTCAGCAAATGGAACCAATCTTATTGTTCTTCTTGCTCCCTACAGACCTAGGCTACTCTGAAGCAGGTGGCTTAGCCCTGGCCCTGGCTGGATGCAGGACAGGTTGGCAGGGAGGCAGCAGAGCCAAATTTTGTACAAAGGAGCTGGTGCTAGCAAGCTCAGGAAGAAGCCACAGCCGGAAGTTCACCTTGCCAGGACCTGGCTCAGCTGCAGGTTCCCACCGGGCCACCAGGTGGCGGTGGGAGCCCAGCCCTCTGAGTCCACGTTGGGCCCCAGTCTCACTCTGTCTTCAGGACAAAGCCAGGGGCTGCAGCCCTTGTTCAGCAGACTCTGGCTTTTCACAGCCTGTTTGAAAAAGGGAGTAGCTTCATTTGATTGAGTTTCCACTATATCATGGGCATATACTCTGTTCTAGTAAATCCCTATTTTACAGAGGAAGAATTTTAGCTCCCGACAATGATGTATCTTCCCTGAGTTCCTGCAGCTAATGAGAGGCAGAAGTGGGATTTGAACCCAAGTCCCTGTAACAGCAGAGCTCAAGCCACACTCCATTCTGGCCCCCACGCTACTCACTTCTGTCTGCACCCTGTATCCACTCAGCCAAGCCTGGCGGCACTGCTCTGTAACCCTCCACCAGCCTGTCCACAACCCCTCCTGAGGCTGCCTGTGGCCAGTCCTCTCCTCCCCACCCCTTCCTGCTGGTCACCCGTGCTTCCTGGCACCACCACACTATTCACTCATCCAGGCCTTGGCTTATGCTCCCCCTCTGGCTGGAAGAGCCTCCCTTTTCCCTCCTCCCATGTCTCCTGCCCCCTTTTTCCCTACCCCGGTCCTGCTTATCCTTCCCAGAGACCTCCAGGCCCCTCGGGAGGCTGCGGCCCCTCCTCTATGCTCCCATGGTGCACGTGCGCTCCTCGTGTAGCAGTGCCCACTACACATGGCTGTGACCTCTGCTGTGTTTCCACTGAGGGCAGGAACAGCATTGTTATCTCTTTTTTTATTTCCGAGATGGAGTCTCACTCTGTCACCTAGGCTGGAGTGCAGTGGCACGATGACAGCTTACTGCAGCCATGACCTCCCAGGTTCAAGTGATCCTCCCACCTCAGCCTTCCGACTAGTGGGACTCCAGGCATGCACCACCATGCCTGGATCATTTTTCATATTTTTTGTAGAGATGGAGTCTCATCATGTTGCCCAGGCCGGTCTCAAAGTCTTGGACTCAGGCGATCTGCCTGCCTCAGCCTCCCAAAGTGCTGGGATTACAGGCATGAGCCACTGCACCTGAGCTGTTATCTCTACACATAGTGTCTAGTGCTGGGCCTGGCATACCAAGAGGCTGGGGAAATGTTTGCCCCGCGTTGGAGCACCAGGGAGCAGCGGTGGCTGTGGAACCTGCTCAGCTCCTCCCCCAGCATAGGAGCCTCAGCCTGAGGCTTTTCTTCCTTTTGACAGAAGAAGGTGTTGGGCCCCAGTTTTATTAAAATATTTTACACTGCAGGCAACCACTCCCCCATTTTCTTTGTATTGCAGCCATTTTTTCAGAATAAATTGAAGGTATGGTGCAAGACACTTCATAAATTAGGTACTGAATAGAAAGTCACACATTACTGAAAACTCACAGAAATACCCACCTAAGATGTCGCCCAACTCAAGGAAGTCCTGTGCTCCTGGAGTTCCTAGGTGGATGCGGGAGAGGGGTCTACACCACAGCAGTGTGGCTGCGCAGGATGGGGGTATCTGTACTGACCACATTCTGACCTCCTTCTCACTCCTCCCTTGCAGACCTCCAAGAAGCTGGTGAACTCGGTGGCTGGCTGTGCTGATGACGCTCTTGCTGGCCTGGTGGCCTGCAACCCCAACCTGCAGCTCCTGCAGGGCCACCGCGTGGCCCTCCGTTCTGACCTGGACAGCCTCAAGGGCCGGGTGGCACTGCTGTCGGGTGGGGGCTCTGGCCATGAGCCTGCCCATGCTGGTGAGTATCCTGGGGTGGGGCAGGGGGTACTAGTGGAGTGGACAGGGCCTCCTGGGGGATCCTTAGTGCTGCCATGAAGTGCAGGATGGAGCTCAGCCCAGAATCAGGAACTGGGGTACTTCCCACTCTCCCACTCCCTCCGGCTGGGATCAGGGGCCCATCACGGCCTCTCTGAATCTGTTTCTACATCTACAAATCTACGAAGTTGGGCCAAACAATCTCTCAAGTCCTTCTAGCTCTGAGAGTCGGTGATTCCATGAATCTTCTGGACCCTCCAAGCCCAGCAGACCCACCCCGATTCCATGAAGGCTTCCTGACTCTTCCAGCCTACAGCAGCACCCCTCTTCTGAATTCCCACCTGCTGTGTCCCACTTGTGGACTGTCCTGGCTTCTTTCCTGTGTGGAGCCAGGGACGCAGACTCTCCTTGAGGGCTGCTGGAGGGCAGGGACTAGGATGCGCGTCATTTCTCTGCTTCCTGTCTTCCTTCAGCAAAATCCATTCATTTGGCAAACACTCATGAGCCCACTGTGTACCTGGCGCTGTACTGGGCACTAGGGATACCAGACAGGCAAGGTCCCTGCCCTCGTGGAGCTTATATTCTACTTAGGGGAGACAGACAATAACCAAGTAAACACGAAAGTAAATGAGATCATTTCAGAGGGTGCTAAGTGACTTAGTAAAGACAGTAAAATGGGGCAAAGGAACAGTGAGTCCCTGGGGAGGGAGCTGGTGACTGCTTCAGGCTGGGAGGTCACAGAAGGCCTCTCTAAGATGCCTCCTAAGAAGGAGTCAGCCATGTGAAGACCTGGGGGATCTTTGAGCACCAAGCACACAGTAGGGCTCACCAAACCATGACCCCCGGAGTGTGGGAAGCCCCAGTGACTACAGGCGCGAGTCCCACCCAGCATGCTCACTCCACTCCTTCCACCTCCAGGTTTCATAGGGAAGGGGATGCTGACTGGGGTCATCGCGGGAGCTGTGTTCACCTCCCCGGCAGTGGGCAGCATCCTGGCAGCCATCAGGGCCGTGGCCCAGGCCGGCACAGGTAAGCCTGGCATGCAGGAGGGGCTGCGGCAGGGAGGGCACAGTAAGCACACTGAGCCCTTCCGGCTGCTCCCGCAGTGGGGACGCTCCTTATCGTGAAGAACTACACTGGGGATCGGCTCAACTTCGGCCTGGCCCGGGAGCAGGCCCGGGCTGAAGGCATCCCGGTGGAGATGGTGGTGATTGGGGACGACAGCGCCTTCACTGTCCTGAAGAAGGCAGGCCGGCGGGGGCTGTGCGGCACGGTGCTTATACACAAGGTGGGCTTCCACCGGGGACGTGGAGACTGGCCAGCCCTTTCCAGCCTTCCCTTGCCTGGCAGCACCCAGTAACTGGACCTTTCCAGCCCTTCCCCAAGAAGCTAGTTCTTTTTCTCCAGTGTTCCCTGATCTCAGAAGGCCCCGCCATCCCCTCAGCTACCTAAGCCCAGATACAGGCATTTTCCCAGACTCGTCCCCTTTTCTTCTCCACACCCAATCAGTTGCCCGGTCCTGGTGCTTCTCCTCCCAAATGTACAACACACATCCTTCTCAGACCCCGCCCTCCTGCTTTGCCTTGGTTCAGGGGTCATCTACTCATGCCTGATGGCTGCAGCCACCTCCTCACTGGGCTCCCCTGCCTGCTTCCTGCCTTCTGGCCTTGCTCATCCATTCTCCACACTACTGCCAGAGGTGTCTTTTTAAAATGTGTATCTGACTAGGTTATTCATCCACTGAAAGCCTTCTTGGGTGCCTACAATCAATACAAGCCCTCACCATAGCTCCCTGACTCCCCACCTTCATCTCCCATCATCCCTGCCTTCCTCTTTTTTTTATTTTCTTTTATTTATTTTTTATTTATTTATTTATTTTTTGAGGCAGAGTCTCACTCTGTTGCCCAGGCTGGAATGCAGTGGCGCGATCTTGGCTCACTGCAGTCTCCGCTGCCCAGGTTTAAGTGATTCTCCTTCCTCAGCCTCCCGAGTAGCTGGGATTACAAGGCGCCTGCCACCACGCCCGGCTAATTTTTGTATTTTTAGTAGAGATGTGGTTTCACCATGTTGGCCAGGCTGGCCTCGAACTCCTGACCTCAAGTGATCTGCCCGCCTCGGCCTCCCAAAGTGCTGGGATGACGAGCGTGAGCCACCGCGCCCAGCCATCCCTGCCTTCCTCTTTTTTTTTTTTTTTTTTTTTTTTTTTTTTTTTTTTTTTGAGACGGAGTCTCGCTCTGTCGCCCAGGCCGGACTGCGGACTGCAGTGGCGCAATCTCGGCTCACTGCAAGCTCCGCTTCCCGGGTTCACGCCATTCTCCTGCCTCAGCCTCCCGAGTAGCTGGGACTACAGGCGCCCGCCACCGCGCCCGGCTAATTTTTTGTATTTTTAGTAGAGACGGGGTTTCACCTTGTTAGCCAGGATGGTCTCGATCTCCTGACCTCATGATCCACCCGCCTCGGCCTCCCAAAGTGCTGGGATTACAGGCGTGAGCCACCGCGCCCGGCCCCTGCCTTCCTCTTATGGTCTCTTCACGCCAGCTCCTGTACCTGCCAGGCTATGGATCATCTCTGGCTTTGCTTATGCAGTATCTGTGGCCTGGAAAATTCTTTCCTTGTCCAGCCTCCTTTTGGCCTGGCTAACTCCTACCATTCTACAGAGGCCCAGCTCTGATGTCTCCCCACCTGGAAGGCTCTCCCTGATCTCCATCTCCCCACTACCCTGAGCTGGTTGGCAGCCAGTCCTAGTGTGGACTCCATCACTGTAATTACCACCTCACATAAATTTTCAATTTATGGGTATCTGCTTCCCTAGCCTCTCCCCAGGCTGTGAGTTCTTGAAGGTGGAGACTGTGACTTAGTCGCCTTTTTTCCTTTTCAGCATATACTAGATGCTTGGTAAAAATTGGGTGGATGGATGGATGGATAGATGGGTAAAGTGACCCAAAATAGCAAGGCTATGGGAGAGAGAACTCTGGAACTCTAGAGTTGGGAAACTGGCCACCCACTGGCTGTGTGACATTGGACAAGTCACCGCCCCTCTCTGGGTCCATTTCCCCATTTGTAAAGTCTCTTCTGACTCCAACAGACTGGAATTCTTGAAGATTCCTGGCAGGTACACTGTGAATGAGGGGAGTTTGCTCTTCTGCCCTAAATGTGATGGGCCAGGTTGAGTGTGAAAATCCTGAGGTTCCCCCTTCCCAACAAGAAATTCATCCCCTGCCTGTCTTCTACCCCACATGGTACAGTGATACCCTCCCCCCTGGGGCTTTTACCTCTTTGTGGCTGCAGGTGGCAGGTGCTCTGGCTGAGGCTGGTGTGGGGCTGGAGGAGATCGCAAAGCAGGTGAACGTGGTCGCCAAGGCCATGGGTGAGTGCTGGCCTGGGAGCTGGGGAAGAGAGTGGGGAAGGTTGGACAGCCCTGGGGCGAGGAGCAGGTTCCTGTTGGCTGCCTAGCGGTGCTCCCCAGGTTATTCCCCAGGGGTCTAGGGAGTGTATCCCTGGGGGAGCTCCTGGGGACTGGTGGCCTTGGGTACCATGGCTGAGGTGGAGAGTCTGGCAGCCTTTCTCAGAGAAGAGGGTACCTGTGGGCAGGGCCTCTGAGATGC
Organism: Homo sapiens; assembly: GCF_000001405.40. NCBI lineage: Eukaryota > Metazoa > Chordata > Mammalia > Primates > Hominidae > Homo > Homo sapiens. Next base: position 61,341,753 of record NC_000011.10, read on the forward strand.
TGCTGCCACCCTTCCTGATGCCCAGTGCTAAGAGTGGAACAGTCATCCCTTCATGCCTTGTTTCTCATAGGTACCCTGGGGGTGAGCTTATCCTCCTGCAGCGTCCCTGGTTCCAAACCCACCTTCGAGCTCTCAGCCGACGAGGTGGAGCTGGGCCTGGGTAAGCTTGTGGCCATCCATCCCAGCCCTGCCTGCTCCTTGGCCCTGGACTTTGCCCACCTTGCATACCCTTAGAGCCATCAACCTGGTCCTCTCCCCAGGTGGTCTTAGTATTTTTACCTGGTCATTTGAGGCCCAGCCTGGGCCAACCTGCCTGATTTCTACCTGCTTTGCTGTCTATACCCACAGCTTTGGCCATGTGGAGCTCTGTGCACTGCCCACCTCCTAGCCTTTGCCTGCCATTCCCAGGTCCTCCTGTCCCTGCCAGAATACACCCTTCTTTCAACGGCTGTTCAAAGATCACCTGGCTGCAAAGCTTTCTTTCCTCGCCTGTGCTTCCTCCTTAACTATCTCTAGTTAAAGCTATCTCCACCACCAGGCCACAAGCTCCCAGAGAACAGAGATCGTGTTTTTCATTATTCTGTCCATTTCCATCCCCCACTCCCGCCCACTTACTGTGTGAGTCCAGCACTGTGTGAGTCCTTGATAAAAACGATGAGCAAATCCCCAGGCCTTGAGTGGGTCAGCAGTGACCACATCTATCCGCAGGGATCCACGGGGAAGCTGGTGTGCGCCGGATAAAGGTAGGTGGTCCCTCTGGCACAGGCCGCCCTAAGGCCAAGGCCCCCCAGATGCAGCTCATTCCTGGCTCCCTCTGACAGATGGCAACCGCCGATGAGATTGTGAAACTCATGCTCGACCACATGACAAACACCACCAACGCGTCCCATGTGCCTGTGCAGCCCGGTGGGTAGCCTCTCGCCCGCGTCTCCCAACCCCTCCTAAACCTCTGGGGAGGAGACGCCCAGAGGGTCTCACCTGGGGTGTCATGTCTACCCGCAGGCTCCTCAGTTGTGATGATGGTCAACAACCTGGGTGGCCTGTCATTCCTGGAACTGGGCATCATAGCCGACGCTACCGTCCGCTCCCTGGGTGAGCCATGCACTGGGAAGGGGATCCTACAGCCCTTTGGAAAGGGCTGAGGGAGGGTCTTGTGATGGCAGAGAACACGGACTGTGCGTCAGATAAGCCTGAGTTAAATCGTCTCTCTGCCACCTAATTGCCGGATACCTTGAGCCTCTGTTTGTTTTCTTGTCTGCAAATTGGGGGTAATAATAATGGTACCTGCTTTATACCGTTGTTTTGAGGATTAAGTGAGATTAAACATATGTAAGACACTCAACACAGCGCCCAGCACCTGGCACGAACTGAGTAAATGAGACCTGTAATTACTCATCTTCCCCGACGTAGGGGACACCTCCAGGGAACGTGGTCATTTGTGGGGTTATTGAGGGATGCCTGCCAGGAGGAAATCAGGACATCTCCCTCCCGACCTCAGAGCCCCAGCTTCCAAGGTCCTTGCTTTTCTGTTGTTTTCTTTCCCTGATGCCCATTTTTCCCTTTTGGACTGCCACACTCTGGTATTGCAGAGGGCCGCGGGGTGAAGATTGCCCGTGCCCTGGTGGGCACCTTCATGTCAGCACTGGAGATGCCTGGCATTTCTCTCACCCTCCTGCTGGTGGATGAGCCTCTCCTGAAACTGATAGGTGAGACTTGGAACCTGGGGTCACCCAAGCCAGGGCTCCTTGTAACTGGAAGGAGCCAGGGAGACTTGGAGACCCCGTCAGGGCTGACCGTGACAATCAGGGCTCTGGAGCCTGTGAAGAAGGCTCTTCCTGGGCTTCTCCAGCCTTCTCCAGCTCTCACTGGACTAGAAGGAGTTGGTATTAGGATCCTCCTCAGAGAGGCCTGACCCTTTCCCAGGGACCCTCTCTCCATACCCCTGTATACAGTAGGCACTCAGTCCATGCTTGTCGAGGTGGACTCCCTTCCTCCAGGGCTGCTGAGAAAGCCAGGCCACCAGGGTCAGGATGGGAGGGTCCAAGCCCTGCTGAATCCCTGGCTGGACAGCCGTGTCTAAGAGAGTTATCTTGCTGCCCTTAGATGCTGAAACCACTGCAGCAGCCTGGCCTAACGTGGCTGCAGTCTCCATTACTGGGCGGAAGCGGAGCCGGGTAGCCCCTGCCGAGCCCCAGGAGGCCCCTGATTCCACTGCTGCAGGAGGTACCAACCCCTGCCTTTGGGGAAGGGACAGGCTTCCCAAAGGATGCAGGAGTATACGGTGGGGCGGGTAGGGGCCCTGGCACCCACACCTCCCACCATAGTCAAGTGTGGTTGTGAGAAGGGCCTGGTGGGCCTGTTCTTCAGCATCCTCCCTTTCTAGGCTCAGCCTCGAAGCGGATGGCGCTGGTGCTGGAACGGGTGTGCAGCACTCTCCTGGGCCTGGAGGAACACCTGAATGCCCTGGACCGGGCTGCTGGTGACGGCGACTGTGGCACCACCCACAGCCGTGCGGCCAGAGGTTGGTGCCAGGGACTTTGCCAAGTGAGGTCATTCACAAAACCTTAGCCCCCCTTCCACTTGTTTCCCTGAAGGCAGGGACCTTCCTTTTTTTTTTTTTTTTTTTTTAAGAAGGAATCTCACTCTGTCGCTAGGCTGGAGTATGCAATGGTGTGATCTCGGCTCACTGCAGTCTCCGCCCCCCGGGTTCAAGTGATTTTCCTGCCTCAGCCTCCTGACTAGCTGAGATAACAGGCATGCGCCACCACGCCTGGCTAATTGTTGTGTTTTTAGTGGAGACGGGGTCTCGCCATGTTGGCCAGGCTGGTCTCTAACTCCCCACCTCAAGCCATCCGCTCGCCCTGGCCTCCCAAAGTGCTGAGATTACAGGCATGAGCCACCACACCCGGCCGACAGGGACCTTCTTAACACCACAAATGTATGAGGTTGTTATCTTAGAATTAAATGAAATCCTTCACAGTGAATAACTTACAACTCAAGGCGAACTTATTCTGTTGTCCTTATTTTTCTCAGTTTACCCAGACCAGTGAAAAGCTCTTAACTGTCCAGCATCATTCATTCGAGAAAAAGGTATTTGGTGCCTGCCGTGGGGCAGGCACTGCTCTCAGCTGTGGATACAGTAGTGAACAGAGCAGACAGAAATCACTGCCCTCATGGCTTATGTTCTAGGTGGAAGACAGTCAACCAGATAAATCAGTAAAACACAGAGGATGTTAGCACAAAGGGCTAAGGAGAAAAAAACCAAGCCAGGGAGCAGAGTACAGAGCGTCAAGTGGAGGGCTTCGGGGCAGGCCTCACCTCCCCAGGCCCCTTTCGGTTACGCAGCCCAGCCCCTCTCCAGACTGCACACTGGATGTGGAAAGGGATCTTGGGAAGCCTTCATTCCACTTCCCTGTCGGCCTTTTCCAGCCTTCATTGGTGCTGGCTGGAAGTCTGGCAGATGGAGGGAGGATCTCTGAATTCCTCCCCATCTCTCTCTGCCTGCAGCAATCCAGGAGTGGCTGAAGGAGGGCCCACCCCCTGCCAGCCCTGCCCAGCTGCTCTCCAAGTTGTCTGTCCTGCTCCTGGAGAAGATGGGAGGCTCATCTGGGGCGGTGGGTGCCTGGGGGCTGAAGGGCTGACAGGGAGGTGGCTGGGCTGGCTGGGGTCCAGGCCAGCACCACATGCTCAGCGTTGTCATCTTCCCCAGCTCTATGGCCTGTTCCTGACTGCGGCTGCACAGCCCCTGAAGGCCAAGACCAGCCTCCCAGCCTGGTCTGCTGCCATGGATGCCGGCCTGGAAGCCATGCAGAAGTGAGCCAGAGCCCTGTGCATCAGACCAGGGGTGGGCTGGGGGAGGTGTTTGGTGACATCTGCGCCCTGCCAGGCCCTAGCCCAACCCTCAGAGTGATTCCCTTGGTTCCCTATAGTGAGCCTCTTTCACTCTCTTTCCCTGCCAGGTATGGCAAGGCTGCTCCAGGGGACAGGACTATGGTATGTACTCAGGCTGTGGCCTCAGACCTTTCTCCTTTTGGCCCTGTAAGTCTAAAGAGCACCCTCGGTTGCAGGGCCCGTGCTCAGCCCCCTTTCCTTCACCTTGTCCAGCTGGATTCTCTGTGGGCAGCGGGGCAGGAGCTCCAAGCCTGGAAGAGCCCAGGAGCTGATCTGTTACAAGTCCTGACCAAAGCAGTCAAGGTGAGTGAGGCTGGGCCCAGCCACCTGGGGAGACAGGCTTCTAGCCAGCAGACTCCTGTCTCCATGTGACCCTGAGCAAGTTAATAACCTTCCTGGACCGCAGTTTCCTTCTCTGTACAATGGAGATGAGCACCTATCTCAGAAGGTGGTTATGTGGCTAAGGAAATATGTAGAGCCCCGCACACTGCCTGGGATGTGACAGGGCCTCAGTGAATGGTGACCCTTTTCCCTGCTGGAAGTAGATGAGAAGTGACTTTCCATTTGGTGACAGAGCAGAGGGTGCTGGCAGAGCCAGGGCAAGGGCGTGCAGGGCCAGGCTGCACGGCAGAGACGTTCTGCCCATGGCAGGAAGGAGGCGGCCTGGTGATCTGCCCTTGAACCTGCTCCCACACCCCATCCCCCAGAGTGCCGAAGCTGCAGCCGAGGCCACCAAGAATATGGAAGCTGGAGCCGGAAGAGCCAGTTATATCAGCTCAGCACGGCTGGAGCAGCCAGACCCCGGGGCGGTGGCAGCTGCTGCCATCCTCCGGGCCATCTTGGAGGTCTTGCAGAGCTAGGGTGTGTGACTGCCTCCCTTGGCCTCAGCTCCTCTCACTGCTGTGCTGAGGTGGCCTTTGTCACTTCCTTCTGCCTTCCAACCCTCACCTTCCCCCGGCCTGGCCCCATTGGCCCACCCTCTAAGTTGAGCAGGAAATCCTCCACCAAGCTTCCAGAACTACAGACAGCACCCAGAGTGAGCTGGAGTGGGTCCCCATGCCTCTCCAGCATGCCCTTTCCCTTTGCAGGAGGGTGGAGTCCCTGGGTCATGCCCTCCCCTGCCAGCTCTGGGCTTCAGAGATAAGGCATTTTCCTTGTGCAGCCTTTACCTGGCAATCCTAATTTGGTTTTAAGACTCCCTGTGAAATGCTTTCCGCACCTTAACCCCAGTGAGCGTGAAAAAGAAAGTTAATAAACTATAATACATGGAAGCAAGAAAGACACTGCCTCCTCTGAGGGACCTTTTCCCAAGCATGTAAACAAGGGGGCCCACAGCCCTGGCTGCAGGCATCATGACCCATCTTCTACCAGGCAGATCTTTATTACCTGAGCCCCTAAGGCAGTGTCTCCTCAGCTGGGCTGCTTCCACTGAGACCCCCGACCCATCCCCTTTCCAGTACACACACCTGATGCATGTAAGAATGGTAGAGGGGCTTTTCTTAGCATTGAATTAATAATTCAGTGGCTCCTCGGGAGTCGAATGGGCATTTGGGACACCAGAAGGAAAAGAAATCATCATAGTCTAAGGTTCAGTTGTAGATCAAAAAATGCAGCCAGGCCGGGCACGGTGGCTCACACCTGCAATCCCAGCACTTTGGGAGGCCAAGGCAGGCGGATCCCTTACACTCAGGAGTTCAAGACCAGTCTGGGCAACATGGTAAAACCCTGTCTCTACCAAAAAATACAAAATTAGCCAGGCATAGTAGTGTGTGCCTATAGTCCTAACTTGGGAGGCTGAGTTGGGAGGATGGCTTGGGCCCAGGAGGTCGAGGCTGCGGTGAGCCATAAGCATGCCACTATACTCCAGCCTGGGCAACAAAGCGAGACCCTGTCTCAAAAAAAAAAAAAAAAAAAAAAGAAACTGCAGCCAAGCCAGCCCCTAGGTCTCTTTCTAGAGCGATCACTGATGGCACCAGGGTGAGCAGGGGCACTGTATGCATGTGGAGACAAACAGCACATGCCTGGCACACATGTAGGGTAGGGAGTGGTTAAAGGCACTGGCTGTCGACTCATACACATGATCTGAAATCTGATTCTGCTTTAACCCGGCTACAGGAGCTAAGGCCTATTTTTTAGCCCTTTGGGATCTGTAAAATCAGAATGGTACCCACCTCATGGGGACATGAAAGGATTCAAATGAATTGATGAAGATGGGCCATAAAGCCCAGCACAGTCCAAGTGCTCACTCACTGAGAGTTACGGTTATCACAGGGGTTGGGCCCCCAGCCCCTCCCAGGTCATCTGCTCTACCACTAGCTGGTAGGAAAGAGCCTCCTGCCCTCCCAACCCCCGTCACCTACTTGGCCCAAATTTGGCTGCAGGCTCCCCGAGTGCCTGGGCTTCTCTACCCAGGGTCCTGTCTGTCGGCTGCACCATACGTCCCTGACCACAAGGCATCCACGTGCACAGGAGTATGCGCCCAGCAGCTGGGAAGGAGGCTGACCTCAGACGGTGGCCTGTGGATCCCAGCTCTGTCATTTCCTGGCTGGGTGACCTCAACCTAGTCACCCTTTTTGAGTCTTGTTTTCTCAGATTATGAAATAGGAAAAATTTCCTTCCTCGTGAGATAAGCACGTGCCATTAGCTATTAAGGACACGCACATAAATGAGCTGCATGTGAATCCACACATGCCATTCCATGAAGACAGAGGATCATGTGGATCTTTGGTGCCTTCCGGTTGGCCCCTCCCTAGGTCTGTGAGGGTCAGACCTGTCCTGAGGCTTTTACAAATTGGCCCAGAACTCATTTAACCACAGCATCATTTCATTAGAGGGCTGTTATTAGAGACTGAATGTTTGTGTCCCCCCCAAATTCCTGTGTTGAAAGGCTCACCCCCACTATGGTAGTGTTAGGACGTGGGGCCTTTGGGAGGTGATGGGGTTATGAGGGTGGAGCCCCAGAGAGCTCTCACGCCCTTTCCACCATGTGAGGTTATGGTGAGAAGATGGTCTCTGAGGAAGCTGGCCCTTGCCACACACCACATTTGCCAGCGCCTTCATCTTGGATGTCTATAGCCTCCAGAACTGTGAGAAATAAACACTTGTTGTTTAAGCCACCCAGGCTATTATATTTTTGTTATAGCAGCCTGAACAAAGACAGCTTTGATTCTTAACATATTTAATGAAACTCGAGCTTCATAAACCAGTGAAATGCCTACCCCTATGGAGATGGGGAGCTGGTCATGGGACCCAGGTGCCTGGAGGACATCCCAGTGGCTTTGAAGGCTCCAGCCAGTCAAGACGGTCAATATTAGCCCTTCTGCCAACATCTGGCAATGTGAGGCTGGGGTGGACGTTGGCCTGATGTTGCCAGGAGTAGGATGCTGATGCTGCCAGAGAGTAGGTGGGCTCCAAACCCCAGGCTTCTCACTTGCTTACTAAGCACAGCAGTCTGAAGCTTGGGACCTGGCAGTGCGTCTTTGGAGAAGGCAAAAAAGCCACAGCAGCAACACTTAGGAGCAAGACCCTTCCCGCTCTCCACCCTATTTCCTCCCCTGAAGAAGAGCAACAGCTCAAGCTCTAGCATGGCACAGAACGCTAGGTTGGGCCAGGCAAGCAGCCATGGTGGGGCCAGGTGAAGCAATGTGGGTCTCAGCAAGGAACCCCTCTGAAGGTGGCAGTGGCTCCCAGGGCTGCTGCACACTGGACACCACAACTTTGGCATCAGCTGCATGGTGAGCTGCAGAGTGGTCAGAGGGGCTGGGGCCCTGCCAAGAGAGCAAGGCCAGACCTGCCCAGCGGGAGGCAGGAAGGCCCTGATCCAGCAAGGAGAAGTAGAGGAAGTCCACAGCCACCTCTGTTACTCATCGCTACTGGGACATCTGGGGACAGGCTCTGTTCTTGGGAGAGCAGGTCACCAGGATTTGTAGGGCTGCCTGCCGGTGACAGACACGTAAGTCACAGGGAAAGGCCGGGATCCAGGCCTCAGCTGTAGCAGCAGCTGGAAGAGGTGGAGCCGCACGGTCACAATACATGCAGACACAGAGCAGCAATACGAAACAGAACAGCTCAGAGCGGTCAGCTCCTCAGCAGAAGCTGCGTGGGCCGCCACTCCCCCTTTCTGCAATCACCCCATGATGTCTCCACCCCACCTCACATCCAGATGGGGCTGGATGGCAGAGCAGATGAAGCCTGCTCTGTGGCGGGGCAGCCTAACTGAAATGCACACCTTTATGGGGGAAGTGGACGGACACCTCACCTCCCTCATGTTTCACACCGTGGACTGCACTTGAGTCCCAGCTCTTCACCACATCCCTAGGAGTCTTAAGAGGAAATCAGTCTGATTTCTTCAGACAGGAGCAGCAAGAGCGGCCAGAGCGAGGAGGACCTCGTGTGAATGGAGGACCTGAGAGGCTGACGCCAAGGAGTGCAGAAGCCAAAGCCACCAAGGAAAGCAGACAGGCAGCAAGCAGCCAGAGAAGGCAGGCCCAGCACCCAGGCAAAGCCACCAAGGAAAGCAGACAGGCAGCAAGCGGCCGGAGAGGGCAGGCCCAGCACCCAGGCAAAGCCACCAAGGAAAGCAGACAGGCAGCAAGCGGCCGGAGAGGGCAGGCCAGCACCCAGGCAAGAAGTCTGGGCCCAGCATTGGAAGAAAGTCGCCTGCTGAAACCAGCCGGGAGCCCTGGGAAGAGCAGAGCTTCTGAGGGGAGCACAGGCTGCACCACCAGGAGCTCTTGGGAGCCCCTTCCTGCTGCTTCACTCCCCATCATGCAGCAGGGGCTGGAAAGAGAGGCAGATGCCCAGGAGTTAATGACATGATGCAGGAGTCACACCAGGCCCAAGCTGTTCAGACAGACCCCCAGCCTGCAGGGTGGTCCCCATCCAAGCCACCAAATCCCTCAGGGAAGCCCCAAAGTCCCTGAGCCTGGTACACACCCCGTCTCCCTACATCCCATCAAGACCTGCTCTGAGCACTCAGCTGGTCACCAGGCACCCATCCCACTAGACTAGCCCCCAGGCTGGTAAAGGAGAAATCACACACCCTTGTCACAGTCAAGCCCTTCCTTGGGGAAGAAGATAAGGCCACACTTCACCCCACAGAACCACAGTGATTTGGGGGGGAAATTCTGTCTCCCAATGGACAGACTGGGGAGTCCCAGCATTTCACTGGGATGCGCTGGTTTGGGACCAGTGCTCCCCATCAGCCACCCTAACTCCACCCTCAAGTTACTTGGTTTCCTGCTGTGCCACAGGGTAAGTCTTCTTGTCAAGGCCCCAGCCTTTCGTGGGAGATCCTTCTCTAGACCTGGCCCTGTCCCACCCTGGAATGTGGGACTGGAACCCATACCTGTCTGTCGGTCAGGATCCCCGGCTCTGGGCGCTTCCAAGATGAAGCCAGAAGGATGTAGAGCACCAGCAGCCCAAAGGCCACCACCAGCATCCCGGTGCTGTTGGCAAAGACCGCCTCACTGGGCAGGCTGTGGTATGGCCTGGTGGTGTTTTTCCTGAAGATGACAAAACAATGTGAGCCCTCGAGAGATTTTTCCACCTATTTTTGTCTAGTGGGAGACTCGATGTCACTAACAGAGGGTGAGAAAACCTTCCCGGGTCCATATGTGATCTAGAATTTTAACACCCTTTCTTTTTTTTTTTTTTTTTTTTTTTGAGGCAGAGTCTTGCTCTGTCACCCGGGCTGGAGTGCAGTGGCACGATCTCGGCTCACTGCAAGCTCCGCCTCCTGGGTTCACGCCATTCTCCTGCCTCAGCCTCCCAAGTAGCTGGGACTGCAGGTGCCTGCCACCACGCCTGGCTAATTTTTTGTATTTTTAGTAGAGACAGGGTTTCACCATGTTAGCCAGGATGGTCTCGATCTCCTGACCTCATGATCCGCCCGCCTCGGCCTCCCAAAGTGCTGGGATTACAGGCGTGAGCCACTGCGCCCGGCTGAATTTTAACACCCTTTCTAAGTCCCTGCAAATATTTGTATAATGAGCCAGGTGCAGCGGCTCACTCTTGTAATCCCAGCACTTTGGGAGGCCAAGGCATGAGGATTGCTTTACCCCAGGAGTTGGAGACTAGCCTGTGCAACATAGTGAGATCCTGTCTCTACAAAAATAAAACTTAGCTAGGTGAGGTGGTCCATGCCTGTAGTCCTAGCTTACTTAGGAGGCTACATTGGGAAGATCGCTTGAGTGCAGGAGTTTGATGCTGCAGTGAGCTATGGTCACACCATTGCTCTCCAACCTAGGCAACAGAGTGAGATGCTATCTCTTGGCTGGGGGGATAAAAGGAGAGAGAGAGGGTCTTCCTATGTTGCCCAGGCTGGACTCCTTCCACCTCAGCCTCCCTAGTAGCTGGGACTACAGGTGCATGCCACGGCACCCAGCTGTAATAATCCTTTTACCCATGAGGAAACTGAAGCTCAAAGCAATGAAATTAACTTGCCCAAAGTTGCATAACTAGTAAATGGCACAGCCAAGATCGAAACCAAGGTCTGACCTTAAGTCCTAGTTGCTTTTCACTACACCCCATTGCCTCAAAAGAACGGACAGTAGTGGTCAGGCATGCAAGGCTCTAGAGTCAGACTGCCTAATCTGAGTCCCAGCTCTGCCACTTACTGGCTGTGTGCCCTCGGGTAAGTTACGTAACCCCTCTGTTCCCTCATTTTTTTTATTTTTATTTCTACCTGAACAGTCCTATTGCAGAATCTGTTCCCTCAATTGAAAATGGCAATGACGGCCGGGTGCAGTGGCTCATGCCTGTAATCCCAGCACTCTGGGAGGCCGAGGCGGGCAGATCATGAGGTCAGGAGTCCGAGACCAGCCTGCCCAGCATGGTGAAACCCCGTCCCTACTAAAAATTCAAAAAATTAGCCGGGCATGGTGGCACACACTTGTAGGCCCAGCTACTTGGGAGGCAGAGGCAGGAGAATTGCTTGAACCCAGCAGGTGGAGGTTGCAGCGAGCCAAGATTGTGCCACTACACTCCAGCCTGGGCGACAGAGTGAGACTCCATCTCAAAAAAAAAGAAAAAAGAAAATGGCAATGACAACAATACCAATCAATACCAATGATGTAGGGTGGTTGACAGGATTAAATGTAAGGTGCTTAGTACTGTTTCTGACACACAGCAGGTGCTAAATCAAACTGATGCTCAATAAATATCTGCTGACTTACCAATTTCAACCTAAAGAAAGATCAATTCTGTTACCTTCCAGATCAGGAGTGGACCCAACCCCAAAATCTCTCCTCCCTTGGGTGAGTCCTGTGATCACAGGGTGTATCTTTTGAAGACCCTATTCCCTCCTCTTCACCTTAGAGTTGGGGACCCCACTGCACTCACAAACTGAAGAAAAGCTTCTCATTAATGCCCGAAATGACGGATGCGATGGACAGAGAGAGGATGGCGGCTCCAAAAAAGACGTGGATAGGTTTTAGGAGGCTGCGCAGCCACATGGACGCCCAGGGCAGGAGGAAGACAGCAAAGCCCAGGAACCACTGTGGACAAAAGGGAGGACACACCCGACTGTGCTATGTGTGACCAAAGCACATCCCACCCCATCAGTGCCTCCTCCCCATCTCTGCTCCCTGGCTCTTCTTTCACAACTCAAACCTTCCCACCTGGCATTGCCCACTACCGTGCTAGCTTCCTCATTGTGGCCTATTACCCAAGCAACAAGAACAGTAAATGACATGCTTAGCTACCATCCCACTCCCAGCAAACCCAACCACCTTGTTTGTCTCTGGTTCCTTCCAGTCCTTGCTCATAAAACTCTTCACTCGCACAGGCCTGAGATCAGAATATGGAAACCACTTCAAGAATTCTTTTGGTTCACAGAGGTGGGAGTGGGGAAAGTGGAAGCCAGATGGCTGATTAGAGTCAGCATAGTGCGTGCCATGACAAAGTTAGCAGAGAGGGCTCTGGGACGAGAGACGGGCAATGGGAGGGATAAAAGGAACAGGGTAAGTTCAGGCCACTGACCTCCCACAGCCCTTGAATAAACTGTCAGTTCTACAAGATAACAATCTGCAAGTCCCTCTCCAAGCAGTGAGCAGAGGAATATTTGGTGCTCATGCAAGTGAACCCCCAACCAGAGCTCATGGCTCTGGGAACCTCGAGGAGGAGAACAGAGAGAACCCACCTGGCAGGCGAAGAGGAAGACAGTGGTGATGCCCAGCCAGCTGTGAAGGGAGTAGAGGTTGGCAGTCCTTCCATGGTTGTGAAACGTAAAGACAGCAACCAGCCCCACAACAGTGAGGACGAAGGCCATCAGGTGCAGCGCTGCATGGAGGAGTTTCCAGGGCAGTTTGGGCCCCACCCACGACTGGGGCAGGCGGTACACCAGTGACGCTGCAGGAGAGAGTAGTGCCAGGGCTCAGCCTCTCCCCTCGAGCTCACCCAGACATCAGGGAATAACCCTGATAGGATCCTACACAGCTTCCCAGCAAGGGAACAGGAAATGCTAGGGCACTGGTATCAACTCCTCGGCATCTTCTACCCTCCCATGATTTGTGGGATAACAGCCATGAAGGGAGGAGAGAAGGGCCAGTTAAAAAGGGAGGAGTGGTCAGGCAAGGTGGCTCATGCCTGTAATTCCAGCACTTTTTGGGAGGCCAAGGTGGGAGGACTGCTTGAGGCCAGGAGTTTGAGGTTACAGTGAGCTATGATCATGCCACTGCAATCTAGCCTGGGCCACAGAGAGAAATAAATAAATAAACAGATTCCAATTAAAAAGGGAGGAGGGCTGGGCACGGTGACTCATGTCAGCACTTTGGGAGGCCAGAAGTTCAAGATCAGCCTGGGCAACATAGCAAGATCCTGTGTCCACAAAAAATAAAAATAAAAAATATTATCCGGGCATGGTGGCACATGCCTGTTCTCTCAGCTACTTGGGGGACTGAGGTGGGAGGATCACTTGAGCCTAAGAGTTCAAGGCTGCAGCAAGCTATGATCATCCCACTGCACTCTAGCCTGAAAAAGAGGGAAACCTGTCTCCTAAAAAAAAAGTGGAGGGGGGAAGCAGGTTTCTTGGACCTCTCATTCTATTTTCACAATAATAAATTCAGCTTGTTTGCAGTTTCTAGGCTAAAAAGCATCATGACAGTCATTGTTTCATCAAACTGAATTGTCACAAGTGAGGCTGGCTGTCAACACAGGTACTAAGGTCAGGCAACATAGGTCCAAATCCAGGCTCTGCCTCTTAGCTGTTTGGCCTCTCCTTTCTTTTTTTTTTTTTTTTTTTTTGAGACAGAGTCTCGTTCTATCATCCAGGCTGGAGTGCAGCGGCGCAATCTCAGCTCACTGCAAGCTCCGCCTCCCGGGTTCACGCCATTCTCCTGCCTCAGCCTCCCAAGTAGCTGGGACTACAGGTGCCTGCCACCATACCCGGCTAATTTTTTGTATTTTTAGTAGAGACGGGGTTTCACTGTGTTAGCGAGGATGGTCTCGATCCCCTGACCTCATGATCCGCCCACCTCAGTCTCCCAAAGTGCTGGGATTACAGGCGTGAGCCACCACGCCTGGCCTGGCCTCTCCTGTCTAACTCTCAATTTCCTCATCTGTAAAAGGGATATAACAGAGCCCACCTCACAAACTTGTAAGAACAAAATGGGATGATATATGTGAACTGCACATGGTAAGCTGCTATCATCAATGGCATCGTATTGCCATTTTACAAATGGGGAAAATGAGGCTCACCAGGGCCCCAAGGCACAGATTTGAAAGCATGGGACAAAGATTACAAAGATGGATCCCAGGTTGGGCGCAGTGGCTCACACCTGTAATCCCAGCACTTTGGGAGGCAGAGGCGGGTGGATCACCTGAGGTCAGGAGTTCGAGGCCAGCCTGACCAACATGGTGAAACCCCATCTCTACTAAAAAATATAAAAATTAGCTGGGCATGATGGCGGGCACCTATAATCTCAGGTACTTGGGAGGCTGAGGCAGGAGAATGGCCTGAACCCAGGAGGCGGAGGTTGCAGTGAGCCAAGATCACGCCATTGCACTCCAGCCTGGGCAACAAGAGCAAAACTCCATCTCAAAAAAAGAAAAAAAAAAAAAAGATGGATCCCGGAAGAGCAAGCAAGTCCCTCATTCGGTGGCCTGACTAAACCATGAGAGGCTTCAATCTCCTGTTCTCTAGAGCTGGTTAAAAACTACAGCTCAGGTCGGGCATGATGGCTCAAGCCTGTAATCCCAGCACTTCAGGAGGCTGAGGTGGGCAGATCACAAGGTCAGGAGATCAAGACCATCCTGGCTAACACGGTGAAACGCTGTCTCTACTAAAAATACAAAAAAAAATTAGCCGGTCACGGTGGCAGGCGCCTGTAGTCCCAGCTACTCGGGAGGCTGAGGCAGGAGAATGGCGCAAACCTGGGAGGTGGAGCTTGCAGTGAGCCGATATCACGCCACTGCACTCCAGCCTGGGCGACACAGCAAGACTCCGTCTAGAGAAAAAAAAAAAAAAAAAAAACACTACAGCTCAAAGGCCAAATCCAGCTCGCTACCTATGTTTGCAAATAAAGCTTTATTGGAACACGTGATCCACACTTGTGTGTATGTGTTGTCTATGGCTGCTCTCACAATACAGTGGCAGAGCTGAGTAACTGCAACACAGATTCTGTCTTGCAAAACTGAAATATTTATCTGACCCTCTATAGAAAGTTTGCCAACTCCTGCCCTAGAGTATTTGTGAAGCCACCCTTCTGAGATGCCCCCCATCTTAACCCCTTCCTCCCCCAAATGACAGCTAGGCCCAGAGACAGCCCAACCCACCCTACCCCCATAGCCCCAAGCCCAACATTTACAAAGGCCAGCCTTGGAGAGGGAAAGTGCAGCTTTGTCCAGCCTGAGCCCTATCCCGCCTCCCTTCCTGACCTCTTACTCACCACCTCCATAGAATACCACCATGCCAGCAACCATAAGCACTGGGTGCCAGTTGAACATGTAGATGCTGCCATTCCAGGCAAAGCCACCACGCCAGTACTGCATCCAGTAGATAGTGAAGAGGATGCACATAGAGCCCAGGGACCCCAGCAGCAGGCAGGACAAGTAGAACCGTCCAGACACCATTCTGATCACGCACTCCTAGAAGAAGGAGAAGTCACAAATCTCCACTGGCTCAGATGCACCCAGTTCTCTGGCTAAAGGAGGTAACACTGATTTAGCTCTTGGCCTGTGGGATGGAATCTTTTTGCTTCAGTTCCCCTGCATCAGCCTGGGCACCACCCCCCGCCCGAGGCCTCAATGCCTGGGTGGGCCTGATCTTCAGTCACAATGACTGAGGCCCCACCCCAGCACCTGGCAGTGCCCAGACAGAGCAGCAAACTCAAGGCTATGGCTGGCCCTGGCGAAGGCCAGATGCCAAGGCCCAAGACCCAGAGTCCTGGGATTCCTCTCCCCTCACAGGACCAGAAGGTAAAGAATTACCACCCCATACCCCCCAGGAAAAAAGGGACAGGAATCAAAATCCAGGCTAAATTACGCAAACACCCAGGCCTTGGGTTCTAAGATAAGAAGGCAAAAATTACAGTCTGAAAAGAGCAAACACCCCACTATTACCCTAGACAGGAAGGAGTCAGAAAAGTTCTTCCCCATAGAGTAAGCTCTATGGGGCTAATCTTCACTGGAGAGGTAACCAGGCCTTCACTCCACTGCCCACACTCCACACCTTGAACCAGCTGATGCCCCTCAGCTGTCTCCAGCCCTGAGACTTCTGCTTTCTCTTCCTCTGGGGAAAGTCCAGAGAAAAAAAGAGGAAGCAACAACTCATGGTCCAGAAAGCAAGAGATTTATTTTGAGATTTCCACAAGTCCTTGATAAACCCAGAAACCAACTCTGGTTTCAGGCATGGCAAATGCTTAAAGCCCTGAGCAGTTGCTCTTAAACGCTAGGTGAGTGGGCAAAGCCACAGGACTGGCCCTGCTTTCAGCTAATATGTAGGCAGCACGGGCCCAGGCATCAAGGCAGTCACCCTGTCCCACGGACTCACACCAAGAAGGCAACAGTGTGGCTTCCTGCATTGAGGTCCCTCACTCGGAAGCAGCTAATAGCCAATAGCCCCCACGGAGGTAAAACATTTGACTGCTCACCTTTAGCCCTAATGATAGGCTCAGAGAACTGGCCTGGGCTCCAATTCCTGCGAAATGGGCACCTTGAGCAAATCACTTAACATTTGCAGGACTCACCTGCAAGAAAGGCGTGGCAGTAAGAATACTTGAACAGTAAGAATAACGAACACCAGCTACGAGCACCAGAGCCTTACACACAAGATCCCATTTACTCCTCTTAACCCTGGGAGGCATATTATTCCGTGAGGAAACTAAGGCTGAGAGAGATAAGTAATTAGCATGAGGACCCAGTGAGAGTGGGTGGGGAGTTCCAAATCCTGTGTGTTTAGCTTCAAGGCCCACGCTGCTTCCTTGACCACAGGTTGTCAGATCAAGTGAGAAAATGAATGTAGCACACTGTAGAAGTCAAGTATTAGAATTCTTCGCTGGGCGCGATGGCTTATGCCTGTAATCCTGCACTTTGGGAGGCTGAGGCAGGTGGATCACCTGAGGTCAGGAGTTCGAGACCAGACTGATCAACATGGTGAAACCCCGGTCTCTACTAAAAATACAAAATTAGCCAGGAGTGGTGGTGGGCGCCTGTAATCAATCCCAGCTACTCAGGAGGCTGAGGCAGGAGAATTGCTTGAACCAGGGAGGCAGAGGTTGCAATGAGCCAAGATTGTGCCATTGCACTCCACCCTGAGCAATGAGAGCGAAACTTCATCTCAAAAAAAAAAAAAAAAAAAGGCTGGGTGAGGTGGCTCACACCTGTAATCCTAGCACTTTGGGAGGCCGAGGCGGGCAGATCATAAGGTCAAGAGATCGAGACCATCCTGGCCAATATGGTGAACCCCCGCCCCCATCTCTACTAAAAATAAAAAATTAGCTGGGCATGGTGGCGCGCGCCTTTAGTCCCAGCTAGCTACTCGGTAGGCTGAGGCAGGAAAATCGCTTGAACCCGGGAGGTGGAGGTTGCAGTGAGCTGCGATCACGCCACTGCACTCCAGCCTGGCGACTGAGCGAGACTCCATCTAAAAATATATATATATACATAGAATTCTTAGTCATTGCTGTCATGCACTTCATCCTAACTACTAACATGCAGCTCATGTTCCTTGTGCCTGCCCAGGCCTCTCAGTGGCCCTCAGCCATGCCATGCCAGCTCTCCCCATGCTAGGGGTCCACCTACTTAGGTAAAGATGCACAAGGTGACCCAAGTTGGCAGTAATCTCTGAGAAAGGAAGGTCCAGCCAGGCTCGGTGGCTCAAGCCTGTAATCCCAGCACTTTGGGAGGCCGACGCGGATGGATCACCTGAGGTCAGGAGTTTGAGACCAGCCTGGCCAACATGGTGAAACCACGTCTCTACTGAAAATGCAAAAATGTGCTGGGTGTGGTGGCGCACGCCTGTAATTCCAGCTACCAGGGAGGCTGAGGCAGGAGAATTGCTTGAACCCTGGAGGTGGACGTTGCAGTGAGCCGAGATCGCGCCACTGCTCTCCAGCCTGGGGGACAGAGTGAGACTCTGTCTCAAAAAAAAAAAAAAAAAAGAAAAGAAGGTCCAAGGGCTGCAGGGAAAAAGCTTCCATGAAGCTGGCAGGAGAAAATCATGCCACCAGCCTCCTAGAAGATTTGTGACTCAACTACTTAACTCAGAGATTTGCTACCCAGCCTCAGAACTGCCTCCTCAATTCCTCCAAGGGCAGAGGACGTTTCAGATCACCAGATATTCACCTAAAACACTCTCCATCCCTCAGTGAAATGTAAGAGATCTTGATCAGCAGGCTCACTCATCTGACAATATCTACTTCCACAACTGTTTTTTTTTTCTTTGTAAGAGGAAAAAGTAAATGCAGTCCGAAAGGATCTGTAGCCACACCCTAGAAAAGGTCCTGGTTTACTGCTCTGTGACAGACTTAGAATAGACCCTGGGCACACTTTCCTGACAGAGAGCTGCAAAGTTATATTGCCCTGCTCACAATACACAGATAAGCCCTCCTACTTCCTGAAATAGAGCAAAGCAGGAGAAAAGGAAGAATGCAGTGAAGGACCAGCACAGTGATTCATGCCTGTAATCCCAGCACTTTGGGAGGCCCAGGCAGGTGGGTTACCTGAAGTCAGGGGTTCGAGACCAGCCTGGCCAACATGGCAAAATCCCGTCTCTACTAAAAATACAAAAATTAGCCAGGCACGGTGGCATGCGCTTGTAGTCCAAGGTACTCGGGAAGCTGAGGCACGAGAATTGCTTGAACCCAGGAGGCAGAGGTTGCAGTGAGCCAAGATCACGCCACTGCACTGCAGCCTGTGCAACAGAGATAGACTCTGTCTATAAATAAATACCCAGGAGTTCCAGACCAGCCTGAGCAACAGTGAGCCCTCATCTCTTAAAAAAAAAAAAAAATTAGCTGGGCGTGATGGCATCCACCTGTAGTCTCAGCTACTCAGGAGGCTGAGGTGGGAGGATGGCTTGAGCCCAGGAGAAGGCTGAAGTGAGCCGAGATCGCACCACTGCACTCTAGCCTGGGCGACAGAGCTAGACTCTGTCTCAAAAACAAAACAAAACAAAAAAACCGTGAAAACTGCAATGCAAATGCTTGAAAATATCCTCTCATTTGTTCTAAGGGCAGGCTGGGCTGTGATCCCAGGGTGTGCTCACTTTGCAGAGCCCCATTCTAAGGGAGCAGTCAGCAAGCTCTTCTGTAAAGGTCCAGGTAGTAAATATTCTAGGCTTTGTAGAGCACATGGTCTGTCACAACTATGTCATCAACTCTGCCCATGCAAGAGCAGCCACATAAACATCTTAACAAATGAGCACCACGGCTGTGTTCCAGTAATATTTATTTATGGACACTGAAGTCTGAGTTTCACATAATTTTCACGTCACAAGATATTATTAACTTCTTGCGAAAAAGGATTCTCCCGGCTGAGCTAAAACAGGTCACATCCAGGGGTAAGAAATGCTAGTTCCCATCCAGCCCTTAGTCTTAGAAAAAGGCTCTACGCAGGCTGGGCGCGGTAGCTCACGCCTGTAATCCCAGCACTTTGGGAAGCCGAGGCGGGCGGATCACATGAGGTCAGGAGTTCGAGACCAGCCTGACCAACATGGAGAAACCCCGTCTCTACTAAAAATACAAAAATTAGCCGGGCGCGGTAGCGGGCGCCTGTAATCCCAGCTACTTGGGAGGCTGAGGCAGGGGAATCGCTTGAACCCGGGAGGCGGAGGTTGCAGTGAGCCGAGATCGTGCCACTGCATTCCAGCCTGGGCGACAGAGTGAGACTCTGTCTCAGAAAAAAAAAAAAGAAAGAAAAAGAAAAAGGCTCTACTCCAAACTCTTGCAGTGTTACTTTTATAATTTAGAACTACAAATAAATGAAGGGGTAGAAAATCAGTTTGTTGCTCTCCCTCCCCGATGGACTGGGGGACTTCAAGAATCTTGAGGACCAGATTTAGGATACAAGCCCTAAACCCTCATCTTACAAATCAAAAACACTGTGACACTGGGGCCCAAAACAAGAAAATGACTTAGCCAAGGTAAGTGGCCGAGCTGGTACAGGAATTCGGGTCCACTCCCTCTCAGCTCTGAGGATTCCTTATTCTCAAAGGTAGCTTCTGTTAAAGTCGGAACATGAGGAGTGAAGGGCTCAATATTCCTGCCAAGGAGGTAGGTGAACAAGTTACCCCTTAGCACCGGAATAATTATAGACCCCGACTTCAGGCTGTGCCTAGGTCCGGCTCAGGTGTCCAAAGAACCGTTCCAGGCACCCGAGGGGTGATCCCTGACTCCTCTGCTGGGTGCTCGTGCCAGCTAACAATGGGTGAAAATTGGGGTGAGGAGCTCCAGGTGCTTTCTGCGTCCTCTGAAGAGCTTTCGTGCCTTTATAACCACCGCGTTGGAAGGAAGAGCGCGGAGAAAGGTGCCCACTTTCTAAAAGAGAAAATTGAGGCCGAGCAAGGGGATCGCGACAGTGCGAAGCGAGATAGCAGCGGAACCAGCATTCGAACCCAGGTCCCTGAACTCCCAGCCCCGGGATCCTTCTCACCCCTAACCACAGTGGGACGAAGTGAGGCCGGGATCTCCGGAACCCGCCTCTCGCTACCAGGCGCCGGAGCTGCCGCTCCCGAGGTTCCTAGGAGATGCAGAAGACACTGCCCTGAATGCCTACAGCCGGCTGGCAATGCCGCCCCAGAGCAGAGCGGCGGGTGCCGCCTCGCCTTCTTATAGGCTCGCAGCACTTCCAGTCGCGCGCGAGGCCTCCTGGGAAGTGAAGTCCGGAGACCAGGGGTGGCCGGCTCCCAGCGCGCCAAGCTGCTAACCCCCTAACTCCCGTTCCTCCTCGGCGTTTCTTCTCCAAGTCCGAAGTCAGGGTCCAGGACTGCTGCGATGCATCAGCCCCGCCTCTCATCCCCCATCCAGAGGAGGCGGAAATGTTCAGGTGAACGCGAAGCCTCCCACTACGAGCCGGCCCTCAGCAAGGCCGTGCGCAGTGTGGGCGGGAGCCCTAAGTCAGCTAGCGGCGACGCTGGGAGGGCCCGGAGCAGGCCGGGCCCCGAACAGCGAAAGCTCCAACATGGCGGCCAGACTGGCCATAGAGCGGGAAGAGAAAGCCGGGGACTAGCAGGCCGCACGGCGCAGACGGGGCCCGCCTCCTCCATTTACTTCCGGAATTTAAAGCCGGCTTCCGGAAGCCGGGACGATGTCCGCATGACAACCGACGTTGGAGTTTGGAGGTGAGAGTGATTGACGAGGAGTGGGTTAAGTGACCAGAAGTCAGAATTTTTGGTGCTGTTGTTTTGGGCTTGGGTTTTATGCTTTGTTGTTGTTTGCCAAGGAAGCCTCGTTTTTAAGTGGATTGGGAAGCGTGAGGAATACTGCCCTAGGTACAAAGGGAAGGCGGCAGGTAGCGGTGGACGAATTAAAGAGCTTCATGAGCTTGTGAGTCTCCACTGCCCTAAACTGGAGGGGATCGTCGTACGTAGAGACAGGCATGGGCGTTTCTGCATAACGGATCCTCAAAACAGCCCTGGATGGTGGCCTATGAGTAGTGGTTAAGAGCACGGGTTTGGCGTCACAGTTATGAAGCCGGGTTCTGCTGACTTGAGACCTGGAGGAATGCCTTGAGCTCTGACTTCTGTGTCCTTTCCTGTAGAATAGGAATAATTCCCACCTTGCAGACTTGTAGGGAGGATTAAAGGAAACGATCTTGGTTGACAAGTTTATCGTGGTGTGAGTACCTAGGTAGTAGCTATCAGTGTTATTTAATGCGGCCGGGCGCAGTGGCTCACGCCTGTAATCCCAGCACTTTGGGAGGCCGAGGCGGGAGGATCACGAGGTCAGGAGATCGAGACCATCCTGGCTAACATGGTGAAACCCCGTCTCTACTAAAAATACAAAAAATTAGCCAGGCGTGGTGGCACGCACCTGTAGTCCCAGCTACTTGGGAGGCTGAGGCAGGAGAATCGCTTGAACCCGAGAGGCGGAGGTTGCAGTGAGCCAAGATCATGCCACTGCACTCCAGCCTGGCGACAGAGCGAGACACTCTCTCTCTCTCTAAAATTTAATGAATGAGGAAACCGCGAACATATGTCCAATAAGGTGGGACTTCACCAGCTGAGGTGGAGGAGGTGCCTTAACCTTCCGGAGCCTCTGTGTAAAATGGGGATAATATACATTGTAATGGCTACTTCTCAAGATGGTTGTAGGATTACGTAAGGTTAGAAATATGAAAAGAGCTTATAAATTGCAAAACATTTTACCGATGCTAATTTAATCGCTAACACTCCAGAGCATTTTGAAATTTCTTTATAGATTTGGCACAGCAGCGGGTCATAGGACACCCCCAGAGCAACTTGTGGGTCTTGGAATAGATGAAAAGAAACAACTGCCACTGTGTTGCAACCATAACCCTAAAGATAAAGCTTTCCAGGAGACCCCTGTTTCCTCTCTGCTTTTTCTGCCTAGGGCACTTCACACTTCTTTGCTGGCATTTTTCCTGCCTAGTTAAATACTAGTCTATCAATTATGTAAGAGACAGCTTAGTCCAGTAGTTAAGAGCACAGACTGTGGACCCGTGCAGCCTGCATCTGAATACTAGCTCTGCCACTTACTAACGACGTGACCTTGGACAAATTATTTTACCTCTCTTGGCCTCAAATTTCTCATCTGTAAAATGGGGAAGGTAATAATGTATTATGTCATCTACCTTGTGAGGTTTAAATAATGTTAGTGCTTGTAGAACACTCCCTGGCACATTGTAAGCAATGTATAAGGATTTGCTGCCATTTTTGTTACCACCGCTACTACATGACCAGGCAGTCATTCTTCTCAGTAATACTACTAGATTCCTTTGGTTAGAGACAGCTCTGCATTGAGAAGATTCCAGGCATGGAGAAAAGCTGGTGAAGGTCCTAGAATAAATGACTTCTTGGGGGTTTTTGTTGTTGGTTTTGTTCACTAAAGTATCCCATGCAACTGGAGTGGTACCTGGCACACAGTAGGTCCTCAGTAAATGTTTATGGTATTAATACATTTCTAACCTTGCTTATCTTTTTGCTCCAACAGGTGCTTGCCTTAGAGCAAGGGAAACAGCTCTCATTCAAAGGAACTAGAAGCCTCTCCCTCAGTGGTAGGGAGACAGCCAGGAGCGGTTTTCTGGGAACTGTGGGATGTGCCCTTGGGGGCCCGAGAAAACAGAAGGAAGATGCTCCAGACCAGTAACTACAGCCTGGTGCTCTCTCTGCAGTTCCTGCTGCTGTCCTATGACCTCTTTGTCAATTCCTTCTCAGAACTGCTCCAAAAGACTCCTGTCATCCAGCTTGTGCTCTTCATGTGCGTGCAGTAAGGCACTCTGGAAAGCTGAACCCACGCAATTCAAAGGCCCTGACAGTGGTGATTTAGTGTCTTAAAGTTATTAGTAGGCTGGGTACGGTGGCTCACACCCATAATCCCAGGACTTTGGGAAGCCAAGGCAGGAGGATCTTTTGAGGCTGGGAGTTTGAGGACCAGCCTAGGCAACATAGCAAGACCCTGTCTCTACCTACTAAAAATTTTTAAAATTAGCTAGGCATGGTGCCACACACCTGTAATCGCAGTGATTCAGGATGCTGACGTGGAAGGATTGCTTAAGCCCAGGAGTTCAAGGCTACAGTGAGCCATGATCATGCCACTGCACTCCAACCAGGTGACAAAGACCCTATCTCAAAAAAAAAAAAAAAAAGCCAGGTGTGGTGGTTCACGCTTGTAATCCCAACACTTTGGGAGGCCAAGGTGGGCAGATCACCTGAGGTCGGGAATTCGGGACCAGTCTGACCAACATGGAGAAACCCCATCTCTACTAAAAATACAAAAATTAGATGGGCGTGGTGGTGCATGCCTGTAATCCCAGCTTCTTGGGAGGCTGAGGCAGGAGAATCACTTGAACCTGGGAGGCAGAGGTTGCAGTGAGCCATGATCATGCCACTGCACTCCAGCCTGGGCGACAGAACAAGACTCCATCTCAAAAAAAAAAAAATGTTTAAGAGTGTCAGATAGCCTGGGCAACATAGTGAGACCTTGTTTCTATTAAAACATAATTTTATTTTTTTTTTTTTGAGATGGAGTCTAGCTGTGTCGCCAGGCTGGAGTACAGTGGCACAATCTCAGCTCACTGCAACCTCCGCCCCCTGGGTTCAAGCAATTCTCCTGCCTCAGCCTCCCTAGTAGCTGGGATTATAGGTGTGCGCTACCACACCCCACTATGTATTTACCACACCCAGCTACTTTTTGTATTTTTAGTAGAGACGGGGTTTTGCCATGTTGGCCAGGCTGGTCTCAAACTCTTGACCTCAAGTGATCTGCCCACCTCGGCCTCCCAAAGTGCTGGGATTACAGGCATGAGCTAATTTTTTTTTTAATTAGCTGAGTATAGTGGCACACACCTGTGGTCACAGCTACTCAGGAGGGTGAGGCGGGAGGATCACTTGAGCCCAGGAAGTTGCTGCAGTGAGCTGTGATCATACCACTGCACTCCAGTCTGGGCAACAGAATGAAACCCTGTCTCGAAAAATAAGGAGTATCAGAGAATCTTCTATAGGACTATGTATGGAAGAAATTTTAAAAATAAAAAAGAGTATTAGAGCAGGAAAGCCTTGACTATGGACTGCAAACCCAACTGATGGGGCCAGTGGGTAATTTTAGGTAATTTTAGCTTCATGTCATTCAGGTCCCAAAACCCATGTTATCTCTGTGAGGGTTTAAGATGTCAGATGCCTATCTCACAACAAAGGACAGGCCTCGTGGTGTCCCTCAGGACATAGTACCTGCTCTTGGGTCCTCACACAGGCCTTCATTGGTTGTACTTTTTTTTATGTCTACAGCATCCAGGATATTGCAGTCCTCTTCAACATCATCATCATTTTCCTCATGTTCTTCAACACCTTCGTCTTCCAGGCTGGCCTGGTCAACCTCCTATTCCATAAGTTCAAAGGGACCATCATCCTGACAGCTGTGTACTTTGCCCTCAGCATCTCCCTTCATGTCTGGGTCATGGTAAGAGTGGCAGTCTGAATTCTTTTTTTAATTTTTATTTTAAATAGAGGTGGGGTCTTACTTTGTTACCAAGGCTGGTCTCAAACTCCTGAGCTCAAGCAATTCTCCTGCTTCTGCCTCCCAAGCTCAAGCAATTCTCCTGCTTCTGCCTCCCAAAGTGCTGGAATTACAGGCATGAGTCACTGTGCCCGGCCTGAACTCTGAATTCCTGAATCGCTAAAGGGCTAGGAATAACTTTTCTTTTCTTTTCTTTTCTTTTTTTTTTTTTTTGAGACAGAGTCTCGCTCTGTCGCCTGGCTGGAGTGCAGTGGCGTGATCTCAGCTCACTGCAACCTCCGCTTCCTGGGTTCAAGCAATTCTCCTCCCTCAGTCTCCTGAGTACCTGGGATTACAGGCACGCACCACCACGCCCAGCTAATTTTTGTGTTTTTAGTAGAGACTGGGTTTCACCATGTTGGCCGGGATGGTCTCAATCTCTTGACCTCGTGATCCTCCTGCCTCGGCCTCTGAAGTGCTAGGATTACAGGCGTGAGCTACTGCGCCCGGCCACTGGGATATCTTTTCTCTGGGAACCCAGCTTCATTCTTTGACATCTCACACAATCCTTCGTAGAGAACAGGTGAAATGAAAGTGGTTTGGGTTGGAGCCCTGGGCATGTGAGAGTTTCATAAGGTACTCTTGACCAACCTTATGTGTTGAAAAACAGCCTTGTCCAAGAGTCAGGGGACTCTTCCAGAACATTCAATTCACCTTTGCCCCAAACAGGCCTACCAGGGCTAAAACAGGTAGTTGAATGTGTCTCATCATTAGCTATTTGGGCAGGTGGATGTTGATACAGGTTATTCTTAGGCATCAGTGCCCCATGGCTAATGCTGTAGGCAGTGGATGTTTTTGGAAGTAGCCAAGCAGGATTGCTGCTTGCCCTTGAGTGCTCCATGCCGTCTGCCAAGCTCCCATCACTTTAACTAGGAGAACCGGCCTCCAGGATCCCTCCCTTTGGTTCTAACATAGGCCTCAGATCAGATCCAGTGTCTGTGGTTTCAGATTTCTTCTGCTTCACAAATTCTTCCAGCTCTTTGAGTATCTTGTATATTTCTCATGTACTCAATTCAATTGAACTCTAAAACCTCAGGGTTCTCTAGTTGTCACTTCATTATTAAAGCCACTTTCACACCTGAACCCCCTGTTAGGTTGTGCTTGTGATTCCACAGAAAGAAGTAGAGGTCCCAGGAAAGAAGCAAAGCAACACCAGAGTCTCCGGGTGCTTCCTGAAGAGGATTCTGTGCCCTGGTTCCTGGAGCCAAAATAGGTCCTGGCTTTGTACTATAAAAGCCGTTAATCTCATTAAACCCTGAGTACACCAAAGTCTTTATCTGACAGGAGCTGAGCCAGCGATTTTTCAAGGCAAGACAGTGACCAGCTGAACTCCTGAGATAATGAATATATCATTTCTCCTTGGCAAAGGTTATGGAATTAAAGAGAATAAATAACTTAGTTCATACTTCCTCCCTCAAAGTTAAAAGATATTCCCTTTGCAGCGAAAAATGGAGCTTTGAGGCTCCTTCGAGAAACGCTCCTTGGGGTTGTAGAAAGGAGGAAGAGGTTAGCATGATTTTAAAGCAACTGGCATCTCTGCAGCTAACCAAGTTGGAGACATTAGGGCTTCTTGTGGCCATTAACTTTTGTGTATCTCACATCTCCTTCAGAACTTACGCTGGAAAAACTCCAACAGCTTCATATGGACAGATGGACTTCAAATGCTGTTTGTATTCCAGAGACTAGGTAAGGACCAGAGCAAGGTCAGGCCTCTCTCAGGTCCCACATGTGTCTCTTTCAGTGAGGGCCTTGATGCTGGCTTCCCAGACCTGTCCCAGCTGGCTTGGGATGGTTGTGACAGCCACACCAGGAACAGGAGGGATTACTGCCCCTGCCCTTGCTAGAAGACTATGGGAAATGAGGAGGCAGGGCTGCCCAGCCTCATTAGGTTCTGTTCTTTTTGTTTGTTTGTTTGTTTGTTTGTTTGTTTTTGAGACAGTCTTGCTCTGTCGCCCAGGCTGGAGTGCTGTGGCGCTATCTCAGGCTCACTGCAAGCTCCGCCTCCCGGGTTCACACCATTCTCCTGCCTCAGCCTCCGGAGTAGCTGGGACTACAGGCGCCCGCCACCACGCCCAGCTAATTTTTTGTGTATTTTTAGTAGAGACAGGGTTTCACCGTGTTAGCCAGGATGGTCTCGATCTCTGACCTCATGATCCGCCTGCCTCTGCCTCCTAAAGTGCTGGGATTACAGGCGTGAGCCACCACGCCTGGCCAGGTTCTGTTCTTAACCTGAAATGATACTCAGGAGCACCCCTGAGGCTTCTCTTCTGCTTCCTCCCCACAGCAGCAGTGTTGTACTGCTACTTCTATAAACGGACAGCCGTAAGACTAGGCGATCCTCACTTCTACCAGGACTCTTTGTGGCTGCGCAAGGAGTTCATGCAAGTTCGAAGGTGACCTCTTGTCACACTGATGGATACTTTTCCTTCCTGATAGAAGCCACATTTGCTGCTTTGCAGGGAGAGTTGGCCCTATGCATGGGCAAACAGCTGGACTTTCCAAGGAAGGTTCAGACTAGCTGTGTTCAGCATTCAAGAAGGAAGATCCTCCCTCTTGCACAATTAGAGTGTCCCCATCGGTCTCCAGTGCGGCATCCCTTCCTTGCCTTCTACCTCTGTTCCACCCCCTTTCCTTCCTTTCCTCTCTGTACCATTCATTCTCCCTGACCGGCCTTTCTTGCCGAGGGTTCTGTGGCTCTTACCCTTGTGAAGCTTTTCCTTTAGCCTGGGACAGAAGGACCTCCCAGCCCCCAAAGGATCTCCCAGTGACCAAAGGATGCGAAGAGTGATAGTTACGTGCTCCTGACTGATCACACCGCAGACATTTAGATTTTTATACCCAAGGCACTTTAAAAAAATGTTTTATAAATAGAGAATAAATTGAATTCTTGTTCCATAAATGGGGGAGTCTGTCTGTCTAGCTAGATCTCTTCATGTTAAGAGGCGTGCCAAGGTCCAGCTTAACATCTACTTGACCCAGAGGGAAGATGGAGCCACAGATGAAATACAGATCTTTGTTGAGATCCATTATGAGTACAAAGTATTTTAGCAGAAATTCAAGATGGAATCTGATGCTGCATCCCCCACTCCTGGAGCTCCAGATGTGTGTGCTCTGTTCAGACTCTCTTTCCTTATCAGAAGCCTTAACTGCCCTCAGAAGAATAAAAATATTCCCTTAGCCAGCTTTGGCAAAAGAAATTTTTAAAATTCTTATGTCCGTAGTATCAGTTTTCTATTGCCAGAATATTGTGTAACTCCACCACCAAAGTTCAGGGGCATACAGCAATCAACAGCTGCCTGGCTCTTTGTCTTGGGGTTCAGCTGATCAAGGCTGTGTGTGGGTGGTTTCATCTGGGCTCACTCTTGTGTCTGTCAGCTGCAGGTCAGCTAGGCAGCTGCGATGGCCTTGGGATCCACTGGCAGTTGGCTAGCCTTCATTGACCTCAGCTGGAGTGACTGTGGTTACTCAGCTCTAGTTTGCAGATTTACTTCCCACAGACTAGCCTGGATCTGCTCACACGCCAGTGGCAGAGCGGGAAAGTCCCAGTATGCAACCCCATTTCAAGCCTGTGCTTGTCTTGTGTCTCCTAGACTCCTGTTGATCAAGGCAAGTCACGCAACTAAGCCCAGAAACAAAGTGGCAAACGGTTACCAACCACAAGTTCTTAGACTCTCATTGCTATAGAAATTGACATGAGGCTAAAAGAATTTGCCGACAAGGCTTCATTGGAGCTTATGCCTGGGCATAAGAGACACAACACAAGTCAAAGAGAGAGTTCCCTGACTGACTCCAAACAAAGCCTGCAGGGATTTTTCTCTTAGGCAAAGCACTGGAATTGACCTCGGGTAGGGTAGGCAGGCTGGGCTGGACAAAGCACGTGAGGGTAGGGTGTGCAGGTCAGCATCTGGTTGTAAGGGTTATCTTGAATAATGGACCACCAGGTAGTCTAGCCAATGGCAGCAAATCTGTATTCTTTCCTGAGGAGGGACAGTCCACACACAATGTTGGTTTGATATTTTGGACCTCCTAAGGCCAGTTCCTGGAATTCTTTAAGTAAAAGGCCTGGTTAAACATTGTGAGAGCACAGAAGATGAATACAAAATGGCGATTTTCTTTGTATGACTAAAGCGTTGATGATAGTGGATACATCAGCAAGGTAGAGGGGTGGGTTTTGTGGTCAGTGGGGATGCATGAAAGGATGCTGTAGTGGGGGTGAGCTGAAGCCACACCCTGTCTCTACTCTGTCTCAAAAGCACTACAAATTTTCAAGGGCAAAGGCATGGATACAGAGAGAGTAAAGAATGGGGGCCATTAATTCACCCAGTCTCTCACACCAGAGAGCTGCTCTGTGAAACTTGTTCTTCAGAGATGCTTTGGCAGGGTCGCCAAGCTTTTTTTAAGAAGGGTCAGATAGTAAATATTCGAGGTCTTGAGGGTACAACCACTTAACCACGACACTGAAGCATGAAAGCTTCCATAGACTATAGGATACATAGGAAACGGGAAAGTGTGGGTGGTTTCAGCTGGGCTCGCTCATGTGTCAGCTGCAGGTCAGCTAGGCAGCTGTGATGGCCTTGGGATCCATTGGCAGTTGGCTAGCCTGCAGTGACCTCAGCTGGGGGCCCCCAAACATCTCAGGACCCCCAAACTCATTATGCCAAAGGGAAAGTTAAGCCTGGAGACTGAGTCACGCAACACCGCCCCCCTCTCCCAAATAAATGAATTTATTTTATTTTATTTTGAGATGGAGTCTAGCTCTGTCACCAGGCTGGTGTGCAGTGGTGCGATCTCAGCTCACTACAACTTCCGCCTCCTGGGTTCAAGTGATTCTCCTGCCTCAGCCTTCCCAGTAGCTGGGATTATAGGCACGTGCCGCCACGCCCAGCTAATTTTTGTATTTTTAGTAGAGATGGGACTTCACCATGTTGGCCAGGATGGTCTCGATCTCCTGACCTTGTGATCTGCCCCCCTCGGCCTCCCAAAGTGCTGGGATTACAGGACTGAGCCACCATTCCCAGCCCCAAATGAATTTCTGTTACTTCACAGCCTTTTGTCAAAGCATTATGCCTTAGGCCGACCCCACACCCCCAGGGAAAGGAAAAAAGCCTCAGGCATCCTTAGATGACTGCCCTCAGAAATTGTTCTGTGCTGGCTTTGAACCCTTTCAAGATGTCCTATAAAACAAGGACATGCCAATTCTTACTTCAGGTCTGCCTGCAATCTAAGTCTAGCTCCTAAAGTAAGAGTTTGTTAGATTTCACACTGATGATGCTTGTATTGATGAAAAAGAAAGCCGAACTCTAAAATACTTGAAGAGATGTATTATTCTGAGCCAATGTGAGGACAATAATCCATGACAAAGCCCCAGGAGGTCCTGAGAACACGTGCCCAAGATGGTTGGGTTACAGCTTGATTTTATGTATTTTAGGGGGACAGAAGTTACAATCAGAGACATAAATCAATAGACGCAAGGTGTACATTGATTTTGCCCAGAAAGGCAGGACATCTCAAAAGGGGAAGCCTTGCAAGTCAGGTGGATTTAAAGATTTCTGATTGGCAACTGGTTGAAAGGGTTAAATTTGGGCCGGGCACAGTGGCTCACACCTGTAATCCCAGCACTTTGGGAGGTCGAGGTGGGGTGGATCACGAGGTCAAGAGTTCAGGACCAGCCTGGCCAACGTGGTGAAACCCTGTCTCTGCTAAGAATACAAAAATTAGGCAGGTGTGGTGGCACATGCGTGTAATCCCAGCTACTCAGGAGGCTGAGGCAGGAGAATTGCTTGAACCTGGGAGGCAGAGGTTGCAGTGAGCCAAGATTGTACCACTGCCCTCCAGCCTGGGCAACAGAGCAAGACTCTGTCTCAGAAAAAAAAAAAAAAAAAGTTAAATTCTGCCTAAAGAATTGAAGTATTCAATTCTACCTAAAGTGTTGAAGTCCACAGAAATGTTTGCAGTTAAGATCATGAGAGGGTATAGAAGGCAAGGTTCTTGGTTTTGTTTTGTTTTTGAGATGGAGTCTCACTCTGTCTCCCAGGCTGGAGTGCAATGGCATGATCTCAGCTCACTGCAACCTCTGCCTCTTGGGTTTAAATGATTCTCCTGCCTCAGCCTCCTGAGTTGCTGGGATTGCAGGCGTGCACCACCGTGCCCAGCCGGAAAACATTCTTTCTCAAAAAAAAAAAAAAAAAAGCTGGGTGCGGTGGCTCACGCCTGTAATCCCAGCACTTTGGGAGGCGAAGGCGGGGGGATCGTGAAGTCAGGAGATCGAGACCATCCTGGCTAACATGGTGAAACCCCGTCTGTACTAAAAAAAATACAAAAAAATTAGGCAGGCGTGGTGGCAGGCACCTGTAGTCCCAGCTACTCGGGAGGCTGAGGCAGAAGAATGGTGTGAACCTGGGAGGTGGAGCTTGCAGTGAGCTGAGGTCACACCGTTGCACTCCAGTGTGGCAACAGAGTGAGACTCTGTTTCAAAAAAAAAAGAAAGAAAGAGGGATTGTTCAGGACAAACCAGCAAGTCCAAGCATTTCATTAACAGTCTGTGTAAGTTACAATAAGAGAATTTACTTTTTTTTTTTAAAGCCAAAAACTTTTATATAATCAAGTTGTCACATTAAGTTTGGTTTGCCTAGGAAAAAAACAGATTAAAAAAAAAGTTTTTAATTAAGGTTATTACATCTGTTTATCTGTCTATATGCGCTTTTAAAATACTTGCAACATTGAGTTACAGGGCTTTGATTCCTGGGTCTAAGAAGGACAGCAAGTCCTGCTAAATGTTAAACACTGACGGCAATTAAAGCCCCATCTTCACGCCCGGTAGAAGATGCCAATCAAAATAAACTTCATTCCTGAAGCACGGGGCTGGAAAATCAAAGCTATTCAACTCCTCAAGGCCCAGGGACTATCAAGAAAGAGGCGGACAGATGAGATTGTAAAGGCTGATTTTGAGAGATAAAATAAGTTCAGTTTCCCTATAAATTAATCATTAATGTCAAAGGCACACTGAAGCAAGACCAGCATATGGGCCTCTGTGTCAGATTAACAAGGTTTTCTTGAAGCAGTAACTGACTCCTTAATAAAGGTTATAAAAGTTATAAAGGCTTATGGAAGTTATATTTAATTGGCTTCATGCTGTTTTTATTAGGGCTTATTGTTTGGAAAATTAAGTCTCCTCTCTCAAAGAATGAAGGTTTTTACCTTTTTTTTTTTTTGAAATCCTTGAGTTATCACTGGTTAAATGAATGACTTATTTAACAATGGCCTGTGATAACCTTTGATATTTGAGAAATGTTCCAAAATCAAATTATAAATAATGTCTTTTTCAGACCTAATTAATCCTTTAACATATTATTAATAGGTTCCCTAAAGTCCAAAAATGACATATTTGGCTTACTTGGTATAAAAATTATACAGGAAACATTGTCAAATATAAAATGGTGTTTGGTTTTCTTTGGGCTGTATTTGTATAAATATGCTGTTGGATGTGTTCCAAAATTATGGGAGACTCCTATAATTATTTTTTATTTTTTATTTTTTTTTTTTTTAAAGATGGAGTCTCACTCTTGTCGTCCAGGCTGGAGTAGTGCAGTGGTGCAATCCTGGCTCACTGCAGCCTCCGCCTCCTGGTTCAAGCAATTCTCCTGCCTCAGGCTCCCAAGTAGCTGGGATTACAGATGCCTGCCAACACACCCGGCTAATTTTTGTATTTTTAGTAGAGATGGGGTTTCGCCATGTTGGCCATGCTGGTCTCAAACTCCTGAGCTCAGGTGATCCATCCACCTCGGCCTCCCAAAGTTCTGGGATTACAGGCCTGAGCCACTGCGCCCAGTCCTTTTTTTTTTTTTTTTTTTTTTGAGACAGAGTTTCGCTCTGTCACCTAGGCTGAAGTACATTGGCATGATCTCAGCTCACTGGAAACTCTGCGTCCCGGGTTCAAGCAATTCTCCTGCATCAGCCTCCCAAGTAGCTGGGATTACAGGCACCCACCACCACACCCAGCTAATTTTTGTATTTTTTTTAGTAAAGACAGGATTTCACCATGTTGGCTAGGCTGGTCTCAAACTCCTGAGCTTGGGTGATCCACCTGTCTCAGCCTCCCAAAGTACTGGGATTACAGGTACGAGCCACTGCCACTGGCCCTGGAAACTCCTATAATTCTGATATGACTTAATGTACATTATCGGTAATAATTATAACTGTTATGTTAAATTATTATGTGCCACAGAGGTAACAAATTTCCTTGTCAGTTTTGTCTTTGACTATAGCTGCCCTAAAACATTTTGTCATCCATGGACAATTGTTGTTTTGCTTTGGTCCTCTTTAGAAGGTGGTTTTATAATCAGCTATAAAACTCTAGGCCAGGCGTGGTGACTCACACCTGTAATTCCAGCACTTTGGGAGGCCAAGGTGGGCAGATCATGATGTCAGGAGATTGAGAACCATCCTGGCCAACAAGGTGAAACCCTGTCTCTACTAAAAATACAAAAATTAGCTGGGCGTGGTGGCAGGTGCCTGTAATCCCAGCTATTCAGCTACTCAGGAGGCTGAGGCAGGAGAATTGCTTGAACCTGGGAGGCGGAGGCTGCAGTGAGCTGAGATCGCGCCACTGAACTTCAGCCTGGTGTCAGAGCTAGACTCCATCTCAAAAACAAACAAACAAACAAACAAACTCTAATAGGTGCCCCTGAATAAGGTTTCTGATAACTTTAGAGACTGTCACATCAGAATAGAGGAAAAACTTTCACGACTCATGGAGAACTGAAATGTTCATGAAAAATGAAGCAGAACAGGAATTAATTGCATGGACTAAACTAATAGGTGTCTGAAGTGATCTTTTTAACTTTACACTTAAAATGTTGCTGATCCTGTGTTTTGTTTTTCAGAGTCAAGAAAACTTTTAAGCTATTTATAGCTTTAACAATTGAGTATACTCCTATGAACAAAATTTGCAGCATATTTGTTTTTCTCTGATTTCTCCAGAATTTGGAGATTATTTGTGAGTATTCTTTTTTTTTTTTTTTTTTTTTTGAGATGGAGTTTCACTCTTTTTGCCCAGGCTGGAGTGCAGTGGTGTGATCTCAGCTCACCACAACCTCTGACTCGCAGGTTCAAACCATTCTCCTGCCTCAGCCTCCCAAGTAGCTGGGACTACAGGCATGCGCCACCATGCCTGGCTAATTTTTGTATTTTTAGTAGAGATGGTGTTTCACTATGTTGGCCAGGCTGGTCTCAAACTCCTGACCTCAGGCGATCCACCCACCTCAGCCTCCCAAAGTGCTGGGATTACAGGCATTAGCCACTCCACCCAGCTGTGAGTATTCTTAACTTATGACAATACTGTTATTTGCATAAGTGCAATAAGAATCTGTTTTCGTTTGTAACAGGACACAATTGGAGAAACTGGTTATTTTACCAAGGCTTTTACTGGAATGGTGTGCTTTCCTTTAAGCAATCAAATTTGACTTTATGGAGCCAATAAAAGCCCCTTGGAAAAACTGGCCCCATACCTTTGTCCACACAGCCGCTGTCCAAGGTTTCTGACCTGTGGCAAGTAAAGCACGTCACTTTCTGACAGGCCCAGGAGTCCCAAGTTTATCTTGGAACCTCAAGAGGAGAGGATCATGCAATTCATAGGTATTTGATGGCACAAATCCACGGCTGGGCTCGGCTTTTAAAAAGTCTTATCTGAGATTCTTTCTATGGAACAAAGTTTCATCAAAGCCAATTTAAAAGCCTATGTAAAAAATAATTATTCGGCCAGATGCGGTAGCTCATGCCTATAATCCTAGCACTTTGAGAGGCCAAGGCAGGCGGATCACCTGAGGTCAGGAATTCAACACCAGCCTGGCCAACATGGTGAAACCCCATCCCTACTAAAAATACAAAATGTAGCCAGGTGTGATGGTGCATGCCTGTAATTCCAGCTACTCAGGAGGCTGAGGTGGGATAATCACTTGAACCCAGGAGGTGGAGGTTGCAGTGAACTGAGATCACGCCACTGCACTCCAGCCTGGATGACAGAGCAAGACTCTGTCTCAAAAAAAAAAATAATGGAAAACTGGAAAGAGAAAAATTGTTTCAAAAACTATAGCACACCTGTTGTTAGATTCTTGTCTTGCCTAATGTTTTTCAATTTTATTATTTTCTACAGTTTGGACCGAATTCTAATTTTTCTTGACTACAAGTCTTCAAAATAATGTTTTCATTTTTTTCTTCTTTTTTCCATTTTTTTCCAATTTGGAGTCACTGAAAACTAAGCTGTGCTTTCATAAAGCCCTGCAAACTGAATCTAGACAACTTCAGAAGAAAAATAACAGCAACCTATTTACATACATAAGCCACTTTCATACCTGCCTACCGATGTATGGACTTCAGAGTAATGTGGCTTATAGCAATTTTCCAGGATTGTTCTTTTGTTTGTTGTTGTTCTCCCTTCCTCCCCCTATTTTGTCTTTATGGGACATGACACTTCACAACCTTCTAAAAATGAGTTTTCCTAATAACTCAGGACCTACTCGTCTAGAAATAAACCATCCTAGCCATGAGAGATAAGATAAAACATGAGACAAGAGACTCATTTTTTTCTAAAATGCTTTCTCTAAAAGATTTTTAAAAAGAAAGGGGAGGAAATGTGAAAGGAAAATATCTTGGGCCCCCAAATCACTCAGCTAAAGGCAAAAGTCAAGCTGGGAACTGCTTGGGGCAAGCTTGCCTCCCATTCTAATCAAAGTCACTGCTCTGCTCACTGAGACAAATGCATATCTGATTGCCTCCTTTAGAGATGCATTCATGAGAAACTCAAAAGAATGCATCCATTTGTCTCTAGTTTACCTGTGACCTGTAAGCCCCTCCCTGCTTCGAGTTGTCCCGCCATATTGTTTCACTGAGCCAGACTAAGGCATACGTGACTATTCCTCTACCCTCCTCTTGCATGTAAATTGTGCCTTCAGTGAAAGGCTAATCAGAAACTCAAAAGAATGTAATTGGTTATCTCTTATCTACCTATGACCTGGAAGTCCACTCCCCTGCTTAGAGTAGTCCCACCTTTCTGGACCAAACCAATGTACATCTTACACATACTGATTGATGTCTCATGTCTCCCTAAAATGTATAAAACCAAACTGTGCTCTGACCACCTTGAGCACATATTGTCAGGACCTCCTGAGGCTGTGTTGTTACAGGCACGTGTTCTCAACCTGGCAAAATACACTTTCTAAATTAACTGAGACCTGTCTCAAATTTTCTGGGTTCACACTCACTTGGCGATCCAAGATTTATTTTCCTTTCACACTGGTCAGATGTGCCTGAATTCCAAAGGGAGGACAGTATAATGAAGCATGTCCAAACACCCCTTCCAATCATGACCTGAACTAGTCTTTCAGGTTTAGTTTGGAATCCCCTTGGCCGAGAGGAGGGTTCATTCAGTCTTTTGGGGGACTTAGAATATTACTTTTGGTCTACACCAGGGAGGACATGGAAGCTTCCTGGCTGTTTTCTATACATTGCCCTGTGCATGTCTTCCATCTGGCTATTCTAGAGTTCTTTCCTTTTATAATAAACCAGCAATCTAGTAAGTAAACTGTTTTCATGAGTTCTATGAGCCATCCTAACAAATTACTGAACCCAAGGAGAGGGTTGTGGGAATCTCTGATTCATAGCCAGTGGGTCAGAAGTACCAGAGAGCCAGACTTGCGATTAGCATTTGAAGTGGGGACATTCTTGTGGGACTGAGCCTTACTTAACCTGTGGGCTCTGATGCTAACTCCATGTAGTGTCAGAATTGAATCGAATTGTAGGACACCCAGCTGATGTTGAATAATTTGTCAGTGCGGGAAAACACCCACACATACCATCATACCTGGCTAATTTTAATTTTTTTGGGTAGAGATAGGGCCTTCCTGCTGTTGCCCAGGCTGGTATCAAACTTCTGACCTAAAGCAATCCTCCTGCCTGGGCTTCCCAAAGTGCTGGGATTACAAGCGTGAGCCACTGCACCTAGTGGAAAGAAGCACTTTGAAAGCGCTTAGAGACTTCCATTCTTCTAACTGACCAACACTCCAGTCAGGAACTAGAAAAGTCAGATAAAATACACACACAAAAAAAGTCATATATATATACGATTTTCAGTTTGAGGCTTTCTTTTTTTTTTTTTTTTTTTTGAGATGGAGTTTCACTCTTGCTGCCCAGGTTGGAGTGCAGTGTCGTGAGATATATATATATGTGTGTGTGTGTGTGTGTGTGTGTGTGTGTGTGTGTGTATATATAGTGTTTTTAGTAGAGATGGGGTTTCGCCATTTTGGCAAGGCTGGTCTCAAACTCCTGATCTCAGGTGATCTGCCTGCCTCGGCTTCCCCAGGTGTTGGGATTACAGGCGTGAGCCACCACGCCCAGCCTAAATAATAATCTTGAAAAATCATATTTTTAATACCCTCAGAGAGCTGGTGAAGCAAGAAGGGCCAGCAGACCTAAAATTCTAGAGTACGGAGAACCATAGAGAAGCCAGCTAACAATTGCAACAGAATTCTCCCTGGGGTATTTACTAATTCTACAATTGAGCAAGAGGCTAAGAATCCAAGCATTGCCCAGACAAGGTTGCAGAAAAGCCAGCTGAGCTGAGTCATCTCATAACACTGGAGGAAGAAAATTGGGGAGTCAAAGAGCCTTTAAAACATAACAGATTTTTTCCTTAAGATATTTACCAAATTCTGAAGCTGTGTAGAACTAGAGGCTATAAAAATCTAAGCCTCTGGTGAGGCATGGTGGCTCATGCCTGCAATCCCAGCACTTTGGTGAGGCTGAGGTGGGCGGATCATCTGAGGCTAGGAGTTAGAGACCAGCCTGGCCAACACAGTGAGCCCCTGTCTCTACTAAAAATGCAAAAATTAGCCAGGCCTGGTGGTGCGTGTCTGTAATCCCAGCTACTCAGGAGGCCGAGGCAGGAGAATCACTTCAACCCAGGAGGAGGAGGTTGCAGTGACCATGCCAACGCACTCCAGCCTGGGTGATAGAGTAAGACTCCGTCTCAAAATAAATAATAATAAAAAAATAAGCCCCAAACTTCTGAGAAGCAGAGTAGAATTTCTGACTGATAGCGATGAAGATTCGAATTTAGGACCCACCTGGGCAAAGGGATTGGCAAACACACAGGGCTTTCATATGAATGCTCAGGAGGGCTCCTTACTGGGAACAGGATGAAACAGGTGGACTGAAATTTGTCAAAATTGTAATGCAGGCTGGGCACGGTGGTTCATGCCTG
The DNA here is from genome assembly GCF_000001405.40 of Homo sapiens. Taxonomy (NCBI): domain Eukaryota; kingdom Metazoa; phylum Chordata; class Mammalia; order Primates; family Hominidae; genus Homo; species Homo sapiens. The sequence continues at coordinate 61,379,568 of NC_000011.10, forward strand.
TAATCCCAGCACTTTGGGAGGCCAAGGCGGGCGGATCACGTGGTCAGGAGATCGAGACCATCCTGGCTAACATGGTGAAACCCCATCTCTACTAAAAATACAAAAAATTAGCTGGGTGTGGTGGCACACGCCTGTAGTCCCAACTACTCGGGAGGCGGAGGCAGGAGAATCGCTTGAACCCGGGAGGCAGAGGTTGCAGTGAGCCGAGATCGCACCACTGTACTCCAGCCTGGAAGACCAAGCGAGACTCCATCTCAAGAAAAAAAAAAAAATTGTAGTGCAGCCTCAAACCATAAAGTCCCTGATGGGGTTAAAGTGATCAGCACTCATTCTATGTGCCTAGCAAGGAAAAGTTGGAAGAAAAAACATCTGTAAGTTTTTATACACAATTTCTGGGTCTAATAAAAATTACTAGTTTGCTAAAAGGTAGGGCCATATCAATAAAACAAGAGAAAAACTAGGAAATAGAAACAGGTGATCTAACTGTTAAAAAAGGAAGACAAGGAGTCAACAATAGAGGAAAACAAAAATTAGCCAGGCATGGTGGCACATGCTTGTAATCCCAGCTACTTGGGAGGCTGAGGCAGGAGAATCTGTTGAACCCAGGAGGTGGAGGTTGCAGTGAGCCGAGATCGTGCTAGTGCACTCTAGTCTGGGCAACAAGAGTGAAGAGCGAAACTCCGTCTCAAAAAAAAAAAAAAAAAAAAAAAGAGGAAAATATGGAAGAAATAGACAAACTATCATTAACTTAAAATAATCAAGAGGGTCAGAATGTGTTTTAAAGACAGTGTATTCAAGAGCAAAGTTCTGGCCAGATGCAGTGGCTAATGCCTGTAATCCCAGGACTTTGGGAGACTGAGAAGGGTGGATCACTTGAATCTGGGAGTTCAAGACCAGCCTGGGCAACATAGGAAAACTCCCATCTCTACATAAAATTTTTTTTTTCTTTCTTTTTTTTTTTTTGAGACGGAGTCTTGCTCTGTCACCCAGGCTGGAGTGCAGTGGTGCGATCTTGGCTCACTGCAAGCTCCGCCCCCCGGGTTCATGCCATTCTCCTGCCTCAGCCTCCTGAGTAGCTGGGACTACAGGCGCCCACCACCACGCCCGGCTAATTTTTTGTATTTTTAGTAGAGACGGGGTTTCACTGTGTTAGGATGGTCTCGATCTCCTGAGGTCGTGATCCGCCCGCCTCAGCCTCCCAAAGTGCTGGGATTACAGGCTTGAGCCACTGCACCCGGCCTCTACATAAAAATTTTAAAAATTAGCTGGGTGTGGTGGTGTGTGCATTTGTAGTCCCAACTACTCGGGAGGCTGAGGTGGGAGGATTGCTTGTGTCCAGGAGGTTGAGGCTGCAGCGAGCTGTGATTGCACCACTGTACCCCAGCTTAGGCGGCAGAGCAAAACCTTGTCTCGACAGAAAAAAAAAAATTAAACCAAGCTAATTAAGAAAGGAGGTGGTTATAAAATTGTTCGTCAGGAATTATCATTGATTTGCAGAAGGAACATTGGTTCGTGATTGGCTATACCTTGTTGAACTATAGGGTTTATGGTATTTTATGGCAGCTTGGTGTCAGTTAGTCTAGAGTCCACATAGCAAGTGGCTTCAAGAGGTAATTATTTTTCTCAAGAGGGAATGAGACGTGACCGTGGCTATGTTTTTAAACATCTTTCTGAGCCTGACAATTTATTTATTTATTTATTTTAAACGGAGTTTCGCTCTGACCCCCAGGCTGGAGTGCAGTGGCGCGATCTCGGCTCACTGCAAGCTCCGCCTCCCGGGTTCACGCCATTCTCCTGCTTCAGCCTCCCGAGTAGCTGGGACTACAGGCGCCCGCCACCACGCCTGGCTAATTTTTTTTGTATTTTTTAGTGGAGACGGGGTTTCACCTTGTTAGCCAGGATGGTCTCGATCCCCTGACCTCGTGATCCGCCCGTCTCGGCCTCCCAAAGTGCTGGGATTACAGGCGTGAGCCACCACGCCCAGCCGAGCCTGACAATTTAAAGAGACCCATATTCCTCAGATAAAAGATTTTTTTCCTTCTCAATTTTTTTTTTTTTTAGACGGAGTCTCATTCTGTCACGCAGGCTGGAGTGCAGTGGCCCGATCTCGGCTCACTGCAACCTCCACCTCCCGGGTTCATGCAATTCTCCTGCCTCAGCCTCCCGAATAGCTGGGATTACAGGCGCCCGCCACCATGCCCGGCTAATTTCTTTGTATTTTTAGTAGAGACGGGGTTTCACCATGTTGGCCAGGCTGGTCTCGAACTCCTGAGCTCGTGATCCGCCCGCCTCAGCCTCCCAAAGTGCCAGGATTACAGGCATGAGCCACTGCGCCCGGCCTCTTTCTCAATATTGAAACAGGGTCCTGCGTGTGTGCAACTGAAACCACTAGAGAGGAAGATGGGAATCTTAGAAGGGAAAGAGCCAGAGAGGGAAATCCCCACATTCTGTCTGCCCACACCTCCGCCCAAGCTCTGAACCCCACATAGGGAACTCAGACTCCACGCAGCTCAGTTAAAGACAGAAGATCTAAAGTGGCCAGGTGTGGTGTCTTGCGCCTATAATCCCAGCTACTCAGGAGGCTGAAGCCAGGAGTTCAAGACCAGTGTAGGCAACATAGTGAGGAACCACCCCCCAATCTCTAAAAATAAAATAAAATAAAATAAAAAAGATCTAAACTGAAAATTGGAGCTGCCAACTCAATAAGGGTGACTGTAGTATATATGTAACTGAGCTAACCGCCTGATAAAATTAAAAAACATCACTCTTTGGGGAAAAGTAACTGAAACCAGAGTCTCCAACATTTACAAGTGCCACCAAAGAGATGGTCCAGATATCGGAATTAACAAACAAGGATATGAAAGCATCAATGAAAATATTATCTCAAAGCTGGGCACAGTGGCTCACGCCTATAATCCCAGCACTTTGGGAGGCCCAGGCGGGCGGATCAGCTGAGATCAGGAGTTCAAGATCAGCCTGAACAATATGGTGAAACCCCGTCTCTACTAAAAATACAAAACTTAGCCGAGCGTGGTGGCATGTGCCTATAGTCCCAGCTACTCGGGAGCCTGAGGCGGGAGAATCGCTTGAACCCGGGAGGCAGAGGTTGTAGTAAGCTGAGATGGTACCACTGCACTCCAGCCTGGGCTATAGCGAGACTCCGTCTCAAAAAAAAAAAAAAAAAGAAAGAAAGAAAGAAAAGAAAATATTATCTCAGTAAATTAAAAGACAGGCAACCTCGGGCTGGGTGCAGTGGTTCATGCCTGTAATCCCAGCACTTTGGGAGGCCGAGGTGGGTGAATCACCTGAGGTCAGGAGTTCAGGATTACCTTGGCCAATATAGTGAAACCCCATCTCTACTAAAAATAAAACAAAATTTAAAAATTTAAAAAAAATGAAGCTGAAATAAAAACATTTTCAAATAAAAGAAAACTAAGAGAATTAGTGCTGCACTATAAGAAACATTAAGGCGGGGCACAGTGGCTCACACCTGTAATCCCAGCACTTTGGTAGGCCAAGGCAGGTGAATCACTTGAGGTCAGGAGTTCCAGACCAGCCTGACTAACATGGCAAAACCCTGTCTCTACTAAAAACACACAAAAAAATTAGCCAGGCATGGTGGCCCATGCCTGTAATCCCAGCTACTCGGGAGGCTGCAGAGGGAGAATCACTTGAACCCAGGAAGCAGAAGTTGCAGTGAGTCGAGATCACGCCACTGCACTCCAGCCTGAACTCTGTCTCAAAACAAACAAACAAACAAACAAACAAAAGATAGGCCAGGCACGGTGGCTCACGCCTGTAATTCCAGCATTTTGGGAGGCCGAAGCGGAACACCTGAGGTCAGGAGTTGGAGACCAGCCTGGCCAACATGGAGAAACCCTGTCTCTACTAAAAATACAAAAATTAGCTGGGTGTGGTGGCACATGCCTGTAATCCCAGCTACTCGGGAGGCTGAGGCAGGAAAATCGCTTGATCCCGGGAGGTGGAGTTTGCAGTGAGCTGAAACCTCGACACTGCACTCCAACCTGGGTGACAGAGTGAGACTCCATCTCAAAAAAAAAAAAAAAAAAAAAGATAGTATTTAGGTAAACATAAAGATTATTTTTAATTTTTTTCTATTTTTTCTTTCTAGTAAGATGAAGGTCTCACTATGTTGACCAGGCTGGTCTCAAACTCCTGGCCTCAAGCAACTCAAGCAATCATCCCACTTCAGCCTCCCAAAGTGCTGGGATTACAGGCATGTGCCACCACTCCTGTTTAATTTTTGTATTTCTAGTAGAGACGGGGTTTCACCATGTCGGCCAGAATGATGTCGAACTCCTGACCTCAACTGATCCGCCTGCCTCGGCCTCCCAAAATGCTGGGATTACAGGAGTGAGTCACTATGCCCAGCCGGTCCCAGCACTTAGGGAGGCTGAAGCAGGAGGATCACTTGAGACCAGGAGTTTGAGACCAGGCTGGACAATATAGCAAGACCTTGTCTCTATTAAAAAGAAAAAATTAGCTAGGCATGGTGACATGTGCCTGTAGTCCTAGCTACTTGGGAGGCTGAGGCAGAAGGATTGCTTGAGTCCAGGAGGTCAAGGCTGCAGTGAGCTATGACTGCAGCACTGCACTCCAGCCCTGGGCAACAGAGCAAGACCCTGTCTCAAAAAAATTAAAAAAAAAAATAGAAAAAGTAAAAAAGTATTAAACTATAATAAGAGAGGAATTATAAGGAAGTAAAGAGGGAAGTACCCAAGGAAGGGCAAACTCAGTAGGGTCCCCACCCCCAAGGCAGGGGTTCAGACTTCACTGCATGCCACTCACTGGGCAGTGTGAAGTTCACTGATTAGCCCAGGCCAGAGCTGTTTCACAGTTGCCAGGCAAGAAACAACCCTCCAGGCCAAAAGCAAGCTAAGGCTGGTAGGCAGGTGCTTAGAGCACATGGGGACACCACCTGCCCAGAGCACATAGCAACACCACCTGCCCAGAGCACATAGCACCCGCATTGGGAGGCCCCTAGGAAACAACCTTCCAGGTCGCAGGTGAGCCCCAGCTGTCAGACAGATGCATCAAAAGAGCTGGAATGCCCCATGTGCTTGGAGTGCATGGTGTCCACACAGGATATGGAGGATGGGAATCAACCCTCTGGGATGCAGAAGAACTCAGATTGGTGAGCAGACGCACAGAGGAAGTTGGGGCACAGCCTTGACCGCACGTTGTCCATGCCTGGAGGGCTTTGGGGAAAACCATCCATGGCATAGGTAAGCCAAGACTAGGGGGCAGGTGCACAGAGTTAGGGAGCTGCCCCAGGTGGAAGGCCTGGAGTAAGCGGCAACCATGACAAGGAGTCCACAGCAAGTTGGTCACGGGGCCTAGACCAGATCGGCAAAGTTGCCAAGGGAGTGCCGGCTTTGGGTGTGCAGCTGGAGTGGAACACCAGCAGATCTCCCAAGGCGTGCCCTGCTGATGGACGATGGAGCAAGGCCCCTAGCTGGAGTGCACTGGAACCAGAAGACAAGCCCTTTCCTTCCTGCAATGTCCTTCTAGCGTCCTCTGCTGACAAAGCCTAACATTGTACTCATTGTAGGGAGAAATGCTTCGAGTCTAGTTATCGCTTAACAGACACCGAAGGGTAGGTAAATAATGAAGCTGAGAGGCAAAAAATAGGTAACTGGCAGAAACCATTCTTCCAGCTACTCCACTACCATATGCACTCTTTACACAAATTTTGAACTCCCTTAGTAGCTACATTCCTACTAACAAGATATCTCCTCTCTAAAAGTGAAGTTCTCAGCCTTCCCCCAAATGATAAGACACACAGTCCAAACAGTCACTGTATCCATAGCTGGCTAGATTACTCCACAGATTTGTCGTGATCCCTATTACCTAAAAACTATTACCTAAAAACTATTACCTGTGTCTATTACCTAAAAACTAGATTGTAAAGTTGACCTCCAACAATTTGCACATAAAATAACAAAGGGAGGCAAAAGACATGGTCAGTACATACAAATAAACACATGCATGTAAGAAGCAAAGAAGAATATGCATCGCTGCTACAGTCCTCGTTTTTGTAACTGATCATTTTTGTAACTAATCACGGTCATAGTTGACATCCATGGTTTCCTTAGAAAAATCCGAAGGCTGCACACTGGAACCCGGGAGAGCCTCTTTGTTTCTGCAATAGCCCTCTAGTGCCCTCTGCTGACAAAGCTTAACACTGTACTCACTGTACGGGATAAATGCTTAGCGTCGATCCGGTTATCATGGAACAGAACAGGTACTGAGAGTGAATCTGGAGCTGAGGCAGTGTTGATAACTGCCATACTAGGAAACCACTAAATATTCAGAAATTAAATAAGGCTGGGCACGGTGGTTCACGCCTATACCATGTCACTCGAGCTCAGGAATTCCAGACCAGCTTGGGCAACATGGCAAAACCCCACCTCTACTAAAAATACAAAAATTAGCCAGGCGTGGTGGCACGCACCTGTAGCCCCAGTTACTCGGGAGGCTGATGCATGAGAATAGCTTGAGCCTGCAAGGCACAGGTGGCAGTGAGCTGAGATCGCACCATTGCACCGCAGCGTGGGCAACAGAGAGTCTGTCTTAAAATAAATAAAATAAAATAAAATAAAATAAAATAAAATAAAATAAAATAAAATAAAATAATAAATAAAATAAAATACACTTATAAATAGCCCATGGGTCAAAGAAGAAATCATAAGGGAAATTAGAAAACACTTTGAACCCAGCTGGGCGCAGTGGCTCATGCCTGTAGTCCCAGCACTTTGGGAGGCTGAGGCGGGTAGATCACTTGAGGTTAGGAGTTCAAGATCAGCCTGGGGGCAACATGGTGAAACCTCATCTCCACTAAAAATACAAAAATTATCTGGGTGTGGTGGCACACACCTGCAATCTCAGCTACTTGGGAGGCTAAGACAGGAGAATTCCTTTGAACCCAGGAGGTGGAGGCTGCAGTGAGCTGAGATCGCACCACTGCACTCCAGCCTGGGCAACAGAGTCAGACTCTGTCTCAAAAAACAAAAACAAAAACAAAACAAAACAAAACAAAAAACCTAAAGAAAGTAAGAAGAAGGAAATTATAAAGAGCAGAAATTTGTAAAATAGAAAACAAATTTTATACGATGAAGAAAAAGAAAGTCGAAAGCTGTTTTTAAAAAAATTAATAAGGCTGGGCACGGTGGCTCACACCTGCAATCCTAGCACTTTGGGAGGCCGAGGCGAGTGGATCATGAGGTCAGGAGTTCGAGACCAGCCTGGCCAACATGGTGAAACCCCATCTCTACTAAAAATACAAAAATTAGCCGGGCGCAGTGGTGGGCGCCTGTAATCCTAGCTACTCGGGAGGCTGAAGCAGGAGAACTGCTTGAACCCAGGAGGCGGAGGCTGCAGTGAGCCGAGATCACACCACTGCACTCTAGCCTGGGTGACAGAGCAAGACTCTGTCTCAAAAAAATAAAATAATAATAATAATAATAATAAGAAACCAGGCATGGTGGCTGATGCTTGTAATCCTAGCACTTTGGGAGGTCGAGGCAGGTGGACTGCCTGAGCTCACCAGTTCGAGACCAGCCTGGGCAACATGACAAAACCCTGTCTCTACTAAAAATACAAAAAAAAAAAGCCGGGAGCAGTGGCTCACACCTGTAATCCCAGCACTTTGGGAGGCTGAGGCGGGCAGATCATGAGGTCAGGAGATCGAGACCATCCTGGCTAACACGGTGAAACCCCGTCTCTACTAAAAATGCAAAAAAAATTAGCTGGGCATGGTGGCGGGTGCCTGTAGTCGGCTACTCGGGAGGCTGAGGCAGGAGAAGGGCGTGAACCTGGGAGGCGGAGCTTGCAGCCAGCCGAGATCGCACCACTTCACTCCAGCCTGGGCGACAGAGCAAGACTCCGTCTCAAAAAAAAAAAAAAAAAAATTAGCCAGGTGTGGTGGTGCATGCCTGTAGTCCCAGCTACTTAGGAGGCTGAGGCACGAGAATTGCTTGAGCCTGGGAGGCAGAGGTTGCAGTGAGCCAAGATCGTGCCACTGCACTGCAGCCTGGGCGATAGAGTGAGACCCTGTCTCATAAAAAAAAATAAAAAACAAAAATAAAACGTTAATAAAATTGATAAACACCTATCAAAACTATTGAAGAAAAAAATATGAAAGAAAAGGGACATCACTGCAGTTCTTACATCCATTAAGTAATATTTAAGGATTGCCTGGTGACTTTTTTAATTTTTAAAAATTAATTAGTTATTATTATTCTTTAGACAGAGTCTCGCTCTGTTGCCAGGCTGGAGTGCAGTGGCATGATCTTGGCTCACTGCAACCTCCACCTCCTGGGTTCTAGCGATTCTCCTGCCTCAGCCTCCCAAATAGCTGGGACTACAGGCATGCACCACCACACCTGGCTAATTTTTTTGTATTTTTAGCACAAATGGGGTTTCACCATGTTGGCCAAGCTGTCTTGAACTCCTGACCTCAAGTGATCCGCCTGCCTTGGCCTCCCAAAGTGCTGGGATTACAGGTATGAGCCACTGCGCCCAGCCTGACTACTGACTTATAATACAGAAAAAAAAAGAATTGAGGAATGTTATGAAAACCTTCACACCAATACATCTGGAAATGTATACAAAATGATTTACCCAAACCTTATTCAAGGTTTATGCAAACACAAATTCACCCAAACCTTACTCGAGAAGTAGAATATCTGAATGTTCTTATATATAGTACAGGGATTTCATTATTTTAAACTCCCCCCCACCAAAAAAAAAATTTAGGTTTAGATGGCTTCATCAGTGTATTCTTTCAAATACTTGAAGAAGAAATATTACCTAGCTTACACTATCTCTTCCGGAGAATAGAAAAAGAAGAAATACCTTTCGCTTTATTGGATGAAGCCACCTTAACCTTAATACCCACCCTTGACAAGGTCCTTGACAAAGTTAAATTACAGACCAATCTCTCTCATGATACATATGTAAAACCTGAACAAAATTAGCAAATGAAATCCAGTGACATATAAAAAGGATAACATATCTGTGTCAGGGGTCTCCAAGATCACACCCAGTTTGGATGATTTGCTATAAGGACTTATGGGACCCAGCATACAGGTGTATTCATGCCTCTGATCTATTACAGTGAAATACAAAGCAAGGTCAACAAAGGGAAAAGATACATGAGGCACAGTCAAGGAGAAACTAGCAGCATGCTTCCAAGAGGTCTATCTCAGGGGGAATCACACAAGACGTTCATCATTCCTCCAGCAACAAATTCTGATAACATATGTGCAATGTTGTCTACTAGGAAAGCTCACTTGAGACTCAGGGTCCAAGTTTTATTTTTTTTATTTTTATTTTTTTAAACAGTTATGGTTCACTGCAGCCTCTTCCCTCTACCTCTTGGGCTCAAGCAATCTTCCTGCCTCAGCCTCCGAAGTAACTGGGACTACAGGTGTGCACCACCATGCCTGGCTAAATTTTTTTGTTTGGGTAGAGACAGGGTCTCACTGTGTTGTCCAGGCTGGTCTTGAACTCCTGAGCTCTATTGATCCTCCTGCCTCAGCTTCCCAAAGTGCTGGGATTACAGGCATGAGCCACTGGACCCAGCCCCCAAGGTTTTTACTGGGAGCTGATCATGAAGGCACCCTCTGCCTAACATGTTTCAAAACTCCAGACTCTGAGAAGGAGAACAGGTATTTAGCATAAGCCACATTGTTTGTACAGTTTAGGCACTGTGAGCCACTTTAAACTGGTGGGAACACTACCAAAAGCCAAGTTCCCTTACGCCAGGCAAGGGTCAACCTTGCAGTTGGGCCTCTCCAAAGACAGCAGCCTCAGGTCTGCTATGTTAAGTTTTTTCTGTACAGTCTCATAAGCAAATGGGTTTTTTATTTTTTCCAGGAAGACATGGTTGGTCATACCTCTGAAAATCAATGTAATTCATATTAGCAGAATAAAGGAGAAAAATCATATAGTCCTCTCAACGGATTAAGAGAACACACTTAATAAAATATATCATAAGCCTTTTAGCAAACTAGGATAATAAGGGACTTTCTTAATCTGATAAAGAGTATCTACAAAAAAAATCTATAGCCACCATATTAATGGTGAGATATTGAACGCTTCCCCTGAGGTTAGGAACAAGACAAGACTATCCATCATCACCACTTATAGTCAACATTACACTGCCAGTCCTGGCCAGTGCAATAAGGCAAGAAAAAGAAATTGAAGGTATAGAGATTGAGAAGGAAGTAAAAATGTCTTTATTTACTGATGATGTGATCATGTACATAACAAGCCTCCTAGAAATAATCAATTTAGCAAGGGCACTGGCTGTTGGGACAGTCTTGCATGGGTCCTAAGCATCCCTGCATGTTCTTACTATGTCAAACCAGAAAGTCTGTCTCCTGATACTGAGCACAGAAGCAATTAAGTAGACCAAAGTGACTATAGTGTGATGATAGTATAATTTCTCCCTCCCCAGTGGAAAGGGCCTGGCTTTATTTGCTGCTTGCTAAAAAGGGTACTGAGCCTTTGGCTCTGGGCTCCACCAAGCTGTGGCATAACTCCTTGAGTGCAGCACCATCTGGGGTCATTGTGTCACTCATAGGACTTGGGAGCAGGGGGCCCCCAGGTTGCCATGCTGATGTTCCTGCTGTTTGCCATAAGTAATTTGGCCTCACTGTCAGCTTTTGGCATCTATGAAGTTGTGGCATACTCTGACATAGATTAGCCAACTTTTTCTTAAAGGGTCAGATGGTATTTAAGGCTGTGGGCCATGTGGTCTCTGTTGCAACTACTTAACATTGCCATAATAGCATGAAAGCTGCAATATATAATAACATGTAAGTAAGTGACCATGATGACGTTCTCCAAAGAACTTTTATTTACAAAAACAAGCAGCTGGCCCACTTTCTTTGTTTTTCTTTTGAGACATAGTTTCACTCTTGTTGCCCAGGCTGGAGTGCAATGGCTTGGTCTCAGCTCACTGCAACCTCCGCCTCCCAGGTTCAAGCGATTCTTATGCCTCAGCCCCCCAAGTAGCTGGGATTAGAGGCATGTGCCATCATGCCCGGCTAATTTTGTATTTTTAGTAGAGATGGGGTTTCACCATGTTGGTCAGGCTGGTCTTGAATTCCTGACCTCAAGTGATCCACCCGCCTCAGCCTCCCAAAGTGCTGGGATTACAGGTGTGAGCCACCGCGCCAGGTGCAGCTGGCCCACTTTCTTTCCATATCAGGCTCAGAGCAGGAACTTTTCTAATGTCTCTTGTCTTGCAGGCAGCGAAGATGGGGAAGCAGGATCTGGATTCCTTTCCACCTTAACCTCTGTGCTCTGCGCTTTCCTACTTACCCTAAAGGGCTTCCTTGCCCTCCAGCTTGCAGTTAAGTTGTGTCAGCGGGAGACATAAGCAGAGATCAGAGATGGGAGAAGGGAAATGGAGGTCCCTGCTATATTTATCCACTAGCCTCCTAGAGTGTGAGGGTTCCTAGTGGGAGGCCTTCTATGCACATATTACTCTCCAGCTTCAGGGAATTGTTTCAGGCCCTTCCCTTTTAAGCCTAGAAGTAACAATTACCGCCCCACCACATCCCAATTAGCCAGGGGTACAGCACTTTGCTTAAAGCTTAGTCACTCTTGGCCGGGGGCATTAATCACACCTGTAATCCCAGCACTTTGGGAGGCGGGGGGGGGGGGGGGGGGGGGGGGGGGGGGCGGGTCACCTGAGGTCAGGAGTTCCAGACCAGCCTGGCCAACATGGTGAAACCCCGTCTCTACTAAAAATGCAAAAATATTTAGCCGGGTGTGGTGGGGGGCACCTGTAATCCCCGCTACTTGGGAGGCTGAGACTGGAGAATCGCTTGAACCCAGGAGGCGGAGGTTGCAGTGACCAGAGATAGCGCCATTGCACTCCAGCCTGGGTTACAAGAGCAAAACTCCGTCTCAAAAATAAAATGAAATAAATAAAATAAAGCTTAGTCACCTTCCTCAGGCTACCTGGTTGGAGCGTGCCATCTGTTTCCTGCTTTACCCTGATTGACAACGGGCTAACAGCCAAGTCAAGTCAACCTGAGTCCTCTCAAAACCCTTCTTTTTGCACTCCCCTGCCTGCAGCAACACAGTTTTCTGTTTTTTTTTTTTTTTGAGACAGAGTCTCACTGTCGCCCAGGCTGGAGTGCGGTGGCGCGATCTCAGCTCACTGCAACCTCCGCCTCCCGGGTTCGAGCGATTCTCCTACCTCAGCCTCCCAAGTAGCTGTAACTACTGGCGCGCGCCAGTACGCCCGGCTAATTTTTGTATTTTTAGTAGAGACGGGGTTTCGCCATGTTGGCCAGGCTGATTTCGAACTCCTGACCTCAGGTGATCCATCACCTCGGCCTCCCAAAGTGCTGGGATTACAGGCGTGAGCCACTAAGCCCGGCCAGCAACACGCTTTTACCGCTGCAAATCCGGATCAGGCAGGCTTTGAAGCCCAGCTCACAGGCCGTCTCTTGGAAACTAACTTAGATTTCCACCTGGGAGCACTTTGTCCTCTCAGCTCCCACTGCACCACTTTATGGATCGCGTGGTGACTCGTTTCATTTTATTTATGTGTGTTCCTGGAAAGGACGCTCTATTTCCTTCGTGTCTCTACCTGGTAGGTAAATCGGCCGCAGAAAAGACCAATGCTAACTCCACCCTGCATTTGCAGAGATCCGTCGCTCACACCTTTTCTTGTCTTCCGTTGAAAAAAGAGAATCGTGGGAGTAGGACCTATTTGCCAATCTCCTGGTAACACTATCACAACTGGCCACTTCCGCCCAACGCCCGGTAGTCTGAGAGCCTCCAAGGTCCTCCCCCGCACCCCTGAGGTCCTGCAGACGACGGCGTCGTGGGTGGTCACCGTTATCCCTTAGGTCTGGAGAGGGGACATCCGAGCGAGGGCCACTTGCGGCCAGGCCCGAGCTCGTCCAGCTCCGGGTGACCACAGAGTGCCGCGGGCGGGCAGAGGGGCCGGAAACCCAGGCCGCTTCGTCCCTGTTTCCGGCAGCGCCGCGCTGCTCCGGGAGCCGCTGTGGCAGCGTATGCTGCCACGGGGACTGAAGATGGCGCCGCGAGGTGAGATTCCGGAGGTGTGTGAGTCGCTGGTCCCTTTCCCTTCGGTCGCTCCCTCCCACCTCTGTCCCAGAGCTTGACCTAAACCCTCCATTCTCTAGCGTTAGGGACGTCGCGCCTCCCTGGTCCAAAGCCGGCTTCCGCGGTCCCGCCCACCCTGGGTGCCTGAAGGTCTCAAGGTGCACAGCTCAAATAAACGCAGATCCTTGGCTGGGCCACTTCTAGGCTGGCTCAGGTGCGAATCTGTTGGTCTCTGCGCCCCAACTTCCCCTCCCAAATAGTGACAGAGTGAGATCTTTGAGATGTCTGTCAGCTGCGAGTTACCTCTTGACTTTTATTCCTGAAGCCGAAGAGTCGAGTTTCACGGTGATTCCTAGGAAAGGAGGGAAGCCCCCTCCACTCCCACCCCCGTACCCTCGCCCCCTCATTATCAGCAACCAGAAGTGCCCCTGAGTGGCCGGTCCCATTAGTTGCAGCGTCTAGTTTCCCCAAAGTTAGACACCAACCCATACGAGCAGAGAGGGAGCTGCCTTCCGGCCCATCCCACTTCTCTGTGCTCCTTTTTCAGGTAAACGGTTGTCCTCCACCCCGCTGGAAATCCTGTTCTTTCTGAACGGGTGGTATAATGCTACCTATTTCCTGCTGGAACTTTTCATATTTCTGTATAAAGGTAAGGAAGGCTTGGGGCTTGACGACAGCATCCCTTCCCCACTTCAGCTCAGAGCCAATTCCTACCAAGAACCTTCTTATTTTCCGTTCTTTTCTGCCCCCTGCAGTTCTTTGTCGCTGCAAGGCAGGCCTCCTCATCAGATGGCTTCTTTGAGTATGATTCCATAGGCAGCCCCTCAGCAAGAATTTCTTGAGTTTGAGAAATGTGGGCTTCTCCATTCTGACTCTGCCCACATCACTGCTCTTTGCTGAGCTCCACTGTAAGCCCACTGGTGACCCTTAGAAACTATTCAGTGGCCTGTGTACCCATGTACATCCAATCATTTTGGAGAGTGGAGTCCCCAGAGACTTTTGGAGTTAGGAGTAAAACACCATAATAATGAGCCTGAGTCGCATTGTGAGTTTATGTATCCTGCTGCTGTAATAATGCCCACATCTCACTAACTAGTTCATGGAAAGCTGAGACTGATGTCCTCTTTTTTCCCAAGTGTGTGGCAGTTCTTGTGGGTGCTGTTATATGCTGTTTGCAAACTCTGGCTTTTGTATTGGCAGGTGTCCTGCTACCATATCCAACAGCTAACCTAGTACTGGATGTGGTGATGCTCCTCCTTTATCTTGGAATTGAAGTAATTCGCCTGTTTTTTGGTAAGTGTTGTCCAGAGAATATTTCCACTCCTTATGAGACAAGCTGGTATCTGTAACTTGATTAACAAGAAAAGTACATAACCTAGGTTGACTATCATAGACTGGATCTGTATATCCTATTACTCCGTCTCTGAAGTTTCAAGTTGCTGCTTCATACATTGGGTCAAGATTTACCTGTTTGTTGCTCTGTAAGGCTAGAGATGGGCAATAGAATGGGATATTAGATGATTCCTTCCCAGCTGCCTAACTGCAAGAAGAGTGCTTGGTTCTTCTCACTAGTATTCTTAGGGGAATAGGTTCAGTTGTAACTCCACGTCAGGGCAGGCAGTGTATCCTGTACAGATCAGTACTAAGATCCCTAACAATTCTCTGAATAAGGATCTCTGTAGGAGTTTTTTGTTTTTTTTTTTTGAGATGGAGTCTCACTCTGTCCCCAGGCTGGAGTGCAATGGCACGATCTCGGATCACTGCAATCTCTGCCTCCCGGGATCAAGCGATTCTCCTGCCTCAGCCTCCTGAGTAGCTGGGATTACAGGCGTGCACCACTGCTCCCAGCTAATTTTTGTATTTTTAATAGAGACGGGGTTTCACCATGTTGGCCAGGATGGTCTCGATCTCTTGACCTTGTGATCTGCCTGTGTCGGCCTCCCAAGGTGGTGGGATTACAAATGTGGGCCACTGCACCTGGTTGGATTTTTTTTTTTTTTTGAGATGGAGTCTCACTCTGTCACCTGGGCTGGAGTGCAGTGGCACCATCTCGGCTCACTGCAGCCTCCGCCTCCCGGGTTCAAGCAATTCTCCTGCCTCAGCCTCCTGAGTAGCTGGGACTGCAGGCGCCTGCCACCATGCCCGGCAAGTTTTTATATTTTTAGTAGAGATAGAGTTTCACCATGTTGGCTAGGATGGTCTCGATCTCCTGACCTCATGATCCACCCGCCTTGGCCTCCCAAAGTGCTGGGATTATAGGTGTGAGCCATCACACCTGGCCAGATTTTGTTTTTTAAACATTTATTTATTTGAGACAGGGTCTCATTCTGTCACCTAGGCTGTAGTACAGTGGTACGATCATAGCTCACAGCAGCCTTGAAGCCCTGGGCTCAAGCAGTCCTCCAACTTCAGCCTCCTGAGTAGCTGGGACCACAGGTGTGCGACATCATACCTGGCTAATTTTGTGTTTTTTGTAGAGACAGTGTCTTGCCTTGTTGCCCAGGCTGGTCTGAAGCTCCTGGCCTCAAGCAATCTTCCTGCCTTGGCCTCCCCAAGGTGCTGGGATTACAGGCGTGAGCCAACATGCCTGGCCTGTAGGACAAGTTTTATAACCCCAGAAATACAGAGCAAAACCCTTATTTGTTAGAATATGTCATCCCTGAAATCAACGTTAAAGCACAAACTTAGGAACAAAATTACTTGCAACATATAAGAAAGGATAAAAGAAGGCTCACATAAATCACTAAGGAAAAAACAAAATAACTTTAAAAATTGGCTGGGCGCAGTGGCTCACGTCTGTAATCCCAGCACTTTGGGAGGCCGAGGTGGGTGGATCATTTGAGGTGAAGAGTTTGAGACCAGCTTGGCCAACATGGTGGCCGTCTCTACTAAAAATACAAAAATTAGCTGGGTGTGGTGGCGCGCACCTGTAATCCCAGCTACTTGGGAGGCTGAGGCAGTAGAATCGCTTGAACCCAGGAGGCAGAGGTTGCAGTGAGCCAAGATCGCCCACTGCACTCTAGCCTGGGCGACAAAGTGAGACTCAAAAAAAAAAAAAAATTGGTAAGGGACATTAATGGCAGTTCATGTAAAAATAATTACAGAGAACCAGTAAAACTTGACAAGATGCTCAAACTCGCTAATAAAAATCAAATTGAAACAAAGTAACATTTTTTACCCATCAGACTGGCAAAGAAAGATTTATAACACCCAGTATTAGGGTGTGGGGAACAGGTTGTTATACACTTTTGTGGTAATTTAATTTAGTACAACTCTTGGGTAGTAGTTATTACTGTGTAATGTTTTACTGTTAGCCCCAACAATTTCACTTCTAAAACTAGATTAAAAAAAAATTCCACAGATATGCGAAGATAGCTATATGAGAATGTTTATTGCCAAAAATTTGGTAACATCAAAACACTGTAAACAAACTAAACATCTGTCCATACGGGATTGTTAAATCAGTTACGGCACTGATTCAACGGACTTGTATATAACCATTAAAAAAGAACAGTTGCTGGGCATGGTGGCTCACGCCTGTAATCCCAGCACTTTGGGAGGCTGGGGCAGGCAGATCACGAGTTCAGGAGATCGAGACCATCCTGGCCCACATGATGAAACCCCATCTCTACTAAAAATACAAAAATTAGCTGGGTGTGGTGGCACGTGCCTGTAATCCCAGCTACTCGGGAGGGTGAGGCAGGAGAATCACTTGAGCCCGGGAGGCGGAAGTTGCAGTGAGCCGAGATTGCACCACTGCACTCTAGCCTGGCGAGAGAGCTAGACTCTGTCTCAAAAAATTAAAAAAAATTAAAAAGAACAGTTAAGGCCAGGTGCAGTGGCTCACGCCTGTAATCTTAGCACTGTGGGAGGCCGAGGCGAACGGATTGCCTGAGGTCAGGAGTTCGTGACCAGCCTGGCTAACATGGTGAAATCCTGTCTCTACTAAAAAATACGAAAATCAGCTGGGCATGGTGGCGGGCACCTGTAATCCCAGCTACTTGGGAGGCTGAGGCAGGATAATCGCTTGTACCTGGGAGGTGGAGGTTGAAGTGAGCCGAGATCGCTCCATTGCACTCCAGCCTGGGTGACAAGAAACTCCGTCTCAATAAAAAAAAAAAAAAATTAGCTGGGCATAGTGACGTGTACCTATAGTGGGAAGATCCCTTCAGCCCAGGGGTTCGAGGCTGCAGTGAGCTATGATGATGCAATTGCACTCCAGCCTGGGTGACAGAATTAAACACTATCAAAAAAAAAAAAAAATTAAGGTAGCTATGTGTGTGGAAAAATGTTTGTGGGGGAAAAATAAGTTGCAAAACAGGATGTAGGGTATGCTTCTATTTTTATAATAATAAATAGTAATATGTGAATATATACGTATAAAAAATCTGAAACAATACACGTCATTCTCTAATAATCTTCAGGGTGTAGGGACATGGAGGTCTTTCACTTTCTATAGTCTCAAAAATTATTTTCTGTGTTGAAATTTTTTTTTTTTTTTGAGACGGAGTCTTGCTTTGTTCCCCAGGCTGGAGTGCAGTGGCGTGACCTCTGCTCACTGCAAGCTCCACCTTCCGGGTTCACACCATTCTCCTGCCTCAGCCTCCCGAGTAGCTGGGACTACAGGCGCCCGCCACCACGCCCGGCTACTTTTTTTGTATTTTTAGTAGAGATGGGGTTTCACCGTGTTAGCCAGGATGGTCTCCATCTCCTGACCTTGTGATCCACCTGCCTTGGCCTCCCAAAGCGCTGGGATTACAGGTGTGAGCCACTGCACCCGGCCATTGAAAATTTTTAAATGATTATATATTATTTTTATAATTAAAAATTTTGTTTTTCCCAAATAAAGATCCCATTGTCCCTTGAGTGGGAACCAGACTGGAAGCAGGACCTCTGGATTAAGTGACTTTAATCTTGTAGCTCTCCTAAGCCTCAAACTTTTAGTACAGTGGGACCCCATTTATAAATCTGCACACCCCCACTCAGGATTATTTTTTGTGCCTTGCCATTCCATCACATCTCCCACGCCTTTCCCCTGGGCCAGGAAAAGCAGACCATTTGGAGATGACTCCATGGGCTGTGTCTGACAGGTACAAAGGGAAACCTCTGCCAGCGAAAGATGCCGCTCAGTATTAGCGTGGCCTTGACCTTCCCATCTGCCATGATGGCCTCCTATTACCTGCTGCTGCAGACCTACGTACTCCGCCTGGAAGCCATCATGAATGGCATCTTGCTCTTCTTCTGTGGCTCAGAGCTTTTACTTGAGGTGCTCACCTTGGCTGCTTTCTCCAGGTACTGCTGCTGAGGGACCATTTCTCATCACTAGAGGGTTGGGTTCCCATCCCAGGGAGGGATTCAGTATTCTTCTGAAGCCTAAGGGGTCTAGAAGACTTTTTTCTAGAGGGAGGAAGGGGTGGCTATGGGATTGCCTTTCCTGTTTAGGGTAGGTAGATCGTTTCCCACTCAGGGAAGATACTCTCCCTATCCTTTGGGGCCAGGAGGCTTGGAATATAGAACAGTCGAGGCCAGCTGCTCTCATTCACTGGTCTTTTAACATTTTCTTTCTTTCTGCCATCGTATGGACAGGATTTGAAGTACAGAATTTCAGCCAGCAGCCCATCAGGCTGACACCACACATATTGCTTCTGGTACTTTAGCCACACCAGTGAGAATTGGTGGGGCAAGTTGTCCTGAGAAAGGCTGTGTGGCTTTTCTTCAGCACAGACATTTGGGCAAGCAACTCAGCATAAGGCCAGTGGGTACCATCTTCTAAACCAGGACCATCAGCCCAAGAGACTCTTCTACACTCCAGTATAGGGAGGGGCAAGGTTATTCCCATCCTGCCCCTTCTCAGAACCAGTCCCCTGCTGACCTCAAGTTCTCCTCCTTGATCACCGTGGCCAGAGCATCTCGTGTGGACCATCTAGGCTCCTTGGGCTTCAAGCAGGACCTGAGCCACATGCTCCCTGTACGAGCTGTGCTATACCTGTCCCACATGAGCACGGAGAGCCTCATGTTGGTGGGTTTCCAGAGTGATGTGAAAGCCTCTCACCCCAATCCTCGGAGACTGAGTTCCACAACTTTTTTAGTAGCTCATAGTGTTATTTTTCTACTCTCTTCATGAAACTAACTTTATTTTATAATAAATATGTATTTTCTGTTGTGGGGGTTGCAGCCTTTCCTTATGGCACCTGTCCCTAGAATTCATCCACTCCAAGAGAGGGTCATGACTATCCCAGCAGTTTGTTCTCAGGAGCTTTGCTTAGTGATACAGTGTGGACAAAAGGCAGTGATGACCACTGATTTTCTTCCCCAAGCTGCAGCCTAAATTAAACCCTAAATGCACTGCCATCCTCTGTATCTTCAAGTCTCTCGTCATGCAAAAGACTGCTTATTTGCTTCACTCTGCCCCAAAGTCAGCATCTTGTCTCACTCCTCTTACAGATAATTGTTAGCTTTTTTCCAGTGGGCCATGTGAAACTGGAAGAAGCATATTCTAAACTAACTTTTTTTTTTTTTTTAATTTTGGAGACAGTGTCTCAGTCTGTCATCCAGGCTGCAGTGCAGTGGCATGATCTTGGCTCACTGCAACCTCTGCCTCCCTAGCTCACGTGATCCTCCCACATCAGCCTCTCAAGTAGCTGGGACTACAGGCACACACCACCATGCCTGGCTTTTTTTTTTTTTTTTTGAGACGGAGTCTCGCTCTGTCACCTAGACTGGAGTACAGTGGCATGATCTCGGCTCACTGCAACCTCCGCCTCCTGGGTTCAAGTGATTCTTCTGCCTCAGCCTCCCGAGTAGCTGGGAATACAGGTGTGCACCACCATGCCGGGCTAATTTTTTTTTGTATTTTTAGTAGAGACGGGGTTTCACCATGCTGGCCAGGCTGGTCTCAAACTCCTGACCTCGTGGTCTGCCTGCTGGCCTACCAAAGTGCTGGGATTACAGGCATGAGCCACCGTGCCCAGCCCACTAATTTTTGTATTTATTGTAGAGATGGGGTCTTTGTTGCTCAGGCTGGTCTGTAACTCCTGGGCTCAAGCGATCCTCCCGCCTCTACCTCCTAATGTGCTCGGATTATAGGTGTGAGCCACTGCAACCAGCTGATGTTTTTTTTTTTTTTTTTTTGGTCATTTATTTTAGTATTTTGAGGCCTGGCACAGTGGCTTACACTTGTGATCCCAACATTTTGGGAGGCTGAAGCAGGAGGATTGCATGATTCCAGGAATTTGTGACCAGCCTGGGTAATATGGTGAGAACCTTGTCTCTACAAAAAATTTAAAAACAAGCCAGGTGTGGTGATGCGCACCTGTAGTCCCAGCTATTCAGGAGGCTGTGGCAGGAGGATAGCTTGAGCCCAGGAGGTCAAGACTGTAGTGAGCTATGTTTGTACCACTGTACTCCAGCCTGTGCAGGAGTGAGACCCTGTCTCAAAAATAAAATTTTGAGTCAACATAAAAGGAACACTTTTTTTTTTTTTTAAGCTGGAGAACTGTCACTCTAGATCAATGTATACTTTCTTTCTCCAAGTAAGCATCTTTAAAATTATTCCTCATTTCCTTGGTAGTGGCCATGTTTTTTAATTCCAAGAAGCCACGAGGAGCCATGACGGAATCCACTTCAGAAAACCTTGAGGCTCTTCTGTTTTCAGATGAATCCTAGATTATCTGCTCTTACTCGAAGTAAAATGTAACTTTAAGCATTCTATGCTGGCTTTAACTCTTACTTTCTATGATCAAGCTCATTCTTATCCTGAGGGGCTCTGCTGTCCAAAGCACTGATGTTTTTTCTTGTTTCCTACCCCTTCTGTGCCCTTGCCTCCCAGTTGCCCTTGGGGACTATCCAAAAACCAGAGTAGACAGGTCTAATCAGCCATGACACAGTAACAAAACCTTCAATAGGAACTGCCCTGATAATTACAAATCCCACTAATACCAATTTTCTGCTACTTTCTCCCTGTGTTGAAGAAATCGCTGGTATCAAACTGGAAGAGAGCCCATTCTGTATGGCCTATTTAGAGGTTCACTGGTTAAGCTCACTGCCACAGCAATATAAATGATTGGAAGGCTCAATTGGAAGTTGAAGGGTGCCTTATAAAATCCATTAGAATTTAAAGACCTATTTTAGAGATGAACCAAGTCTTACCCCCGACTTTGCAGGCTTAGAGATGAGAAGTGACATAACCAGCACCACACATCTGGTTATTAACAGGTGGAACTAGAAATCTTGCCTTAGGAGTCTGTCTGGATCAAGGAAATTCCATTTCCTCATACTTGAGAATGAGGATGATGGTTGAAAATGAGGCTGTGATTAGGAATAGGAAGTCCTCTCATTTACTGGGTGGTTATGTGGAAGTTTAGTGCATTGTGCTTCCTGTGGGTTGCGTGATAAATGTTCATTTTTCCTGATGCTTGTTGGAACCACCTGTGTAGATGCAGTTAGTCACATAATTAGGACATACAACAGAAACTGAGGCAGTGGAGGCCTGGCACAGTGGCTTACACTTGTGATCCCAACATTTTGGGATCACAGAAATCAGTGTAGCTAGTCTTTCAGATTTATCGTGGCCAGAGGCTGTGCTCACTAGAGTCAAGGGAAGCTGCTTTACAGTCCACACAGAGCTGGAGGTACCAAAATTCTGGGACAGTGGAGAGAACTGAGCAAAGCAACAGGCCCTGGTCATAAGCTTGGCAGAGGCCTGCTCAGCTACTCACACTCATGGCTAGAACCAGCAAGTGACTGCAGTGGTCTCGCCCAGTTTAGGAAGCATTTAGGGCAGATTGATTCTAGCTCCATACCATGGCAGCAGCTTGTGGAGACTACTAATCATCCAGTGCCTGGCAAAGTGTATTTCATTCATATAATGATCCTATGAGGCAGAAGGAAATTAATCAGATGTTAAGTCATGTGTCCAAGGGCATTCAGCTTAGAAATGGAACTGGGATTTGAACCTAGAGTAACCATAAAATCCTTCCTTTTCTACACCACCATGGTACCTCCTAGATGAAGCTGAATTTTGCCTCTAAGCTACTAGTCCTCACAATTTAGTTTACAAGTCATCTGGGGCATAAAAACCAGACACCTAGACCTTATGTAGAGATTGCTACAGCACAGGAACAGGTGTCTTAGCAAGCATGACGTACAACTAAGATGTGGGTTACCATGGAACCCAATTTGAAAGTAATAGTTTTACATTCTAAGGTATTCCAACTATTTTTTTTCCTTAAGTTTCACATCTTGATAGACCCTCTACGGAATCTCTTCTCCTAAAGCTTGTTTTTACAGTGATCTTGCCATTCCTGGTACCATACACATTATCATCTGGTCTGTGGTTCACTTTTTTTTTAAATCATTGAACCCTCCTTCACCTGGCTTTTTAAAGCCAAAAGCTTTTCTGGAGCCCCAAGATCACCCACACTATGTACTTCCTCATATTTAGGCAGTTTACAAAACATTCACATTTGTTATCTCTGACTCTTAAAACATCCCTGTGTAGAAGGCACAACAGCTATTATTTTCATTTTGTAGGTGAAAAAGACCAGGGTTACACTGCTTGTCCATATTTAGATAAACAGGTGGTAAACTAGGCACTACCAGTCAGATCTTCTAACTCCTATCAAAGGATTCTTCCCTTCCTGAACTTGATACTGGAATTTAACTGCACAAGGTAGAACATTTGCTCTGAAAATAAGTCTTAGGAATCTTGAAGGGTAAAGGATAACTTAGAAGTTTTCTTTAACCAGCTGTTTAGATGGCCAAGGAAAAAAGCTAAACCTTAAGGGATGCCTCCAAAGGTTTGCATTAGAGGTCTCTTAGGAGGCTTTCCACAGTCAACTAAAGCCATGTATCACTGCCTGACATGCAATCCTAGCTAAGAACTTGGCATTTCACCATCATTCGAGTGTCTACATCAGCCCATGCCCATGCCCCAGACACCTCAACAAATCTATTCAATGCAGAATCCATAAAACAGCTCACACCCCATTTATTATTTAAAAATATTTTGTTACAAAAGGAAAAAAATACAATGCAGTATAAAAGATTGACAGCGTCATCAAGTTTATTACACAATTTTCAACCTATCAGAAAGACAAACAAATCACCGACAACAGGGGGACGGGACCTTGGCCTTTTTGAGGGATGGGTGTTTTTTTTCCTTTTGCTATCAGGAAATAAAACTAAAAATGGTGTCATTGAGTAAAAACAAAACAAATGGGGAGAAAAAAATTCTCCGGGTAAACGGCATTTCTGGTATTCTATATATATTTTTCCTTAAACTGTCACCTTTTCTCTACATTTTAAAAGACACCCGGAGTTGCTCTCAATAAGCACATCACTTAACACTTGGCCAGTTGGGTGGGGTGCCATGTTCTGAAGTGGAGGTGGGGATGGGGTTGGGGGACAGGGGAAAAAAAGCTCCAACCTGTAGCCTCTGTCCCAAGGGAATGTGCCTCTCCAATCCTGCGGGGGACTCCCTCAGTGACTGAGGGCTATATGAGAAACGTGCTGGGAACAGAGGACGGGTTTAGTCCAATTCAGTCTCTCTCCTCTGACCCAGAAGGGTCTCTAGTGACCCTATGTCTCACATGCCAAGTCTCATCTCACATGCCACGTCTCATGTTAGGTGTCAGATGCCCTGTAGATGCATGCAGAAGTAGCATCACCCCATGGGTACCGCAGGACCTCGCTGCTGCCTCCTCCTTCAGCAGCAACCACATTACAATTTGGATGTTATGGAAAAGCAATTCCATTTGCCTGTAGAGAAAATGGCCCCCAGAATGCTGGTCCTTAGAACTCTGAGCTGAGTTCATTCAAGTCGGGCTCTGTTTCTTCTGGCTCCTCATCTGAGGCAGGAAGTATCTCCAGGCAGAGTGAGAGGAGCTATTAAGTCAACAGTCAAAAGGTGAAAAGACACCAAATTTGTGACTTTACCTGCCTACTAGTGCCAGGTTATCCCACAATAAGTAAAAGTATGTACCTGGGGGATGTAAGCCCATGCTTACATCAAACCTGAAAAAAGAAAAGCCTATGGAAGTAGGCCATATCCTGCCCAACTTGCTTCTTTCCCCATTCCTCCTGGTTACTTCACAAGGGTTCTTCATTGCTGAGGTCCCAATGTCCCCATCTCCCAATGGGCAGTACCTTCCTCTAAAACAAGGAAGTAGCCTTCTGGGGGAAGGGCTCCATGTGTTAAATGGAAAAGCCCCAGGGAAAGGGAACAACTAAGAGCTGGTTATTGCAAGAGGTACCCAAGCACTAAGCAGCAGAGGGTGGTAATTGGCTCTGCCAGGCTTCCCAGCAGCAAGCAACCTCATAGGCCTTCTCTGCTTAGGAGGGGCAAGTCCACTGAGAAGGCTGGGCAGCGCAGAGTTGAAAGAGTTCAGCCCTCTGGGAGGTCAAAGAAATAAACCGTCAATACGTGAGAGGGAAAGCAGGAACAGAAGTAGCTTTTCATAAGGTAATTTCTGTTCTCATGGTCCCTCCTCAAAGGGCTGGAAAGGTAAAGGAGTTAAACAAAGAAGTGGTATGTTAGCAAGGGGTTTGGACCCTCTTGGCCCCATTAAATCTAGTGCTGAGGGCAGGACCCTGGGCATATTTTGGCACACCCAGTCACTCTCCTAGATCCTGCATGGAGGATCTATTTTCTTTGGGAAGGAAGTCTTCCCATCAACCTCACCATTGAACGGCTCCCGGAGAATCAGAAACTCATACGTTTTCTTGGACAAAGCACCATTCTCTATGGAGACCAGGGGCCTGGACATGTTTTCTTCCTGTCTGCCACCCCTCCCAATCACACGAAGTCTTTAGGTTCTTTCCCCTGGCAAACAGGAGGTGTGGGATTGGGAGGACTGCCAAGCAGTCTTCAATCCTGTGGGGCAGAGGGTATTCCCTGGGTGTCTGGAGGGAGTTAGGGGTTTGGAGGAAAGGGAAGGGGGTGGGGCGGCCTCCGTCCTTTAGTCCTGATCAAGGTGAGGAGATGCAAGTCCATTAAAAAAACATTTGCTTCCAACCAGACTCCTGCAATGAGAACATCAGAAGAAAAGAAAGAAAACACAAGTTAGAGGTTACTTTCTGAATGACAGGGGCTTATATAAAACACACATATTCTAACGCTACAACATAAGAAGTAAGGAATGCAGACAGAGAATGCAAGTCTGGGAAAACAAAGCAGGACTGTCTGACACTAGAAGTGGTGAGGAATGGCTGGAGGAGAAGCTACTGTGAGTAGAGAGAAAAAAAGCAGTGACATCCACTATAAAGATTCGGTGAAAAAACAGAACAAAATGAGGTCTCTGAACGTTCGACTGAAAAGGAGACTTTGGCTGCAAAAGTATGGAAACTGTGACATATTTCAAGAAAAGTTGCTAAAAGGGAATAAGGTGAGTTTAAATATAGGTTAAGAAGTCTATTCTGTGCAAGTCATAGCTTACCTTAAGGGGAGGGGGAAAAATCTGGAAATGGGAGGTTTAGTGGTAAGAAAACAAGTATGTACACAACCAAATCCATTAATCCCCAAACACCCAAGAGGCCCTAGCAGGCAGGATGCACATACACAGGAAACTCTTAAATCCTTCTTTTTTCTTTTTAAAGGAGTCCTGGCTAAAAGTGCCTTTATGAGTATGTGTGTACACAAACACAGCCCCAGAGGTTTTCCAAGTGTACTAAAACTCGAGATTTTAAGTCTTTCCTCGCATGACAGCCATAGGTGAGGAACCAGGAAACATACTAACACTAAGCAGGAGTCACGTGGCCAGGCCAGAACAGAAAGCAGAGCATGGAAGAAACCTAAATGCAGTTAAGAAGTTTTACCCAAAAGGGTCTATTAAGCCACCTGTCACATGGCCACCAAACAAAGTTCCTACTATACTCAGCACCTGTTCCAATGCTGCAATACCCATCTGCGGGTGGTGGTATGGTCAGTCTGAGCATATTAAACAGAATTAATAGCCAAAGGGAAAATGAGGAATTAGAATTTCTCCTAATGCCCAAACTGGCAACACAGCCTACGCACAAATGTTTACCTTTTATATAACTACTTCTGTAAAGTGGCCTTATAAAACCTAGAGGAGACATCTACGTCCTCCCTGATCCTTGTACACACCGAAATGACACTATTTTCAGCTTGGGTCCTCAGAATCTATATGGCCTAAGCCTTCCTGGCCTGTCTAAACACCTACGCAGGCTGGTATTTGTCCCATTTTCTCTAAGGGAAAACTGAAGCCCTCAGTGCACTCAATTACATACCATTAGGGCTTCTGAATCTTTGAATTCGATCCAAATTGAAGAGAAAGCTCAGTTTTCAATGGATAACGAGGACAGGAATGACGTGAGAATGACTATATTTCAAGTAGGATAATGTCCTAAAATAATGAGATAACTGACATAGTTGAGAACTACAAAAAGTTGAAGACACAGGTTGCAGAGGATAACTTGTACACCAAGAGAAGCAAGCCATAGCACTGAATTCTTAAATCTCCATGGCTACATTTTGGTGCCAATGTTGGAATGCAGGCAGAAATCAGAGATTCCTTCAAGTGGGCCAATTAGCCTTCAGGCCCCAGAACTGGGTCTTACGCCGAGAAAAGATGGACAAAGAAGGCTACTGTTCTATTGCTGCCTCTGGACAAAATGTACCTTTCACTCTCAGGGAACAGCTGTCATCATAGAATATAAATATGATTCATTTCTAACTAAAAGGTTGCTATAAATGAGGACCATGTACCATCTTCCCAACATGAAACTTCCTAAGCCATAACTTGGTCACTACAGATGGAATTAAGAGTCCTTAGGGTGAGAATGTAAGAAATTGACATTCTTGGGGTGCCTGATTCAGTTCTTTCAGACTATTATTCAGATGCAATAACCACTATATCAAACGGGTGACCAGGAAAAGTGAGGAAGTAGAAAACCTGCCTCAGAGTTAATTTTTCCCATCTTGTCATGGGCCTACACAAGTCAAATGACTGTTTTCTAGGCAATATTGTTACAGCATTTTCAAAGTTACCAAAAGAGAGTTATCCTCATAATGGGAGAAATAGTCTCATCTTATTTTATTTTTATTACTATTTTTTTTGAGACAGGGTCTTGCTCTATTGCCCAGGCTGGAGTGCAGTGGCACAAACATGGCTCACTGCAGCCTCTATCTCCCGGGCTCAAGTGATCCTCCCACCTAAGTGCCCCCAAGTAGCTGGGACTCCTCCTGCCTCAGCACCCCCAAGTAGCTGGGACTACAGGAGCACATCACCATGCCCAGCTAGTTTTGTATCTCTGGTAGAGACGAGTGTTTTGCCATGTTCCTCAGGCTGGTCCCTGAGCTCAAGCGATCTGCCCCTCTCGGCCTCCCAAAGTGTTGAAGTTACAGGCATGAGCCACTGTGCCTGGCCCCATTTTATAAGTGGAAGAAATAATGCAAAGTGACAGCTAAAGACTCAGGTTGAGATGTTTAATTCTCAAACTACTGCTGGATCAGTGGATCTCGCTGGTAATTTCCCTGTCATAAGGCTGTCAGGAGCAAAGCCATCAGGAATGGTGACATGCATTTATGTTCTAACTACTAAACTGAATGCAGCCCCAAAGACGACAGTGCATGCTCTGCACAGGTCAATCATCACCTTCCTGTTCACTCTTATCCCAGTCAGCTCCAAAAGACATACACTGTAGCCTACATGTGCTTTTCAACCCACAAGTAACACTAGCAACTGTGCAGACTCAAACAAGAAAAGGGAGTTAGGACTGGACCAAGACCAACTCTAATGCCTGCCCTCATGCCCACCTGAGACTGAATTAGGCCAAAGTTGTTTGTGGTCTCCATCTACAATAGCGTCTGCTTTTCCAGAGGATACATGGGCATCTCCCCAAACTCAACCTGTTGCAAAATCTAGAAAGAAGTACCTGGAGCCCACAGCCTAACTGTTGATTCTACATGAGTTAACCTAGATTTCAATGATGTTAAGCACTCTAGGATTTTGTGGAATAAATGAGTGGCTAACAACAGAGAACAGAGACAAAAAATATTAGTAATTTTTCATCTTTCCACTTACTTGTTTGGGAGAAGATAAAAACAATTCCTGGCTATAAATCTATTTAAGCTAATGGCCAAAGAACAAGACAGAGGGCAGTAGCCAAACCTAAAAGGAGTATTTTGGTTTTTAGTAGGTTGTCACTGGGCAAAATACTGCTAATTTTCCAACTATTTACATTCCAGCTACTGCTCATGAACTATAGGGGCTCACAGGTGGTGAGTTTCTTTGTCCTTCTTCATCCAGATATCGCCATCCCAAAGACACCAAAAAGAACTACTATTCTTTCCCCTCACCTTCCTTTTCAATTACCATTACTTTAGATCAAGCAGGCAAATAATCAAGGACATCTTTTTTTTTTTTTTTTTGAGACAGAGTCTCACTCTGTCGCCCAGGCTGGAGTACAGTGGCGCGATCTCGGCTCACTGCAAGCTCTGCCTCCCGGGTTCATGCCATTCTCCTGCCTCAGCCTCCTGAGTAGCTGGGACTACAGGCACCTGCCACCATGCCCGGCTAATTTTTTTGTGTGTATTTTTAGTAGAGATGGGGTTTCACCGTGTTAGCCAGGATGGTCTCGGTCGGGATAGAGACGGGGTTTCACCATGTTAGCCAGGACGGTCTCAATCTCCTGACCTCGTGATCCACCCACCTTGGCCTCCCAAAGTGCTGGGATTTCAGGTGTGAGCCACCGTGCTCGGCCAAGGACATCTTCCTAATGTACTTGATGTGAGACAGAGAAATGGGAAGTCCTAGAGACTTATAAATCTGCAACCACAAAATTAAGAAAGGACCCTGAAGTTACCTGGGTCACGCAGTAGCCTCCAAGAACTACAGACAGACCCCTAGCCACTCTGGCCTATTTTAAAGATTTCCATAGAAGCAGAGACAACACCTGCTCCTATATGCTTATATAATAGAAACAATCTTTCCAGAAGTTTTCCTTCAGTTGGGATTGCTAAGCTGGTAGGATGCAACCTAAAGACACAGCACCCCCTCTGACTCCCTACCAATATGGAGCCTGTCTAAGAATGAAAGCAACAGAGAAAAGCAGAGCTGAGAGATGCAGATAAAGTCTGGATGACACAGCCAGAGCCCCTGGATCCAACCAATCTTAACTGAACTTCTCCATTACTTAAGAGTTTTTATCCCAACCTTCCTGCTTTCATTTTGCTTCAAAAGAAAATTACAGCCAGTCGCAGTGGCTTCATGCCCATAATCCCACAGCACATTGGGAGGCTGAGGCAGGGGGATCACTTGAGGCCAGGAGTTCAAGACCAGCCTGGGCAACAAAGCAAGACTCTACAAAAAATTTAAAAATTAGCCCTCAGGAGGCTGAGGCAGGAGGATCACCTGAGCCCAGGAGGTTGATGTTACAGAGCCATGATGGTGCCTCATGACAGTGCACTCCAGCCTGGGTGACAGAGTGAGACAATGTGTCTATTAAAAAAACAAAAACAAAAACAAAACAAAACAAAACAAAAAAACAGCCGGGTGCGGTGGCTCACGCCTGTAATCCCAGCACTTTGGGAGGCCGAGTCAGGTGGATCACGAGGTCAGGAGTTCAAGACCAGCCTGGCCGAGATGATGAAACCCCGTCTCTACTGAAAATACAAAAATTAGCCGGGCGTGGTGGTGGGCGCTTGTAATCCCAGCTACTCGGGAGGCTGAGGCAGAGAATTGCTTGAACCCGGGAGGTGGAGTTTGCAGTGAGCCGAGATTGCGCCACTGCACTCCAGCCTGGGCAAGAGTGAGACTCTGTCTCAAAACAAAACAAAACAAAAAACACAACAACAAAATAAACAACCTTGTCACTAAGTCTTTTCCAAAAGCAAAAAACCCTTCCGTTGAAGTTAATTATCCACCACAAAGCCTCTAAACCTGTTAAAGATAATTTTTCAGATCAGCTTTCTCCTCTCTGACTAAAGCATATTAATTTTCAAAATCTTTTAAATAAACCGTTTTTTTTTTTTTAAAGAGATGGGGTCTCGGCCAGGCATGGTGGCTCACGCCTGTAATCCTAGCACTTTGGGAGGCCAAGGTGGGCTGATCACGAAGTCAGGAGTTCAAGGCCAACCTGGCCAGTATGGTAAAGCCCCGCCTCTACTAAAAACAGAAAAATTAGCGGGCGTGGTGACGCGCGCCTGTAGCCCCAGCTGCTGGGGAGGCTGAGGCAGAATAGCTTGAACCCGGGAAGTGGGGGTTGCAGTGAGCTGAGATCATGCCACTATACTCCAGCGTGGGCGGCAAAGTGAGGCTCTGTCTCAAAAAAAAAAAGATAGGGTTTCACTATGTTGCTCAGGCTGGTCTCAAACTCCTGCTTAAGTGATCCTCTAGCCTCTGCCTCCCAAATTACTGAAGTGATGGGATTACAGGCATGAGGCACCCACCCGCCCCTCCTCCCTACCTTTTTTCAGACAAGGTCTCACTGTCGCTCAGGCCAGAGTGCAGTGGTGCAATCACAGATCACTGCAGCCTCGACCTCCTAGGCTCAAGCAACCCTCCCACCTCCACCTCCTAAGTAGCTGGGACCACCACACTTGGCTAATTTTTGTATTTTTTGTAGAGACAGGGTCTCCCTATGTTGCCCAGGCTGGTCTCGAACTCCTGGCTCAAACAATCCTCCCATCTTGGCCTCCCAAAGTGCTGGGATCATAGGTGTGAGCCATCATGCCAAGCCTAATTCTTAAAATCATTAATGTTGCAGCTTGAAAACTAAGTGGCAATGGCTTTACTATTCTTAGTCAATTTTCCTAATTTAAATTGAAAGTTCATAATGATAATAACAATGGCTATTAATTATTGAGAACTTACTATGTGACAGGTACCATGAGTGCTAAATGGTCTACATGGACTCTCTCACTAAAACTTAGCAAGTCACTGGGACAGTTGCTTTTATTATCTTCATTTACAAATGAAACTGTGGAACAGAAAGTAATATGGCCAATTATTAGTGGAGAAACTGGGATTCAAATTGGTACCTGAATGCAGACACCATACTCTCACTCAGATACCAGGTTAAGGCAGTCAAGAAACAAGCAGAAACAGCTGAATCTCAGGGTAAGACTCCCCATAAATGTGCAGAAAATCTGCCCTGAAATTCCAGTTATGTAAATCAGAAGTTCCCCCTACCCTTGCTGCATTTACTTTTGCTTTAAAGAGAGAGAATTCTTCACTATAAATCTTTTTTTAATAAAAAATCCCCCAGCAGCCAGGAACGGGGCTTCTCCCCACCTTTCTCAGTGGTGCCGGTCCCGTTCTCTATCCCGGTGTCTCTCATGCTCCCGGTTCCTTTCTTGGAAATAATCATCATGCCGATCTTCATTATGAAGCAGATCCCGGTGCCTCCTGCTGCTCTCCCGGGACCGGCTAGGTGACCTTTCCCGGGAGCGATGTCTTTTCCTATTAGAAAGATCCTTCAGCCTCACTCAGAAGGCCTACCACTTTCTTTCCAAGAATGTGGTGTTTTGGTGTCTTCTGATATTTGCCTAAACTATTCCTCTATTACTCTATCATGGGCCTGCTGTCTGAGGATTTTAGCTCTTTGAGGACTACTCTTTTTTGGGAAGATGATTAACAGGTAAATTTATCTGTTGAGAACTAATTTATCAGGTGTAGTGCTAATAATTTTGTATGGATTATCTGACCTAATCTTTACAACAGGTCTGTAAGATAAATACTATCAGTGTCCCTTTTTTAGAAAATGAGAAAAATAAGGCTTGGAAAGTTGACTAACTTCCATACACAAGAAGGTCATACAGATAGTTAGCAGCAGAACTGGGATTCCAATCCAAGCTTGTAGGGCTCCAAAACCCATGTTCTTAAAAATATCTGTCTGTATTTTTTCCTACATGAGCCCACTGCCTCACCCACCAGATTCCAGATGTTACAACACTTATTAATGAAAGCATCTGATTAGTTTCTTCCCCAAAAAGACATGAAGGCTAACGTCCAGACTTTCGGCCAGGTCTTTCCCAGATTCCCTGGGCTCCATTTGTCCCCACTCCCTATCCCTGGAAGAGTGCTGCTTGGGGCTGGTAGGTGAGGACACAATCACCAACTCACCTGGAAGAGCTCCCACTGGCACCCACACTGTAGGACTTGGCTTCGATGCCATGAAGACAGTCCTTAAGAGAGGAGATGAGGACACGGCAACGCTCATCATTGGCAACCCGGGACTGTTTGATAACCGCAATGGCTGTGAGCAGCGTCTCAATTGCGTCACTGTAATCCCCTGATAAAGGATGAAGGAGAAAGGCCAAGGGTGAGGAGAGATGGTAAACTAACTGGACCAAAAGGAGAACTCAGGCAGACACAAACCAAGAGTAGCTAGCCGTCCCAAACAACCGCGGTAAAAGAGACAAGGCAGATGTTGCAAGTGTAAAACTGGATGACACCTATATTCCAGCAGTTCGGAATTTAACAGATGTTGTCAGATGAACAAACTGACACACTGTTGTCCAGGGGCTATTTGACATCTATTAAAATAAACAATGTGCATATTTTTTGAGCCAGCAATTCTATTAAAAATTTTCTACTTCTGTTCACAAGTGTGTATGTTTAACAGTGTTTTAGTGTTTATTTTTTTTCATTTTTTTTTTTTTTGAGACAGTCTCACTCTGTTGCCCAGGCTGGAGTGCAGTGGCCGTGATCTCGGCTCACTGCAAGCTCCGCCTCCCAGGTTCACGCCATCCTCCTGCCTCAGCCTCCTGAGTAGCTGGGACTACAGGCGCCTGCCACCACACCCAGCTAATGTTTTGTATTATTAATAGAGACGGAGTTTCACCGTGTTAGCCAGGATGGTCTTGATCTCCTGACCCTGTGATCCGCCCGCCTTGGCCTCCCAAAGTGCTGGGATTACAGGCATGAGCCACTGCGCCCGGCCAGTGTTGTTTGTTATATTATCTTCAATAGGGTCTGGCTATATAAAGGAACATTGGTTCTACAGAATATTACATTATTAATGTACTATTAACAATTAAAAAAGCAGGAGGTAAACCTGTATGTAAACAAAGTAATCCATGTAAAGCCCTTAGCACAGTGCCAGGCACACAGTAAGGATCAATAAATGTTATGTTATATGTTGATATAATAGGTGTCCAGAATATACTAATTGAAACAAGCAAGTTTCAAAACCATATCCTGTTTTTGTAAAAACAATAAAAATTATATAAATTGTCATATGCATAGAAAAAATTCTGGAGGAATATAAACTATAAAAGGTGGTCTTATTGGTTGATGGTCCTTGTATAGAGGACTATTTTGTTTTTGAGATGGGTCTTGTTTTATCATCCAGGCTGAAGAGCAGTGGTATGATCATAGCTCACTGCATCCTTGAACTCCTGGGCTCAAGCCATCCTCCTGCATGCCACTTCACCTGGCTTATTTTTCAAAAATTTTTTGTAGAGATGGGGTCTCACTATGTTGACCAGGCTGGTCTTGAATTCCTGGCCTCAAGTGATCCTCCTGCCTGGGCCTCCTAAAGTGCTGGGATTATAGGTATGAGCCACTGTACCTCATGAGACTTTCTAAATAATGTGTATTTCTACAAGTTATTTTTAACCTACCATCAGATGTATGTGTGTATATATATGATATTTACATAAAACATGTATGCGTAGTATATGTATACATTAAAAAAATTATGGCTGGATGCAGTGGCTCACACTTGTAATCCCAGCACTTTGGGAGGCCGAGGTGGGCGGATCACTTGAAGCCAGAGTTCGAGACCAGCCTGGCCAAAATGGTGAAACCCGGTCTCTACTAAAAATACAAAAACTAGCTAGGCAGTGTGGCATGCACCTGTAATGCCAGTTATTTGGGGGGCTGAGGCAGGAGAATTGCTTAAATCTGGGAGGGAGAGGTTGCAGTGAGTCGGGATCAGACCACTGCACTACTCCAGCTTGGGCAATAGAGCCAGACTTCGTCTCAAAAAAAAAAAAAAAAAATTTATGCTGTCATAAAAAACTAGGCCTTTCATTTCCCAACTCTGAGTAATGCCTGGCTCAGGGATAGTGGTCATGGGGCGGGTACCTACACTTTGCTTTTCCAAGCTAAGTCAAGAGCATTAAGGACAAAAGTTAATACAAAGAAAATATGAATTCAGGCAGGGGTCCAGTGAAAATGAAGCCTGGCAGCTTCCTCTGTGCAAGGCAACAAGAACAGAAACTATGGAGAAACTGTCCAGTGGAGGCACAAGAATATGAAGACATCAGCTCCATCCTGGCAGGGAATTTTTGCCTGTTTTTGTAGTATCTTCAATAAGTATTTGTGGTTTGAATGACTGGAATGAGAACAACAGGAGATCAAGATTCAGTTATTGATCATCTTAGTGTGAAAGGGTTGATGAGGAAGAAGGAACAATGAGTACTTTCTTTATACTGTTCTGTGTATTTAACCCATATAACCCATGGGTATATATTACTTTTTAATTTAAAAAGACTAATTTTTTTTTTTTTTTTTTTGAGACACAGTTTCACTCTGTTACCCAGGCTGGAGTGCAGTGGCACAATCTCGGCTCACCACAACCTCCACGCCCTGGGTTCAAGCAATTCTCAATTCTCGTGCCTCAGCCTCCCAAGTAGCTGGGTCTATAGGCATGTGCCACCATGCCTGGCTTATTTTTGTATTATTAGTAGAGATGGGGTTTTGCCATGCTGGTCTCAAACTCCTGACCTCAAGTGATTTACCGGCCTTGGCCTCCCAAAGTGCTGGGACTACAGGCATGAGCCACTGCACCTGGCCTAAAAAAGACTAATTTAGATGTCAATGTAGATTTTTCTGGTGGGAAAAAAATGAAGGGAACATATGTACTTTCTGTCTTTAACCTTCTCTGTGGATTCAAGTTTGGCAAGATGATGCAAAGATGAAAACTGATGGAAAGCAGATGATAATATTTAGGGCTAACTTATTTCTTAGGAGATCTGATAATCTACAGACATTTACATTCATGTAGGAAACTCACAGGAAGGAAGTGAATATGGCTAATGTCACGATGTGAAAACCGGACCAGAACTCTGAAACTTCCTGTAGCCTCTTCTTTTAGAAACTAAAGATCTTATGCTCAGGGCTTTCAGAATCATGGCTGCTGGTTCTACCCACTTAATAATGAGAGCAGGGCAAAAGTTAGCTGTAAGGGCATAACATGCCTTAAGATGACATCTACAGACTTGCCTCTTTTTAGGATAGGCTACCTACCAGCTCTGCTTAGACTCCTAAATGTAATCAGATTTCATAGCAAACCATTATCTAGGCTGGACGTGGTGGCTCACACCTGTAATCCTAGCACTTTGGGAGGCCGAGACAGGCGGATCACTTGTGGTCAGGAGTTCAAGACCATCCTGGCCAATATGATGAAACCCTGTCTCTACAAAAAAATACAAAAATTAGCCGGGCGTGGTGGCAAGTGCCTGTAATCCCAGCTACTTGGGAGGCTGAGGCAGGAGAATCGCTTGAAACCAGGAGGTGGAGGCTGTAGTGAGCCAAGATTGCACCACTGCACTCCAGCCTGGGCGACAGGGCAAGACTCCCTCTCAAAACAAACAAACAAAAAAACACATTATCCAGTCAAAACATCATTCCTAAAGAAGACCCAGGGTCTATATCTGGTATTGGGTCTACTACACAGACACTAGATCTAAAGATCAACCACTGAGATGGAGATTTCCACAAGGCAGGAATTTCACTCTACAGCAAACACCACATCGAGATGGTATTAATTATTTATATTCTAGGCATTAAGTTGGTTTTCATGAGGGCAGGCCTAGATACAGACTAAGTAATACTGCCGGAGCTTCCCCAAGGCCAAGAAATCAGGTTACATATTGCTCTTCAAAGTATGCCGCTCTTGATATCTACAGTACTCCAACTTTATCTTGTTGAACTTTTGCCAGTAGAAATGACAAAATCAGGAAAAAAAAGTAAAGGTTAAGGAGAAGGCAGCAAAGGTAAGCACTGAGTTACCTGCACTGGCTCCAGATACTGCTTTGGAAATGGCACTGCTGGAAATTGCTCTGTTTCGCTTCATGATATCTTCAAATTCGGCTTCACTCACTGTAGAGGGTGGAGGGCCCGAATCTCGGCTGTACAGAGAAAATACCATCCTTGATTGCTCACATCCCTTATTATTTTTACTGTACTCTACAACACTTTGGTAATTTTGGCATAACACAGAACAATGCTAGACATCTGTAGCATTCATAACACCTGCTCCCGCATTTAATTAAGCACCTTAAAAAGGGGTATAAAGGACATGGTACTACTTCCCAGGAGTCAATGCTATGATAACAGAATGTCTATAAGGGAAAGAACAAGGATTCAGTGCTCACTTTCTCAGGGAGAATAAAATGCTTAATACACTTATTTACCCTGGCTCAAATCTGAAAGGAACAATAGTCCTTACCTGCCATGGTGGTTATAGGGGGCAGAGGCCTTCATGTAAGTATCTGGTGGAGGCCCCACTGTAGCGTTTGGTGGGGGGAAGAAGGCTGGATTGAGGTGAAGGGCAGGTGGGATGGCCCCAGGGGGAGGTACAGCAAGATGAGGAGGTAATCGAGGAGGTGGGGGCATGAGATGCTGGTAGTGGATACCAGGAGGAGGAGGAGGGACCCCAAAGCTTGAGGAGAGAGGTGGTGGGGGTGGAATTGGTGGTGGGGGCAGACCCATCAGGGGAAGGGCCGAAGGAGGACGATTGAAGTAGGGCAGCACACTGGGGGGCTTATCCACACGAGCAGATGAGGGTACAAGGTTCTCAGAGGGTGTGGCCCGTCCATCAGCAGAATCACTAGAATCTCGGGAATGGGCCCGTGGAGGTATTCCTATGAAGCAAAACAGAACTGATGTTACTGCCCAGGCTTTACACAAACCCACAGGACCAGTTCATCCTTCAGAAGTTATCAGACACCCTACAAAGGAAGGTGACTAAAGAGGCTGAGAAGGTAAAATCATCTACTGCCTTTTTTTTGGCTTCAGAGGTCAGAAGCAACTCAGTGAAGACATTAAATCCAAAAAACAATATCGTCCTAAATCCTGTCAAAGAATGTTTTCCATCCATAACTCCAGAAGTGCTTCAGAACAGATTTAATTTATCCTTATATGTATCTTCTATTTTTAAATGTAGAAGGATCCTGATAGCCCACGAGAAAATGACAGTGTTCACTGATGTTCAGGTGAATTGCAGTTGACTTGAAACCCCACATCTCCTGAAGAGTTCAGGACCTCTCTCCTTAAACTAATACTAGTTAACCTCTTCCTGTTGCACACTTAAAATGTTCTCTTTGCCACAGGGTGTTGGCTAGGGAATTTAAGGGAAGAGAGGGAGTGGCAGGAACTGGATGGCACTTCTATTTACATACTAAAACTAGTAATCAGGGTGAGAAAGAGACACACATGAAGACTAGACAACTGGAGGTTAAGTGAAAGATAAGAAAAATTGGGAGATACGCCAATAAAAGATCCGCCCACAGCACAAGCAGATAGCACACAGCTGACAGTAAGGATGCTTAGCAAAAGCTTGCTACAAAACATGTCTCCAATCTGGGGAACTCCCGCTACATTTCAATGGCCAAAATCCTCTACCCTTCAGGGCAGCCTAACAGGAACACCATCACCACATGCTAGTATGGTGCTGTGCACAACAGGAGCTCAGAACATGTTTTAAACAGCTGGAAGCATGGATTCTGACATTGTCAAGTCACTTGGTTAAACTTGTTCCTTCTCTCCAGTTTAACAGTCTAAGCCTGTTTATTGTGGAATCCAATAGAAGAACAAGATCACATGGCTTTGGGGGGGTCTTGGAGATAGAAAGATGCCACTGGCAGCAAGTGTGGAGGAAAGAGTGCTCCTTAAACTAGAATATGATAGTTAATCCCAGCTCCTGAGTAAAGCCTAAGGTGGAATCAATTATGTTGACAACCACCTAGATTTCTCTTACAGAACAGTGCCAGTGCTGTCTTGTTCTTCAGGTCTCAAACACATGGCAACTGGCTCTTTCCTAGAGTTCTCTCAAACTGAAGAACAAAAAGGTATAAGGCAAGTGTCATCTGACAGTTAACCACTTTCCCAGCTACTACTGTTGTCACATCTGCAAAGGTTGTTTTGTATCTATGGCTACAAGTCCCAAAAGACGCAACATTTCTATGCAGAGGAAGTCCACCAGCTTTACTTAGTGAATTAACAGAGCCCAGGTCCATCAGCATGACAGAGCAGAAAAACAGCACTCAGTTACACAATCTTTTCAGCAAAAAAAAGTAACATGAAAAGTAGCTGAGTAGAAGTAGAACGTTACCCCCAATACAGTTGTAAAATTACATACCTAAGGAAAGTCAGGGGTGAATTACAGAAAGACTCCAAAACAGAGGGGACTTGAAAATACAACTTGTCAAGGAAGAAGAGTGTGTCCTTTCTAACATGGAACAACAAGAGTTCACACCAAATCTATCTAGGCTGTCAATCTAGTTAAAAGAACAGCTGTTCCTATGCAAGAGCAAAGTGGTCCTATTTCTACCTGGAGGATACACCCAATCAATACAAGGCACTATTTTGAGAGCTGGACCTAAGCAGTGACAGAACATCAGTGATGAAACTTTGCTGTTCCTCCCACTGTAGCAAAAGAAAATAAGGGTGGTTGGCTGTCTCAGGGAAGGTCTTGCAGGGTGGCTGCACTTTATGAGGTCAGGAAAATCCAAGGTCTAGTCCTCAGGTTTCTCAGGTTCAGAAACTTGCTTCAACTGGGGTGACTAGGCCCTAGGAGACTGATTCATGCTAACCAAACTCACAAGAGACTGATTCATAAACCATAACACCAATTTATTAATTTACAATGAGAAATGTAATTGCCAAGCAGACCAGAATACTTGTGTCGGCTGGTCAGCGAATTCTCTTCCTAGTAGGAGACCCTAATTGGGAAACCAAATTAGCATCAGAAAGTGGCTTAGTGAGTACAGTCAGAATAAAGAGAGTAAGATGGACATTGGGGAAACTGTCCTCAAACTAAGGTAGTTCTGAGGTAACTTTCTTTTTTCTTTTTTTTTTTTGAGACAGAGTCTCACTCTGTCACCCAGGCTGGAAGGCAGTGGTGCAATCTCAGGTCACTGCAACCTCCACCTCCTGGATTCAAGAGATTCACCTGCCTCAGACTCCCGAGTAGCTGAGATTATAAGCATGTGCCACCATAACTGGTTAAGTTTTGTATTTTTAGTAAAGACAGGGTTTTGCCATGTTGCCCAGGCTGGTCTCGAACTCCTGACCTCAGGTATCTGCCCGCCTCAGCCTTCCAAAGCACTGGGATTACAGGTGTGAGCCACCATGCCCAGCCCCTAACTTTTTTATTTTCCCTCCAAGATGGAGTCTTGCTCTGTTGCCCAGGCTGGAGTGCAGTGGTCTGATCTCAGCTCACAGCAACCTCCGTCTCCCGGGGTCAAGCAATTCTCCTGCCTCAGTCTCCCGTGTAGCTGGGATTACAGGCATGTGTCACCCACACCCGGCTAATTTTTGTATTCTTAGTAGAGATGGGGTTTCACCATGTTGGCCAGGCTGGTCTCAAACTCTTGACCTCGTGATCCACCCACCTCGGCCTCTCAAAGTGCTGGGATTATAGGCGTGAGCCACCGCGCCCGGCCTGTAACTTTCTTTACTAATGGGATATAACTGCCAAGCAGACTAAAACATTTGGTAATCAAAAGAGCACCCTCTCCCCTGGACAATGCTGGAGAAATATTGTTCAAGTCTTATTCTCCAACACTCCTCTTGGTTGATTCCTTACAGTATCCTTCCAATCAACGTTTATGAAAAGATTATAGGCACCTTTTAGTTACATTTTAGGGTGGCTGCTTCTTGATAATTTATAGAGAGGCATGTCTTAAAAATTAAGCCCATTCACCTAATGCCAAGTTTTAGACAGAAACACAGAATTTAGAGGTGATGGAACTTTAAACATCATGTCACTAGTCCAGATGGGGAAACAGGCCCTAAGTAGTAAAGTGACTTGGCCAAGGTCACACGAGTCAGTGGCAGAACCAAACTACAACCTGAACCTACTTGACTCCCAGCACAATGCTCTTTCTTCTATATAGACCTATTCTGAGGACTACTTGTCGACCATGACACCACTCACAACCACCATCACCCTCCCCCAAACTCACCCACACTGTAGGCTAAGCCTACACCATAGAAAACAAACCCACAAACACCCCCCCCTCATACAGATGGTCTCCACGTACCCCCTCTTGGGACTCGGACACACTCACGTTTCCGAGCCTGTGCCTCAAACTGTGACAGGTTCTGCCGGGTGGCCGGCCTCACGTCCACTTTTTCTCCATTAAGAACTTTCCCTGGTAGGAGTTCCAACAATTTGTGGACAGAGTTTTCAGAGGCTACCACCACCTCAGCATACCTTAGGAAAGAAAAATTAAAAATGAATGAAATCTGTAGACAGCCAAGAGAAGAAAAAAGAAATTCTCTTCCACTTTTAGTAAAAATTGATAAAGCAAAGGACATCTTGCTAAACTAAACACACATACAGCACTAACAACAAAGAGACAGCCTAAATCTTTATTTTTTTGGAATTAAAAATCAGTATTCTTCGCCCCTTAACAGATGGATATTCTACTACACTGCAGCTAGGTCCCTTTCTAAGGCAGTTTGCCAAAACCAAGGCAGTAAGCTGGGCCAGGGGTGGGAGTGATTAAAATCCAGGGCCAAAATATAGTACAGATCTTTTATCCCAATGGTTACAAATTAAAAGGGGCTTCTCAAATCCAGACCTCACCCTTTGGACTGGCCATTTGCTCGATTCTCTGCAAATTTCAACTCCACCACATCATAGACTCCTATAGAGCGAATAACCTGGATCAGCTGCTGGTCTGTGGTCCACTGGGGCCGGCAAGATGGAAAAGGAAGAGATGTCAAGAGCTACACCCCCGCCCGCCAATGTCCCAAACCCAGGATTCTAGTCACAACTAAGTCCCCCCAGAGGAAACTCAAAAGCCTGGCAATATTTCAATTAGTGCAGACTTTTCTTATTGTCCTCACCCATACAGAATTCCAAACCCACTCACCCCCAATCTCCATCTTTAGAGATTACGAAGATTAAAACTTATTGTAACTTTGACTGCCGTTTGGGCTGGCTGGTCATCAGTTCAAACATTGACAGCTAGCAATTTTTTAATTATAGATCTGTCAGGCTAGAGTTGACCATTGCCAGAACTTCCCCCACAGTAAATATACTTCCTAATTTGGAAAAACCACCCCCACCACCAGCCCCAAAACATCACAAAATAACTTGCAGAACAACAGTCACCACCTACCCCAAGTATACTAGAGTTATCAAGGTCTTTAATCCCCATCACCCACCATTATCACAGGACCATCTAATGACCACCAAGAGTTCAAGGTGTTCACTCTGAAATCTCGTCCCTCAGATGACCCTGCTAGACATAAAGCCCCAGGGTCAGGGGCAGTAACAAGATGGCAGAAAAAGCAACTACCCACTTAATCATTGCTTTCTTCGGCACCAGTACGTCCTCAGGATAGTTCTCTTTCAGAGATCAATCCAACCTGATCCCAGGAAAAAGAAATCCAACCCCATCAGAGCACAAAACAGTGCAACAGTAGTTTCTGAAAATGCCATCACCTCCCAGTGCTCTCCCTCCAGCCCACCCCTAAGCATTTTTGGTTACCCACACTCACCCAGGAGAAGCTGCCCACATAAACGGCAGCTCGTCTATTACGCAGGCCACTGTAGGTATACAGAATTGCAGGGGTCTTGTTGTTGGGCTTGGGAGATGGCTCCTGGCGAACAGGAGGAGGTGGTTCAGTGCTGCTGCTTCTGTCATCTGAGGGCTGTGAGGTGGCTGTCAGCACATCATCATACAGGTCAATCTGATCTGTATTGTTGAACTCTGGGTCCTAAGAGATGAGGGGTTGGCAAAGGTAGGTCTGCAAACTTCATTTTGTTCATTCTATTTCACTCTAGTTTATTAGAATCCAGTTAAATACTTGGTAAAACATGTACAAAACTTCC
The DNA here is from genome assembly GCF_000001405.40 of Homo sapiens. NCBI lineage: Eukaryota > Metazoa > Chordata > Mammalia > Primates > Hominidae > Homo > Homo sapiens. Next base: position 61,421,724 of record NC_000011.10, read on the forward strand.
TTGTCCTACCCCAGGAAACAAAGTAAGAAAAACCTCCTTTTGAAACTGTATCACTTAATTATGCTTATGTACATTTTTTTCCCCTCAAGATTCTGTTAATAGTCTGTAAAGTTTCTGGCTTTAGCCAACGGCAAGAATCAAAAAGCACTGGGTGATTAAGCAAGCAAAGAAAGAATGCATAATGAGATGCATGGGCTGCTGTTATCAATAAGGTCAGCTTCTAAAGACCACATCTAAGATAAGCTAATGAAAACTTATTTTCAGTATCTTATGCTATTTCCAAAATCAAGTGTTACATAAAATTCACTTGTCTATTTAATAATAAATTTATTTAGAAACAGAATGCAGAGGAAAAGCATGAAAGTGGGTACAAAAATGCAGAAAAGATTGGGAGTTACTGATTTAAATCCCTTGATTGGTATAAATGATTTAGGAAAGCTCTAAACTCATTGTACACAATCCCATCTTTCCATCGGAGAAAATAAAAAATAAATAAAAGGGAAGGGAATAACAACAGGGGTTTTCCCCTACTAAGTTCTATTTCTTAAATGACATACAGGCCCAATGCATTACCATGACATGTATCTAGGAGACTTTTTTTTTTTTTTGAGACAGGGTCTCACTTTGTCACCCAGGCTGGAGGGCAGTGGTGCAATTACAACTCACTGCAGCTTCAACCTCCTGGGCTCATGTGATCCTCCCACTTCAGTCTCCCAAGTAACTGGGGACTACAGACATGCGCAACCATGCCCAGCTAATTTTCAAATTTTTTTTGTAGAGACAGGGTTTCACCATGTTGCCCAGGCTAGTCTGGAACTCCTGGACTCAAGTGATCCACTGGCCTCGGCCTCCCAAAGTGCCGGGATTACAGGGGTGACTACCATGCCCAGCCAATATTCAATGATATACAAAAAACAGTTAAAGTTCTCTAAAATATAAGGGCCAGAAAACAGGACAAGAACATAAACTGTATCACACAGTAAGCATTTACAATATGAATATGTATTATGGAAAATGTGCAAAATACATATTCTGCCTATGTGATATCTTACTTACTATATACCAAAACCCCTAAAACTACAACTACTACTACTACGATACAGGACCTTAATGTTTAGGATTTTACAGGCTGGGTGCAGTGGCTCACGCCTTGTATCCCAGCACTTTAGGACGCAGAGATAGGCAAACTGCTTGAGCCCAAGAGTTTCAGACCAGCCTGGGCAACATGGTGAAACCCTATCTCTACAATAAATACAAAAATTAGTTGGGCATGGTGGCACACATCTATAGTCCCAGCTACTCGAGAGGCAGAAGGATCACTCGAGCCCGGGAGGTTGAGGTTGCAGTGAGCCAGCCTGGGCAACAGAGTGAGACCCCATATCAAAAAAAAAAAAAAAAAAAAAAAAAGGGTTCAGGATTCTACAATGTAATTACCTCAGAGAAATCTTTTTTTTTTTTTTTTTTTTTGAGACACAGTCTTGCTCCATTGCCCAGGCTGGAGTGCAGTGGCGCCATCTCAGCTCACTGCAACCTCTGCCTCTTGGGTTCAAGTGATTCTCCTGCCTCAGCCTCCTGAGTAGCTGGGATTACAGGCACACACCACCATGCCCAGCTAATTTTTGTATTTTTAGTAGAGATGGGGTTTCACCATGTTGGTCAGGCTGGTCTCAAACCCTTCATCTCGTGATCTGCCCACCTCGGCCTCCCAAAGTGCTAGGATTACAGGCGTGAGCCACCGTGCCTAGCCTCAGAGAAATCTTTTTAAGGATTAGACAAGCATTTTATTTTTATTACAAGAATTAGACAAAACATTCAAACAATGCTAAAGATAATGCTGCCAAAATGACAGAGACAGCAAGTAGTTCAGTGTTTTAAGGATGCTACGGCAGTTTCATATTGCTATTCTTTTAAAAAGGGAATAAAGGAGGCACCTAAGTTGGGAAACTTGTCTAGTACCCTGAAGAAACAGTTTCTCCAAGGCAACTAAAGACAGGCGGCTCCCTTAACTTTCTCCCTCCAATATCACGGCAATAACTGCTAATTCTGAAGTGATCTGAAGACGACTCACTAAAAAATTTACTCTTAGACCAGTCCTTGTATTATAAGAACCTTTGGAAACAATCTTTCAGTTTTTCAGTTTATCTGAAGTACAGTGGAAGAAAATGCACACTAAGAGAATAATCTTGGGTTGTTCTGATAGAGAAGGGGGAAGGATTCTACTTCCTAAAGCATATAAATAATTTCAAATATTAAAACACTCTAAGAAACCCACCAGGAGGGCTTAACCCTTGTAAAAACGTTAGAAAAAGAATATCAAGAGACAGTAAACTTTTAGGGGGCAACTTAACAACAAGAAATTAGTGAGGCAAATAAGCACAGGAAGCTTGTTCCATGTAGTCAAATCCATCAAAAAGGATTGTGCATAAAAAGGGTCAGCATGTAAAGAATGAGGAGAGAAGCTAACACTGGAGAGGACAGGGTGGATAATAAAGTAAGGTGAGGTCAGCTAGGGCTAATGAGTGGGAAAACATTTTGTGTGTAAGTAATCACTATAAAATATTTCATAGCTGTTACGTCTCAAACTATCCCAACTCTATAGACAAATCACTCTTCTATTCATGTACCAGGTATGGTGAGTTGCTCCTGTGGTTCAAGGTAGAGAAAGGATTTATATACATCACTTGATCCCATCCAATGCTCAAATCCTTAGAAAGCACTACTTCACACCAAGATTCTTCTTTTTTTCTGAGATAGAGTCTCACTTTGTCACCCAGGTTGAAGTGCAGTGGCGCAATCTTGGCTCACTGCAACCTCCGCCTCCTGGGTTCAAGTGATTCTCCTGCCTCAGCCTCCCGAGCAGCTGGAATTACAGGTGTGCACCACCACACCCAGCTAATTTTTGTATTTTTAGTAGAGATGGGGTTTCACCATGTTGGCCAGGCTGGTCTCTAACTCCGGACCTCAGGTGATCCTCCCACCTCAGCCTCTCAAAGTGCTGGGATTACAGGCGTAAGCCACTGCACCCAGCCTTCTTTTTTTTTAAATCAAGGATTTTCAAATGACACGTAAACAGAATAAGGAAACACATCATCTTGGATAATCGAATGGAACCAAACTGAGATTCCCTTCCATGCAGTATCTGTAATTCAGGTATATGTGTCTAAAATTTGTAATGTAAAAATGATCACTGAAAATTGAGTAGTGGACTAACATGCAGATTTGGACAGCTCAGAGACCAAATGCATCACCAGGAAACCCTTCGTACTATATGCTTAGGCAACCAATCCACTGTTTTAAGATCCCTTAAGAATAGGATAGACTAGATCCTGGAGAATCTTGGTATGGCTACCACTTTTAGAAACAAAAGGATTGAATGAATACAAAATTATCACAAGATTTAAATGGTCTCTCTGGGCCACAGAGCCTCAGTTCAAAGAAGCTGGTGGGAACTGCACAGGGCAGGTCTGTTGAGGGTTCTACTGAAGAAACAAGGTATCAAATTGTTTGGATTTTAATCCCCCAGCATCACAATTCATTTTACTTGTTCAGCTAGTAAGACAGAAACACAGTTAAGGGCCGGAGATTTTTCTCAGCGGATTTATGCAGTAATAGATTAAAGTAAAATCAAATTCTACAAATTAAGTGAAAAGTACATTTTACATGCACTGATGTTCAAAGTTTCATTCCAGGGAGATTAAACATGAAACATATATTTAATACTGAATAACTATCTCAAAGAATTTTGTGTTTAATGGCACAGAAAGAACTGTGACTGTCTCATGAAACTTCCTGCTTCCCTGTAAACAAAAGAGAACATGTGTGATTTTCAATTTAAATAAGATCTTCTCCACTTGTCTGCTCAGTGTTCCTAACCTCCACCCTCTTCTTCCTCATATCCCACTGAGGGAAGTAACTAGCCTAGGATTTATTTTTCTCAGAGCAACCAACTTGATACCATTGTTTCTTTTAATTGTAACCAAGGCTTAATCAAAAATTTTGGCTTTATAATGACCATTTCCACAGTTCCCACTTCACACCCTCCTTGTCCTTCACTGTACATTGTCGTTGTCCACCACCCCTACCCACCAGGAGTGGAATCTGTTTTGAGTACAGGGACCCACTTTTTTTTCCTTTTACCTCACTAGTCCTGGCACAGTGCTTAGCAAACACAAGTAGCTCAATAAATAAATACTTATTGATGGACATAAGGAAGAGAACTGGACACTGTGCAAAGCCTGTCTCAGTATGAAAAGCCAAAACTCCCAGCAGAGCAACTGATCTCAGTCACCTTTCCAGAGTTCTCCCTGGCCCAAGAGAGCCAATGTGAATCCCAGGACTCCCTGTGTTACAGGAATAAAGTAGCTCTGGCAAAAACAGGCTTTTGCAGCAAATGCTCTAAGAGATCAGGGAATAAGCACCATAGGGTTCCATCTAGGAAAAATATTAATTTTCCTTGAGGAGCAAAGTGCACATGAAGGGCTTCCTGTGCATGGGCCAGCTTGGGGCGAAATCAGTAACATTCTTAAAACATTCTAAAACACAATTTGTACTGGGTGCCTTCAGACTAAGCCAGCTTCTAACAATTCTAGCCAAAGTTTTTTTGTTTTTTTGTTTTTTAAATAATTTCTGTAGCTTCCAGATGACACTAACACTAACTTTGTCAAAAATAACTAATTGATATGTGTGTGGGGGGGAAGCACTCATCCCTCACCTTCCACAAAACATAAGATATTCAAAATTCACACTTTCTTCAGCTTGCCTAGTGTCAAATATTGCCCGTTGGATATATGTATCTATTAAAGTCCACATACTACCTTTAGCCTGTCTTAGACCCATAAAAAAGTCCTTTTTAACTGAGGAGACCAGAGAACAAACTATTGAGGCCAATAACTTATACTCTAACAAAGCAGTGACCACTGGACAATGAGTTCTGCGTATTTCTCAAAGTGAAATGAATGGCACTATTATCAATCCACAGATAAGAAATTAGAAGGGGAAAAGCTTTTCATTAATAACAAAGGTGGCTGGGTACGGCGGCTCACGCCTGTAATCCCAGCACTTTGGGAGGCCGAGGTGGGCAGATCACAAGGTCAAGAGATTGAGACCATCCTGGCCAACATGGTGAAACCCCGTCTCTACTAAAAATACAAAAATTAGCTGGGCATGGCGGTGCGCGCGCCTGTAGTCCCATCTACTCAGGAGGCTGAGGCAGGAGAATCATTTGAACCTGGGAAAAGGAGGTTGCAGCGAGCCAAGATGGTGCCACTGCTCTCCAGCCTGGCGACAAAGAGAGACTCTGTCTCAAAAAAAAAAAAAAAAAAAAAAAAAAGAGAAGAACTAAGGACCGCTCTTGTTATCTTGGTGGGGGAAAAACATAATCTGCAAAAAGTCTGAACTGGGCAGAGTGGCTCACACCTATAATCCCAACAGTTTGGGAGGCTGAAGTGGGAGAATCGCTTGAGCTCAGGAGTTGAGAGACCAGCCTAGGCAACACAGCAAGACTGTGTGTTTTTTTTTTTAAGGTATTAAAAGTCTGATTCAAATGAATATGGAAAACTCAGGAAAACAATGATTTTGTAACTAAATTAACATCTAGAACTTTTCTCTTTTATCCATAATTATTGGACTTATTTAAAACTAAAAAATTTTTTCGCCATGCACGGTGGCTCACGCCTGTAATCCCAACTTTGGGAGGCTAAGGCGGGCGGATCACAAGGTCAGGCATTCGAGACCAACCTGGCCAACATGGTGAAACCCCGTCTCTACTAAAATTACAAAAATTAGCCAGGTGAGGTGACCCACGCCTGTAGTCCCAGCTACTCAGGAGGCTGAGGCAGGAGAATCACTTTAACCTGGGAGGCAGAGGTTGCAGTGAGCCGAGATCGCGCCACTGCACTCCAGCCTGGGTGACAGAGAGAGACTCTGTCTCAAGAAAAAAAAAAAAAAAAAAGGAAAATTCATCTATTTAAGATAATCAGCAGCTATATTTAAAGGACCACAGTTAACCACAACAGAGACAAGAAACCTGCCATTAAAAAGTATAATTGGTGAAGCTGTATAATGGGTACAAGGTCATTACATTATTCTGCTTTTGTGTATGGTTTATAATTTCCATGTTATAAAACCATAATACATCAAAAAATAGATTTTCATGTAAACTTATGCCAAGTGAAAAATAAATGGCATGTATCCGCCTCTTCTGTTGCCTCATATCAAAGTCAGGGTCAAACCAGGGAACTTTCCCTTTCTAACCCATTCAATACATGCTCTTACCAGGTCCTTATGTGTACCCACTGGAAGATGCAAATGGGAAGAGCCAGCTTACTTACATAGAATGGTGCTGAAAATAACCCAGGCAAGATATTAGTACGTTTTCAATAGAAATTTTGGAACATTCTTGAGAATTGACCTCAAGACTGAAAAACTTAACTGCATGGAAGATTATTTCTTTGAGAGAATTTTTCTTGTGTTTTTAAGAGTCAGGGTCTTGTTCTGTTGCCCAGGATAGAGTGCAGCGGCCCAATCATGGCTCACTGCAGCCTTGAATTCCTGGGCTCAGGGAGTACCTCTTGCCTCACTCTCCAGAGTAGATGGGACTACAGGCACAAGCCACCATATCTCGTTGTTGTTTTTTTTTACATTTTTGTAGACTGGGTCTTGGTATGTTGCCCTGGCTGGTATTGAACTTCTGGTCTTAAGTAATCTTCCCATCTCAGGCTCCAGAGCAGCTGAGATTACAGTCAAGAGCCACCTTGCCCAGCTCTAGATAAATTTCTGTATAATGTTCCCTGGTACAATAAAAACAAATCCAACTGAGGGTATGTGCATGGGTCTATTATCAGTTTTCTAACTGGTTTGTCTAACGTCTTTACTCTTTTATTCCCTCTAGAAAGACTAAAGGTAACCAATACAATTTATTATACCAAAATGCCTGTGGACTTCTCATGACTGGAGTCAACCTACTTATAAAAGGAAGTAAAACTTAATTGGAATGGAGTTGAAACTAAATGTTAAAGTCATCTTTTCTACTTTGCTTTTGCACTGTCACGATGGAGGGGACTACACTTCTCCAGCTGCAGGTTGAGAATGTAAAGGAACCGGTATCAACACTGTCCTCATGAATACCGTAGCAAATGTACTTTTGATTTTTAAGTGTGGTTAGTCTGACACCCACCTTTGGCTTCCTGGGGAGTAAATTCCACAGGTTGATTCACCATTCTATTACACCTGCTTTTTATTTGCTCTTAAATCAAAGCCTTTAAAATTAAGCCTGGAGCTTCAAATTAACATAAAGAGGAATGGAGTGTAGTCTTTAAAGTTTCTGCAGGAGAAAAATTTTAGACCGGATAGACGCGTGTTCAAGCCTAGGACTGGTACAGCTTGAAACCACTGCCAGTTTGCTGAAAATGATTCCTCAGATGATCAAGGAAAATCCCAAAGCTCCTGATGACACCTCACCTGGTTGAACTCCTCGTCAGCATATATATCAATCAAGTCCACTCCTTCTGACATGGCTCCGGAAGGAAGATCGCGAGTCCGGAGGATGGACAAAGTAAGGAAGATGCCACTGCGGGATTCGGAAAAATGCAAGAATTAGAAGGCACGAGGGTCCTGGGCTGGGAAGAGGGTAATGATTGCTAACCTCCCATCTCCAGAGACGCAGCATCCTGGCGGCCCCAGCTCGGCCCCACCCGCTCCGCCCCGCCCCCGGCCTCGCGCCGCCCACCGCTCTCCCAGGCCGCCGGGGGTCGCTGCCCATCACCCTCGGGCCCGACCCGGGTAGCGCCGCGTCTGCGCCGCAGCTGCCTATGGCGCGACGGAAAAGTCCCACCCTCGGGTCCTAGTGGCCCTAGGACGGCGTTGCGAAGAATGACCGCGGCGAAGCCCGCAGCCCCTATCCGCTGCACCTGCCTAGCCCCCAAGGCGGCTCCGGCCAGAGCCCCCAGGTGTCAAGCAGCTCCAGCCGCCTCTGCCCCCAACCCAGGCCTACTCTTCGCCCCCAGCTAGGCCCGCCCCGCTCCCTCCCGACAAACCCGGCCCGGCGCGCTCTGCCTCCTCCCTCAAAAGGCCCGCGACTCCCTCCGCCCGCAGACTCCGGCCGTCCCATCTCAACCGACCCCCTTCCCGCCTCAGTGCCGGCCCGGACCCCTCTTCCGGCCCAACCTGCCCCCGACCGCGCGCCCCCGTTACCGGGAATATGGCGGCGGCGGCGGCGAGTCCGGACTAGGCCCGAAGCGCGCGAACCGCTCTCCGCCCCAGGTCCCGCCCCCCCCGCCGCCGGCGTCACACGCACCGCCACTTCCGGCATGCGCAGGGACGCACCTTCCGGCTCAGCTCCTCCGTGGCTGCCGTGGTCGGCTGGCCGGGCGGCTAGGAGTTCCCGGAAGTGCCCGCGCAGCCGGTTTCCGGTGCAGGTGGGGAAAATGGCGGTGTCTACAGTGTTCTCGACTTCGTCGCTGGTGAGGAGAGAGAACGTTCTAGCGTCCGGGGCGGGCGGCAGCGGGGATTACCCTTTGTCTTCCTCTGTGGTCTCTATCTTGGGGAGAGTTCGTCTGCCCGATAGCGCAGGGCAAGGGCAGGCCCAGGGAGAGGCCGATCCTGCAACTCAGGAAATAAAGGTCGCTTCCATTCTTTGGTGAGCCTACTGTGTGCCGGTCTGGAAATATCTGCTTAAACGATCAGTCATCGTCCAAGACCCAATTCGCCTCTCACCTACGTCCCAGGCGGGATTAGCCCAACTTCCCTGGGCTCCCCTTCTCCCCGTTCTTTAGTCTTTAATGCTTTTCGTGGTTTCACATAGTATCTTCAGCTTTTTGTTTGTTTATAATTGACATATAATTGTACGTGTTTATGGGGGTACAGTATAATGTTTTAATACATGTGTACATCGAATAATCAAATCAGCGTAGTTAGCATGTCCATCACCTCAAATCTTTATCATTTATTTACGGTAATAACTTTTCAAGATCTTTTTCTAGCATCTTGACATATACAGTACAGTGTTATTAGCTGTAGTCACTCTAATATGTAATAGAACACTGGAACTTATTATTCTTTTTTCCTAGCCTGCTGTTATAAAGTAACTAACTTTGCCTCTATCTTCCCCTCCTACCCCCATCCCTATCTTTATTCTTTTTTTTTTTTCCTGCAGACCCAGGGACTCGATCTTTATTCTTTTTTGATGTAGGCGTTTACACTATAAACTTCCTTCTTAGTACAGCTTTTGTCGCATCTCATAATTTTGTATATGTTGGGTTTTAGTTTGTCTCAGGATATTTCCTTTTTGTTTGTTTTTTGTTGTTTTCCTTTTTTTTTTTTGAGACGGAGTTTTGCTCTTGTCGCCCAGGCTGGAGTGCAATGGCACGAACTTGGCTCACTGCAACCTCCACCTACCGGGTTCAAGCGATTCTTCCGCCTCAGCCTCCCAGGTAGCTGGGATTACAGGCATCGCCATCATGCCTGGCTAATTTTTGTATTTTTGTAGAGATGGGGTTTCACCTTGTTGGCCAGGCAGGTCTCGAACTCCAGACTTAAGGTGATCCGTCCTTCTCGGCCTCCCAAAGTGCTGAGATTACAGGCGTGAGCCACCGCGCCCGGCCTGTTGTTTCCCTTCTTTTTTCTTTTTTTCGTAGAGACAGGTTCTCACTATGTTGCCCAGGCTGGTCTCAAACTCCTGGCCTCAAGTGATCCTCCTGCCTCAGCTTTCCAAAAAGTGCTGGGATTACTGGTGTGATCCACCATTCCCGGCGTGTCTCAAGATATTTTCTAATTTTCCTTTTGATGTCTTCTTTGACTCATTGATTGTTCAAGAGTGTGTTGTTTAATTTCCACATATTTGTGAATTTTCCACCTTTTCTTTTGCCATTGATTTCCAGATTTTAATAAAATGTCTCTTGTGCGGCATATAGTTGAATCTTTTTTTTAATTCATTATATTCAGCCACTTCATGTCTTTTGGTTGGGGAGGTTATGTTATGTTATGTTATTTTCTTGAGACAGAGTCTCGCTCTGTCGCCCAGGTTGGAGTGCAGTGGCATGATCTCGACTCACTGCAAGCTCCACCTCCTGGGTTCACGCCAATCTCCTGGTTTAGGAGTAGCTGGGACTACAGGCGCCCCCCACCACGCCTGGCTAATTTTTTGTATTTTTAGTAGAGACGAGATTTCACCGTGTTAGCCAGGATGGTCTCGATCTCCTGACCTCGTGATCTGCCCGCCTCAGCCTCCCAAAGTGCTGGGATTACAGGCGTGAGCCACCGCGCCAGGCCTGGAGTTTAATCCATTTATACCTAAAGTAAATAGTGGCCGAGGTGGGTGGATCGTGTGAGTCCTGGAGTTCGAGACCAGCCTGGGCAACATGGCAAAACCCCTTTTCTACTAAAAAAAATTAGTCAGGTGTGGTAGTACACACCTGTAGTCCCAGCTACTTGAGAGGCTGAGGCGGGAGTGCGTCTGAGAAGTCAAGGCTGCGGTGAGCCTTGATTTTGCAACAGCACTCCAGCCTGGGCATTGGAAGTGAGACCTTGTCTCAAAAAATAAATAAAATAGGGAAGTACAATCATCCCTTTGTATCCATGGGATGACTGTTGTAGGATCCGCTGTGGATATCAAACTCTGCAGAAGCTCAGTCTCTTATATAAAATGGCATAGTATTTGCATATAATCTACACACATACTTCCATATCCTTTAAATTATTTCTAGATTACTTATAATACCGAAAACAATGTCAAGGCTATGTATATGCTTGTTATACTATATCTTAGTTGTTTTTTAATTGTTGTATTATTTATTTCTTTTGAATATTTTTGATCCACAGTTGGTTGAGTGTGCAGTTGGTTGAATTTACAGGTGTGGAACCCACAGATACGGAGGGCCAACTGTGCTTGCTGTTGCCGTTTTGTAAACTGTTCTCTGTCTTACAACCTTTTTGCTCCTCTTTTCCACTCTTGTCATCCTTTATATTTCGTTGACTTTTTTTTTTTTGTAGTGACATACTTTGAGAAACGAATTTCTCATTTCCTTGTGTGTCTTACACAGGTATTTCTTTGTGGTTACCATGTGGCTTATATAAAACATAACAATCTGTTTTGATAACTTAATTTCCATTGCATACAAAAACTCTGCTCTTTTATGACCCCCTTGTATGTTGTGGATGTCACAAATTACATCTTTTTATATTGTCTCCATTAACAAATTTTTATAGTTGTTTTTATACCTTTGTCTTTAATTTCTATACCAAAATTAAAAGTGACTTACATACCACAGTTACAGTATTATAGTATTCTGTACTTGTCTCTCTCTATATATTTTTTTAATTTAATTTTTTTTTTTTTTTGAGACGGAGTCTCGCTCTGTTGCCAGGCTGGAGTGCAGTGGCGCGATCTTGGCTCACTGCAACCTCCATCTCCTGGGTTCAAGCGATTATCCTGCCTCAGCCTCCCGGGTAGCTGAGACTACAGGCGCCCGCCACCATGCCTGGCTAATGTTTTGTATTTTTAGTAGAGATGGGGTTTCACTGTGTTAGCCAGGATGGTCTCCATCTCCTGACCTCGTGATCCGCGCACCTCAGCCTCCCAAAGTGTTGGGATTACAGGCGTGAGCCACCGCACCCGGCCTCCAGTGATAATTTAACACAACTCATACCAGTATCACACAATTCCCTGGAACTATGTGACAACCATTATTGTTTCTTTTATGGAATGCTGCCTTGATACTAACAGAAAAAAATGGGTGAAATTTGGCTAAAATAATAAGACATCCCAATTATTAGAACAATTTCCTTGTACTGATGAGGATAGTCCTCCCCATCCGCATTCATTTCTGTAGAAATTACTCAATCATGTTATTTTAGTATAGAAAGTAGGAATCCCTGCCTTCAGTCTGCATCAGAATCTCTTAGAGGGTTGTTAAAAATTCATTCGTCAGGGCCCAGTCCTAGAGATTCTCATCCAGAATGTTTATGGTGGGGCTTGGGAATCTGAATTTTCATCGCATGCTGTATTAGTTTACTAGGGCTGCTATAACCTGTGTGGTTTGAAGAACAGAAATTAATTTTCTCATAGTCCTGGAGGCTAGAAGTCCAAGAGCAAGGTGTTGGCAGGTTTGGTTTCTTTCGAGGCCTCACTCCTTGCCTTGCAGATGGCCACCTTTTCACTGTGTCCTCACATTTCTCTGTGCATGCACATCCTTGGTGTCTCTTTTGTGACTTTTTAAAGACATAGGATCTTGCTTTGTTGCTCAGGTTGTACTTTAACTCTTGGGTTCAAGCAATCCTCCCACCTCGGCCTCCCAGGTAGCTGGGACTATAGGGTCATGCCACTGCACCCAGCTTTTTCTGACTTTTGACAGTTTGATTAAAATACGTCGCAGTATGGACTTCTTTGGGTTCATGTTAATTGAGATCTGTTAGGCTTGAATCTGGATGTCCACTTCTTTCCCCAACTTTGGGGGTTTTTAGCCATTATGTCTTTTTTTTTGAGATGGAGTCTCACTCTATCACTGAGACGAGTGCGATGGCACAATCTCAGCTCACTGCAACCTCTGCCTCCTGGGTTCAAGCAATTCTCCTGCCTCAGACTCCCCAGTAGCTGGGATTACAGGCACGCGCCACCATGCTTGGCTACTTTTTGTACTTTTAGTAGAGACGGTTTCGCCATGTTGGCCAGGCTGGTCTTGAACTCCTTACCTCAGGTGATCCGTTCACCTCAGCCTCCCAAAGTGCTGGGATTACAGGCATTAGCCACTGAGACCAGCCAATTATGTCTTCTAATAAGCTTTCTGCCCCTGTCTTTCTCTTATACGACTCTCATAATGTGTATATTGATCTCCTTGATGGAGTCCCTAAGGCTTTCTTCACTCCTTCTCATTCCTTTTTTTTTTTTTTTTTTTAGAAAAAACCCTGACTAATTTCAAATGACCAGTCTTTGAGTTTGCTGACTCTTTCTGCTGCTTGATCAGGTCTACTATTGATTTTCTCTAGTGAATTTTTTAATTTATTTTAATTTTTTAATTTTTTTTTTTTTTTTGAGACGGAGTCTCGCTCTGTTGCCCAGGCTGGAGTGCAGTGGCACGATCTCAGCTCACTGCAAGCTCCGCCACCTGGGTTCACGCCATTCTTCTGCCTCAGGCCTCCCAGGTAGCTGGGACTACAGGCGCCCGCCACTATGCCCGGCTAATGTTTTGTATTTTTAGTAGAGACGGGGTTTCACCATTGTTAGCCAGGGTGGTCTTGATCTCCTGACCTCTTGATCCACTCGCCTTGGCCTCCCAAAGTGCTGGGATTACAGGCATGAGCCACCACGCCGGGCCTAATTTTTTAATTTTTATGTATTTTTATTTTTTAGAGACGGGGTCTCACTGTGTTGCCCAGGCTGGTTCTCGAACTCCTGAGCTCAAGCGATCCTCCAGCCTCAGCCTCCCAAAGTGCTAAGATTATAGACATGAGCCACCGTGCCTGGCCTCCTCTAGTGAATTTTTCAATTCAGTTACTGTATTCTTCAGCTCCAAAATTTTCATTTGGTTATTTTTTAATGTTTTCTGTCTTTTTTTTGGTTTTCTCATTTTGTTCAAGCTCAATGTTCAAGTTCTCAATGTTCCAAAGCTCATTGAACATCTTTATTATGGCTAGTTTGAATTCTTTATAGGTGATTCATATACTTCTGTTTCTTTAAGGTTAGTTTCTGGAGATGTATTTCGTTCCTTTAATAGGACCATGTTTTCCTCTTTATTCATGTGCTTGGTAACTTGTACTGGTGATTTCTACATTTGAAAAATCATCTGTCTCTCCTGGTCTTTGTACTGGTGATTGGCCTTCACTAGTCAGCATGGATAGAGATTCCAAGGGCCTCTCAATCCTTTACTGAGGATGTGTCTTTTCTGGACTTGCGGATGTAAATTCCCATTTAGAGGGATTTGCCGGTTTCCTTTTTCAGGAGCCCATAATCTCTTGCTCCCTCTAGTGTCTGCGTATGATACTGCAGTTTCTCTGGAGCTGCTACAAGTCTCCCAGCTGTCGGTGGCCTCCAGACTTTTAGAGTATGCCATGTCCCATCAGTGCCCCAAGCTGGGCAAGACAGAAACCAGTCCCTCTGGTAGCTTCCCCAAAGGACAGAATGTTACGACTGGGTGTGGTGGCTCACGCCTGTAATCCCAGCACTTTGGGAGGCCAAGGTAGGCAGATCACCTGAGGTCGGGAGTTCGAGACCAGCCTGACCAACATAGAGAAACCCTGTCTCTACTAAAAATACAAAATCAGACGGGCGTGGTGGGGCATGCCTGTAATCCCAGCTACTCGGGAGGCTGAAGCAGGAGAATTGCTTGATCCTGGGAGGCGGAGGTTGTGGTGAGCCGAGATCGCGCCATTGCACTCTAGCCTGGGCAACAAGAGCGAAACTCCGTCTCAAAAAAAAAAAAAGTCAGAATATTAGATGCACACTCCACTCCCCTCAACCCTGGGAGAGGCCACTGGGCTGTATTGGCCTTTCTCTGCAGTTTCAGGGATCCTCTGGATCAGCAGCAGGCCACCCAGGCATTTAGAGTGTGCTAGATCCTTTCAAGTGCTTAGAGACAGAAACCAGTCCCCCAGAGAGCCCCAAAAAGCTAGAATGTTGGATGCATACTGCACCTGTTTCCCTCCCTAGGGAGAAGCTGGGAGGTGGGAGTTTTCTCCTGCTTGTTCTGCACTGAGCCAAGGATGAGTGATGAGGGAGTGAGTGCTTGCCAGTCTAAACTGTCACCTTTGTTCTCCATGGTTCTTTGTTCTCCCTCAACCTGCTGCCCTTTTCTGTTAGCACTTAGATTCAAACAAAACAGAAACCTGATCCCCCCAAAAGTCCGAACATTATACATACTTTTCAGTCTTCTCTTTCTGTCTCAGGTAGAAGCTAGGAGCTGGGGGTTATCTCATGATCATGCTTGAGCAGGGAGGGAAGAGACTATGGCAAATGAGTGCTACAAATTTTTCTGCTGGATTCGATGCAGCTGGTTTTGTGCTCACCTGGGGAGCAGGAGCCTCTTACTGGTTTCTGGATTTCTCACAGGGAATTGGTTTGTTTGTTGCTGTTGGCTCAGTGTCTCCATCGGGGAAGGAGGATCTGGGGTTTCCTACTCCACCATCTTCACCTCTTGCTGAGGTCACCACCTTGACATCATATCTTGATAAGTTGTCAACTTCTCTGGATTGGGAGCCTTTGGGGGATTAGGGATCATGCTGTCTCTGTGTGCTCAGGATTTGACACAGGTGAGTGAGTAGAGTATAAACCACACTGTAAGAATTTTAAGGGAGTGCAAAGGAAGGAAAAATTATTTCTGCTGGGATAGTTTCTGGAAAGGCACTGGTTAGGGACACATTTGCAGTTAGGACTGTGTTTTAATTCTAATTGCAGTTACTATTTGGATGATTTTGGGTGAGTTATTGAACCTTCCTGAGCCTCTGTTTCCTTGGCTATAAAGTGGGGACAATATCAGCATAATTTCTTTTCTTTTTTCAGGGGGATAGGGTCCGTTGCCCAGGCTGGAATGCAGTGGTACGATCACAGCTCACTGCAGCGTTGACCTTCCCAGGCTCAGATGATCTTCCCACTTCAGCCTCCTGAGTAGCTGGGACCACAGGCACCATGGTGGGACTACCCCACTATGCCTGGCTAATTTTTGTATTTTTGGTAGAGACAGGGTCTCGCTATGTTGCTCAGGCTGGTCTCGAACTCCTGAACTCAAGTAATCATGCTCGCGTTGACCTCCCAAAGTGCTGGGATTACAGGTGTGCGCCACCACGCCTGGCCAGCAGTGTAATTTCCTCATGACTAAATGTGATTGAATGCATTCAGCACCTAGTAAGCATTGAGTAAATGATAGCGATGATAGTCGTCATTATTGTAAAGATGTTTGTGGTTTGTTCATTTCAGATGCTTGCTCTGTCAAGGCACAGCCTATTGTCTCCTTTGCTCAGTGTGACATCATTCAGACGCTTCTACAGAGGTGACAGCCCAACAGATTCCCAAAAGGACATGATTGAAATCCCTTTGCCTCCATGGCAGGAGAGAACTGATGAATCCATAGAAACCAAAAGAGCCCGCCTGCTCTATGAGAGCAGAAAGAGGGGAATGTTGGAAAACTGCATTCTTCTTAGGTATGGGACTAGGAGTCTTTTTTTTTAAATCGGGCAGCTTCCTGAGCCAGAGTAGGTTCAGAGAGACTCCCAGGAGTAGGAGTCTTGGTGTCACTTCTCTTTTATTAGACACAGCCTTCTCAACCTCTTTTTCTTTTTTTCTTTCTTGTTTTTAGTCTTTTTGCTAAAGAACATCTGCAGCACATGACAGAAAAGCAGCTGAACCTCTATGACCGCCTGATTAACGAGCCTAGTAATGACTGGGATATTTACTACTGGGCCACAGGTACTGGGTATGATAAGCAGCATAATGTGAAAATAGGACAGTTTAGGCTGATTTGAGTCTAGAATTGTATCCTAGATAATTTTTTTCTTTCTTTTTTTTTTTTGAGACTGAGTTTCACTCTCGTTGCCCAGGCTGGAGTGCAATGGCATGATCTCGGCTCACTGCAACCTCTACCTTCCAGGTTCAAGCGATTCTCCAGCCTCAGCCTCCTGAGTACCTGGGATTACAGGCATGTGTCACCACACCCGGGTAATTTTATATTTTTAATAGAGACAGGGTTTCTCTGTGTTGGTCAGGCTAGTCTCGAACTCCTGACCTCAGGTGATCCGCCCGCCTCGGCCTCCCAAAATCCTGGGATTACAGGCATGAGCCACTGTGCCTGGCTTATAATTTTTTTCTTTTATTCATGAAGTAGACACTCAACCCAAACACTGTTCAAATTTTTGTTAAGTGTACAAAATTTATCAGTTAAAGTTCTTTATTTGCGAGACAGAGTGGAAACTTGTTTGTCTCACTTAAGCAAAAAGGAATTTAGTGGAAGGGTATATGAAGCTCACAGTATCAAAGGTTGAAGAAGAACCACTCTGGGAATGGAGTGGAATCAGACAACTAAGTCTGCATAGCCAAAGCTCCTCAATAGTTTCATTCTGGCCGGCCGCAGTGGCTCATGCCTCTAATCTGAGCACTTTGGGAGGCTGAGGCGGATGGATCGCTTGAGGTTAGGAGCTTGAGAGCAGCCTGGCCAACACAGCGAAACCTCATCTCTCCAAAAATTCAAAAATTAGCCGAACATGGTGGCGGACAACTGCAGTCTCAGCTACTTGGGAGGCTGAGGCAAGAGAATCGCTTGAGCCTGGGAGACAGAGATTGCAGTGAGCTGAGATTGCACCACTGCACTCCATCCTGGGCAAAAGAGTGAGACTATGTCTCAAAAAAAAAAAAGTTTCATTCAGGCACTACCTTTATGAGGAATGAATTCTAACTGTGTATAGTTAGGATTAACTTTGGCTATGAGTAAAAAAACATCCAAAACAGTAATGGCTTAAACAAGGTAGAACTGTCTTTCTCATGACAGAAGTCCAGAGGAAGGCACACTCCAGAGCTCATAGAGGGGCTTCAAAAAGTCATGGGTCCAGGTCCCCCCTACTTGCTGCTCTTTCATCCTAGCATGTGTTTTCTACTTCTTGATCCAGGACAGCCATATTTCAGCCCGGAAAAAGTGTGTGGAAGTGCATACCCCTCCTTTGTAGATCCCGCTCAGGAAATTATCCAGCATACTTCCACTTATTTGCCATTGGCCACAGCTTAGTTACTTGGCTACGTCTAACCATAAGGAAAAATAATATAGTCTATTCCATCTGCCCAGCTGTGTTGGAGATTCTGTTATCGATGAAAACTGGATATTAGGGGACGTGTCATTCATTCTGCCACACTCCGGGACTGCTGTTTTTGTGTCTCCACTCAATATTTGTATCAGAAAGTAGCAGCCATTGTCTATGGGTTCCAGGTATGAAGAGTGATAAGACAGAGTCTGGAGCCTTATACAATCACTGGAAAGCCAACAAAGTCCAAATATTTACTCTCCAACCCTTTACAGAACAAGTTTGCCCTGACTTAGCATAATGCATTTGAGATGCGTATCCTTGTTGTTACTTGTATCAATAGTTCATTCTTTTGTGTTGAGTAATATTCCATTGTGTGGATGTACCATGGTCTGTTCATCTTTTGACCAGCTGAGGGACATTAGGATTATTTCCAGCTTTAGGTGATTATAAATGAAGCCACTGTAAACATTTGCATACAGATTTTGTGAACATAGGTTTTAGTTTTTCTTGAGTGAATACTCAGGAGAAGGATTTGCTGGGTCATGTGGTAAGTGTATATGTTTAACTTTATAATAGGGCCAGGTGTGGTAGCTCATGCCTGTAATTTCAGCATGAGATCACATGCTCCTCCTCTGGGAAGCCGAGGCAGGTGGATCACTTGAGGCCAGGAGTTCGAGACCAGCCTGGCCAGCATGACAATACCCCGTCTCTACTAAAAATGCAAAAGTTAGCCGCGTGTGGTGGTGCGCCCAGCTACTCTGGAGGCTGAGGCAAGAGAATCTCTTGAATCCGGGAGGCAGAGGTTGCAGTGAGCCAAGATCACGCCACTGTGCTCCAACCTGGGCGACAGAGTGAGACTCTTTCAAAAAAATAAATAGGGCTGGGCGCGGTGAGTCAACACCTGTAATCCCAGCACTTTGGGAGGTCGAGGCGGGTGGATCACCTGAGGCCAGGAGATCGAGACCTTCCTGGCTAACACGGTGAAACCCCGTTTCTACTAAAACGACAAAAAATTAGCTGGGTGTGGTGGCGGGTTCCTGTAGTCCCAGCTACTCGGGAGGCTGAGTCAGGAGAATCGCTTAAACCTGGGAGGTGGAGGTTGCAGTGAGCCAAGATTGGGCCACTGCACTCCAGCCTGGGTGACAGAATGAGACTCTGTCTCAAAAATAAATAAATAAAACTTTTAGTACATTTTTTCTGTAATAGGTAAATATAGATAGTAAGCTTTTTCTATAATAGGTAAATATAGATAGTAAATACAGATAATGAATATTTTAGGCTTTGCAGGCCATACAGCCTCTCATAACTACTCACCTCGACCTTTGTAGCATGAAAGCAGCCACAGATAGCAGGTAAACGAATATGATTGTGTTTCAATAAAACCTTATTTGTGGACACTGAAAATAGAATTTCATACTGTTTTCACCAGTTATGAAATATACATTTGATTTTTTTTCCCCAACCATTAAAAAATCATTCTTGGCTGGATGCAGTGGCTCACACCTATAATTCCAGCGCTTTGGAAGGCTGAGGCAAAGGATCTCTTGAGGCCAGGAGTTTGGGACCAGCCTGGGCAACATAGACCCCCTATCTCCAAAAATAAAAATAAGTTAGCTGGGCTTGGTGGTGCACACTGTATTCCCAGCTACTTGGGAGGATCACTTGAGCCCAGGAGTTCAGAGACTGCAATGACCTATGATCACGCCACTGCATTTCAGCCTGGGCAAGAGTGAGACCCAATCTCTAAAAATCATTCTTAGCTCACAGGGCATAGTTTGCCAGCTTCTGTGCTAAGCAAAAGAGGTCAAACTCAACCAGACGCGGTGGCTCACGCCTGTAATCCCAGCACTTTGGTAGGCTGAGGTGGGCGGATCACGAGGTCAGGAGATTGAGACCATCTTGGCCAACATGGTGAAACCCCGTCTCTACTAAAAATACTGGGCGTGGTGGTGGGCGCCTGTAATCTCAGCTACTTGGGAGGCTGGGGCAGGAGAATCTCTTAAACCAGGGAGTCGGAGGTTGCAGTAAGCCGAGATCATGCCACTATACTCCAGCCTGGGTGACAGAGCGAGGCTCCATCTCAAAAAAAAAAAAAAAAAGATCAGACTCAACAAGTACATACTCAGTACATAATTGGACTCCAAGAATGTGATTCTGTTTACATGATAATCTGAAAAAGGCAAAACTTACAGGGACAAATCAGTGATTGCCAGGGTGTTGGATGTGAAGGGAGGGGTTGGTGTTCCACATCTTTACCCACACTTTGTATTATCAGGGTTTTGTTTTTGTTTTTAGCCATTCCAAGAAGTATATATTGGTACATCACTATAGTTTTAATTGGCATGTCCCTAATGACTAATAATATTGAGGATCTTTTCAAGGGCTTATCAGCCCTTTATGTATATTTGGTGACATGTCTCTTCAAATTCCGCCCCCCACCACTCCTCCCTTTTTTTTTTTTTTGAGACAGGATCTCACTCTGTCACCCAGGCTGGAGTGCAGTGGTGCAGTCATGGCTCAGTGCAGGCTCCACCTCCTGGGCTCAAGCGATCCTCCCACCTCAGCCTCCAGAATAGCTGGGACTACAGGCCGGCAGCACCATGCCCAGCTAATTTTTGTTGTTGTTGTATTTTTTGTGGAGATGAGGTTTTGCCATGTTGCCCAGACTGGTCTCAAACTCCTGAGCTCAAGCAATCCACCTGCCTCGGCCTCCCAAAGTGCTGGGATTACAGGTGTGAGCCACCATGCCTGGCCAGATTTTCCATTTTGGAAGATACTTTCACTGGATATAGAATTCGAGGGTCACAATGTTTTTTCTTCTGTTAAATAGAAACACTTCTACCGCCAGCTCTTAGTGTACAAGATCGGGTAGTCAGGAGTTCCGCTGGGTTTGGACTTTGGTTTTGCTCTGGTTACCTTCAGTGCATCACCAGCTTCATATTCCCTCCGGTGTTACCATGTGCTGTTTTCTCATTTCCATAGTTTGTGACGAGGTCTGCTGTATCTTTGTTCCTTTTTATGTGTCTTCTCTTTCTGAATCTTTTCAATATTTTGTCTTTGGTTTCTAGCCGTTTCAATATTATATACATAGGTATTTATTTGATATTTATATATGTAGGCATTTGATATTTATCGTGCTTTTGGGTTCTCTGGGCATCTTGGATCTGTGTTTTCATATCTTTTATTATTGTTGAAAAATTCTCAGCTGTTACCCCTTCAGCTATTTCTTCTGCTTTGTTTTCTCCCTCTTTTCCTTCTAGGATTCTAGTTATACTTAGTTAAATGGTTTAATATTGTCCAACAGCTGTTGTGGGGGTTTTGTTTTTTGTTTTTTTGAGACAGTCTTGCTGTGTCACCAAGGCTGGAGAGCAGTGGCGCAATCTTGGCTCACTACAACCTCTGCCTCCTGGGTCCAAGCGATTCTTGTGCCTCAGGCTCCTGAGCAACTGGGACCACAGGCACGTGCCGCCATGCCTGGCTAATTTTTTTGTATTTTTCACAGAGACGGGTTTCACCATGTTGGCCAGGCTGGGCTTGAACTCCTGGCCTCAAGTGATCCGTCTGCCTCAGTCCCTTAAAGTGTTGGGATTACAGGCGTGAGCCACTGTGCTCAGTCTGTCCAACAGCTTTTGGGTTCTCTGTTTTGTGTTTTTTATTCTTTTTTCTCTTTGTGCATCAGTTTGGGTTATTTGTATTAGATAATATCTATTGACCTGTCTTCCACTAATTCTTTCCTTGATGATGTCAAATCTCATGATGGGCCTGTTGAAACCATTCTGCATATCTGCTACTGTATTTGTTTTTAGCATTTCCATTTGACTTTTGGAGTTTCCAACTCTGCTAGAATTTCTCATCTGTTCATACATTTTGTCTGCTTTTTCCACTGGCGCCTTTAATATTAGTCATAGTCATTTTAAATTCCCTGTCTGATAGTTCTAACATCTGGGTCATCCCTCAGTCTGCTTCTGTTGATTTCTTTGTCCCTTGACAGTGTGTTGTTTTTTTCTTCTTTTGTGTATATGTCTCGTAATTTTCTCATAATTGTATTTATGCTTACAATTGGGGATGCTTCTTCTACTTTACTGTTAGTGTGGGGATCAAGTCAGTGAGTTGGGAGGTAAGCTCAGCTTGGGTTGTTTTTGCTTTGGTTACCTTCATTGCATTACTAGTGTCTAGCGTTAACGTGTGCTTAGAGTGGAAGCTGGCTCTGTCGCCCAGGCTGGAGTGCAGTGGCACCCTCTCGGCTCACTGCAACCTCCACCTCCCAGGTTCAAGCGATTCTCCTGCCTCAGCCTCCTGAGTAGCTGAGACTACAATCACGTGCCACCACACCTGGCTAATTTTTTTTTTTTTTGAGACGGAGTCTCACTCTGTCACCCAGACTGGAGGCAGTGGCGCGATATCGGCTCACTGCAAGCTCTGCCTCTTGGGTTCATGCCATTCTGCTGCCTCAGCATCCCGAGTAGCTGGGACTACAGGCGCCCGCCACCACGCCCGGCTAATTTTTTGTATTTTCAGTAGAGACGGGGTTTCACCGTTTTAGCCAGGATGGTCTTGATCTCCTGACCTCGTGATCCACCCGCCTCGGCCTCCCAAAGTGCTGGGATTACAGGCGTGAGCCACTGTGCCCAGCCTGTGTCTGTGGTTTTATACACTCATGCTAGCCCACACTTGGCTTTTAACAATTCATTGCAAATTTTAGTGGCACAGGCCTGCAGTCCCAGCTGCCCTGGAGGCTGAGGCAGCAGGATCGCTGGAGCCCAGGAATTCTTGGCTGCAGTGCTCTATACCAATCAGGTGTCTGCTGTAAAGTTGGCAACAGTATGTTGACCTCTCAGAAGCAGGGGACCACCCGATTCCCTAAGGAGGGGTGAACCAGCCCACGCTGGAAATGGGACAGGTCGAAATTCCTGTGCTGATCAGTGGTGGAATTGCACCTCTGACTAGCCACTGCAGTCTCCCCTGGGCAACATAAGGCTGGCCCTGTCTGTATTAATTTAAAACAAATTTTTTTGGCTGGGCGTGGTGGCTCACGCCTGTGATCCCAGCACTTTGGGAGGCAGAGGTGGGCGGATCACAAGGTCAGGAGACCAAGACCAGCCTGACTAACACAGTGAAACCCCATCTCTACTAAAAAAAAAAAAATTACAAAAAATCAGCCGAGCGTGGTGGCGGGCGCCTGTGGTGCCAGCTACTCGGGAGGCTGAGGCGGGAGAATGGCGTGAGCCCAGGAGGTGGAGCTTGCAGTGAGTCCAGATCGCACCACTGCACTCCAGCCTGGGCGACAGAGTGAGACTCGTCTCAAACAAAAAAAAAAATTTTTTTAGCTGAATTCCTTTTACCCATTTGTATGATGTCCAGTGTCTCTTCTTCCTGTGCCTGCCACAGGTGAGCAAGTGCATGGCTCTCGTTTCTCCTTTGAAGGGCCTCTTTTTCCTTAGGTTTCGTCTGTTGGGTTGCCTCGTGACCTCAGTTCTCTGATATCTTTGAGAAAAGTCATAATATTTGTAATTTATCTGGCTTTTTCTTGTTGTTACAGTGAGTGCAATATTCTTTCCAACTTTCTACTTTCTTGGGGGAAGCCAAAACCTCTTTGATCTTATGTTGATTGTCACATGAAAACAGAGCCCTCACTAGATGCCAGGCCCTGTGCTGAGTAAGGGAGAATCTGACTTGGTTTTGAGGAATTCTCTCTCCTGGCGTCGTACCTAGTGTTGGTGGAAGGGTAATTCTGGAGCACATTGCCTCGGCTTTGGCAGTGGGAGGCTTTGCTTGTAATTGGCATCTTAAATAAGTGTCCCAAGGGTGTAGAGAAAGGTCAGGGGGAGCAGCACACTGCCAGACCCACTGCCGTAGACTGAGGCTGGCCTTCTCATTCTTCTGACTCAGTGCCTATGTTGCCCGTTCACTGAAATCTGGTTCTTTAGGCTCATGACAGTTCTGTGTGCCTCCAATATCCTTCCAATAAATTCCTTTTTGCTTAAGTTTACTAGAGTTATTAGTTTCTGTCTCTTAAAACTGAGGACCTCTAACTGATAGACAAAGGAGAGAGCTTTTGTTTCAAGAGATATATACATTGCAAGGGAAAACACAATGTCTGGGGAACAATGGAATTGCCAAATGCAAAGCAAAATAGTACAGCCAAGATTGTGCGGGCCAGGGGTCAGCAAACTTGTTCATAAAGGACCAGATAGTAAGTATTTTACTTGTAGTCATATGGTCTCTGTTGCAAGTACCCAATTCTGCTGTCATAACACAAAAGGAGCATGGGTAATATGTAAACCATTGGGAGCAGCTGTTCCAATAAAACGACTTGCAAATATAGGCTCACACAGTTTGCCACCCCCTGGTATAGGCTAACATCGTGTATATTTAGAAGAAGGATGGAGACAGTCTATATATCCATCTGTGGTTCTTGGCCAGTGTTTCGAGTTTTAAGATTCTCATACCTGAGCATTGACTGACTATGGCATAATTTTTTCTGCCCACTCTTCTCTTGCAGAAGCTAAACCAGCCCCAGAAATATTTGAAAATGAAGTCATGGCCCTGCTGAGAGACTTTGCTAAAAACAAAAACAAAGAGCAGAGACTGCGTGCCCCAGATCTTGAGTACCTCTTTGAAAAGCCACGTTGAGCTGTGCTCCACGGCCTGGCATGGGGGTTCAGTCTGTGGATGGTAACTACTTATGATGGACGTTAGCCTTGCTTCCGGCTTCTTAGATGCCCAGCTGCCCTACCCCAGACCACTGGTCCTGCCTCAAGTGATGGACATAACCCTCTCCTAGGACATACATGTAAATGCACAATGTGACTCATTCTCATACTTTTTTGTTCAGCTCTGAGCCTCAAAAGTGATTTGTCAGCAGCGCTGGCATGCAGGCTTTGCCTGGCTGCTATCTCTAGAGGCAAGTCTGCCACGAGAGGGCACTGCAGGCGAAGCAGTTGTGCTTGCTCATTGCCTCAGCCCAAGTGTACTCAAAGAAAAGAGGCAGCCAGCTGTGCGTGCTGTATGGAAAGCCTCCCGCCCTCCCTGCAGCTCCCCGCCCTCAGTGGCCCAGGGCTTTGTTGAAGTGGAACTCCCCACTTCCAACCTGGTATGGCTCCTTCTGCGAAGGGAAGCTGATCCCAGCCTCCTGAGCTGAATCCTTCAAAGGCACAGCAGGCAGAATGAGGGCCACAGGCAGGAGTGGTGTGGGCACACTGCTTAGGAGTCAACATCTTCATCATTGGGCTTTCTTTAAAACGTGCACTTTGTAATTTGAAAGAGAATTATTAAAGCATACTGAAAAAAGGAAATTTACAATTTCCCAGCCCTCACAATTAATTTTAATTTTGTCTATTTTCATATAACCCATAGTCATGTTTATAGAGTTTTACAAGTTCACAATTACAGGTTTTATTTTCATGTAGCACTATAGAAAACTTTCCCCCTCATTCCTACAGTCTTCACAATTAGTTGACTAAATAATAATACATAAGAAATAATATATTAGAATGAATTAGTTAGAAGTGTTTTTAAAAGCTCTAGGGCTGTGTGACTTCTGTGTTGCTAGTGGTGCCCTCCCTGGAGGGGTTTTGCCCTCAGAGCTGTAATCTAGGCAGTAGAATCAGTCACCCAGACTGGACCAGGTGCATCTAAAGGTGTTGACTAGAAGAAGGTCGGCCAGATTTGATGAGCAGGTGGTTGGTGATTATAGGAGCCGCACACAGGGACTACACACGCACATGTTTCCAGCATTGTTGAGCTCCAGGGTTCCTACAGAGCCACCTCATGGTTCCTGCCTGCTCTTCAGTATCCCTGGTGGCTCAGGAGGGAAGGGAAGAGATCTAGCCTTTACGTAATCACAGTTAAGCCTCACAGCACTCTAGACTAGTGGTGTTACCTGTATTTTATACATAAGAAAGTGGGCTCAGAGAGAGGAAGTAATTTGTCCAAGGTCAGGTAGCTATTGAGTCGAAAAAGCAGAATTTAGTATAGCTCAGTCTGCCTCCAAAGCTCTTGAACTTTCTACTAGAACACACTGCCTTACTGCTGGAAATTTAATAGAAGTCTCTGTTTGGGAAAGCTGTGGCAAATAGATGTGACAGTTCTGAGACATGACCTCTGTGTTACATGGTGGGTAGGAATCTGCCAGGTGCTTCGCCAAGTGAGTAGATCTGAACTTGATCACCCAGTGAAGCTTCTGTGAGGAAGCAGCGCAGTGCACTGGTTACACATTTAAATCCTGGCTCTGCTGCTTACCTGCTGGATACATGAATTGACCTGAGCCTCAGTTGCCTCATCTATAAAATGGGGATGACAATGCTTCCTGTCTCAGCTAGTTGATGAGATGAAACACACAAAGCTCTTACATGGTAACTTGCACAGTATGTACTCTAGATATGAATGTCAGCATTTAGTCATAGCCTCAGTCTGAGACTTAAAACCTGTCCCTAACACAAATTGCCTGGCATATCAATGAGGTCACCATAGCTACATCCAGGGTTTCTCATCTGCAGGTCAGAAAGCTGAGCCTATTAATAGAACCACAGAATGTCTTACCTCCCAGTGAAGACGAGAGAGAAAACAGACCCTGGTGACAAGACCTTTGATGGAAAAATCTAGCACTCTCCCCTAAGCAAGGAATGGAAGTGAGACTCGCAGAAGCAGGGCAGGCGAGGAAGGAGACGTCTCCCTGGGAGCTTGCTGAAGACTCTGGCTATTCTCTCGGGCTGCATTTATGTACCCTGGGGAGAATGTTAAGCAGGCCGGGAGTTTATATATAGACATAGATCTGGACTGTACGAAGTGCACATGAATTGGGCGGTGACTTACCCATTTATCCTTTGCACGTTATGCAACAAACCCCAGTAGCCAAGGATGTAGTTGGAACTTTTCTCCCCCTCGGGTTTGATCCCTTCTTATCCTGATTTTGTCTTATTTAACACAATGTTCAATTGCTGCCGCTTTCACCTGGGAATGGCATGCTTCTAGAGGAATTGTTTTCCTCCCAGGCTGCTGGATTGTGTCATCTTTGAAAGTGAAGGATCTTGCTAAGTTCACCTGCTCAGTTGTCAGGCCCAGGGATGCTATGTAAACAGTTTTTCCCTTTATTAGGCATTAAGTAAAACTAGGCCGGCCACAGTGCATTTTTTTAGGAATTAATAAACATATAGCAAGGGCCAGCAGCCCCCGAAGGATCGCTAATGCACAGAAGCTAGACTCATTCCTTTTACTTTGACACATCCCTGCTTACTGACCTCATTCAGAGCCTGTGTGGGGCATATGAGCGTCTGGCCCTGTCCTGACCGACTCAAGTGGTCTTGTGAGTCCTGCACAGGCTCTCCACGTGACACCTTAAATTGGGTCAGGAAAGGCTGTTCTCTTTCCATCGTTTCCTTTTAATCATCCTAAGTCTTAAAAATCCATAAGCCAAACACCTTGTGCTGGAGCTTTCTGTGCCTTAGACAGAGTGTGTCTTTTGGGGGTCATTGTAGAAGCACTCTTACTGGCTTTGAGTGTTATCTGGAGGTCATCTGGTATGTCTTCTGCTCCAGCCAGGGTGGCACCAATACAGACCTGGTTCATATTTTTAAACATCACTGGGAAAAGATTCCGATGGGATAGTTGGGGTCTCTCATTTATCCTTCAGTCCATCTGCAGCTATTTGTGGCTAGACAAAGAGAGGAAGGTTTAATGATAAGCTAAACAGCTGTAGATGGCAAGCAGGTCTGTGAGATTTTTGAGCTGACAGCCCCACTTAATAGTATGTTCTGTAGTATCTGAGGACAGTGGACTCACCATCCCGCAGCTATCAAGTTGATGACACTGATCAGTACCCAGTGAAACTAACTCCTGACACCTCAGTTTCCCAGTGAACCCTCTGGGAATGAGGAGTGGTGTTCGAATTTTCCTGTCAGGGAAGATGGCATTGGTGGGATAGGTGGCTTCAGGCCAGCAGTACTTTTTGTGGCTTAAGAAACAAGTGTTGTTAGCAGTTTGTTAGAGGGGTGGTAGAAAGTTTAAGCTATCCAGGACAACATCAGTCTTTAAAGGAGATGGGTAGATTTATCATCACCTATAGCTGCAAAAGAAGAGTTAAAAGCCTTTTGTTGGATCCCGGATCTCAGACCCCAGATACTCCTTTTTTTTTTTTTTTTTTTGAGACAGGGTCTCACTGTCACCCAGGCTGGAGTGCAGTGGCAGGATCTCCCCTCACTGCAAGCTCTGCCTGGGTTCAAGCGATTCCATGCCTCAGCCACCCTAGTAGCTGGGATTACAGGTGCACGCTACCATGCCTGGCCAATTTTTGTGTTTTTAGTAGAGACGGAGTTTCACCATGTTGGACAGACTGGTCTCGAACTACAGGCCTCATGTGATCCGCCTGCCTCAGCCTCCCAAAGTGCCAAATATTCCTTTCAAAAAGGAGAATGTTTCTTTAAGAAGGGGATTGTATAATCTGTCATGAGATTAGAGTATAAAAGGAAAAAAGTGGGGGAGGGTGGATATATCATTTTCTGTAACAACACATCACAGCATGGAACTTTCAGCAAGTGAGAACGTTAAGATGTACATTCTGTTTCTCAGTGGATTCAGGTGATTTGGCTAATATTTAATAAAATATTCTCCTCTGGTGATGCCCTGGAACACGTGTTTAGGGGAAATAGAACAGAGTAGTTAAGGGGAGCTGTTTAGGAATCAGGCCTAACCTAGAATCCTGGAGCTCCCATTGATTAGCTGGGTGACCTGAAACACATTATTTAACCTCTCCAAGCTTCTGTTTCTCATCTGTGGAAAGGAAAGAAAAGGAACCCGACCTCACAGTGTGGGTATAAGGACTGAATAAAGTCCTGCCCCTGGAGAGCTTAGTACAGCCCCTGTACCCTCAGTAATACTTGGTAGTAACATCTAATAGTTCGGCTTGTTGTGTACCCAGTGCTGCTGAGTGCTTTACGTCATTTCATCCCACAATACCGTGAGATAGGTGCAATGATTATTCCCGTCTTAGAGATGAGGAAAGTGAGGCTCGGTGAGATAAAGTTGCTAGCTCAAAGTCACAGATAGGAAGCGGTTGGGCTAGGGTTTGAAGCCAGGCAGTGGGCCCCAGGGCCCTTGCACTTAGGTACCATGTGCTACCCTGCCTCAAAACATGAAAAGCATCATCATCTCTCTTCTAACGACCTCTCATCCTGAATCTTGTCTTGGTCCATGGCAGACTGCTGGTGTGGACAACTTTGCACAGATTGGGCCACCCTCTCTTGGTTCCCTATAGGACCTGGGGACCATGACTCATATGTCACAGCCTCAGCAGCTCTAGACTTAACCATCTGAGCCTTCCAAGGAGGACATGTGCAGCCTAGCTCTCCAGGTGAGAGCTTGGAGTTCAGAGACTTCCTGTGGATTTGGAGGGGAGCCAGAGGGAAGGGCTCAAGTTCTACCCAGCTTCAAGCGTTTTCTCCTTACCCTGAGCAGCAGAGATGAGCTCTTATGCTTTCTGGGCCGTCCCATCACTGGCTGTCCTTTGTATCCAAGTGGGAGGCTGCCTCTGAGAGTTGGATGTGCCTGTTAGGAAGCCCACATAGAACTCATTCCAGGGTCCCAAGATGAGTTGCACAACCTCTATCGCACCCACTGGCTCCAGTGCCTTTGCTGACAAACTAGTGCTGGTTCCTCCTAAGGCCCAAGGCTCTGAGGCCAGGCCCTCTGTGAGCAGGACCCTCACTCACCTGTTTCTCTGGGCTCCCATCTCAGCGGAGTCATGCAGAAGTGAGAAGGTTTTCATAGATGGTGTATTAGATACTGTTTGCAGCAGAAGCAGAAACAGGTAGTTGTCTTGGTCCAAATAGGAGAAGTGATGCCTAGAAATCTAACTGGAGACCGGGTGCAGTGGCCCATGCCTGTAATCCCAGCACTTTGGGAGTCCAAGGTGAGTGGATCATCTGAGGTCAGGCGTTCAAGATCAGCCTGGCCAACATGGTGAAACCCCGTCTCTACTAAAAATACAAAAAAAATTAGCCGGGTGTGGTGGCACGTGCCTGTAATCCCAGCTACTAAGGAGGCTGAGGCAGGAGAAGCACTAGAACCCGAGAGGTGGAGGTTGCAGTGAGCCGAGATCGCGCCATTGCACTCCAGCCTGGGCAACGAGTGAAACTGCGTCTCAAAAAAAAAAAAAAAAGAGAAAGCTAATTGGAAAAACACTGTCATGGTCTTCACTAAATGCTGGGGATAGAGAAGAATGCATCTTGTCTGTCCTTGAGGAGCTCACTGTTCTTGGTGCTTTATTTCATTGATTGCCAAGCAGAAGTTGTCTGCACTAGCATAGCACAATGTGCTACACCCAGTGCCAGACACAGAAGACGCGGAGATCAATGAGATGGAGCTCGTGCCGCAGAGGTCCTCTGAAGAAGGGATAAGTGAATGGAAGGCACGAAAGGATCTGTCTATGGGCCTCAGGCACTGACCCTGTGAGAGCAGGCAGCAGGACATCTAGCCTTGTATGCCAGGTCTATCCTCACAGCAGGGATGAGGACACCAGGCCACTGAGCTCTGAGACACCTACTTTTAATATAGAAATAACTTCTTTTGTTCTGAATTCACCCTCAGCAATCAGTTACGATTGTCTGGTAGATTTCCTTTTTATAGAGACAGGGTCTCACTCTGCCACCCAGGCTGGGGTGCAGTGGTGTGATTGACTCTTGGGCTCGAGGCATTCTCCTGTCTCAGCCTCCTGAGAAGCTGGGACTACAGGCGCATGCCACCACACCCAGCTAATTTTTTAAAAAAAGTTTATTTTGGGCCAGGTGCAGTGGCTCACGCCTGTAATCCCAGCACTTTGGGAGGCCGGGGTGGGCAGATCAAGAGGTCAGTAGTTCGAACCAGCCTGGACAACATGGTGAAACCCCCGTCTTTACTAAAGATACAAAAAATTAGCCGGGCGTGGTGGCACGTGCCTGTAATCCCAGCTACTCAGGAGGCTGAGGCAGGAGAATCCCTTGAACCCGGGAGGCGGGGGTTGTAGTGAGCCGAGATCATACCATTGCACTCCAGCCTGGGCGAGAGACTCCGTCTCAAAAAAAAAAAAAAAAGTTTTGTAGAGACAGGGTCTTGCTGTGTTGCCCAGACTGGTCTGGAACTCCTGGCTTCAAGCGATCCTCTCACCTCAGCCTCCCAAAGCACTGGGATTACAGGCATGAGCCACTGAGCCAGGTCTGTCTGGTAGATTCTTACCCTGTGTCCATGCTGTTTGCCATGTAGCTTTTAGGGCTTTCTGCCCAGACGCTGGGGTCAACTCATTGCTTTGGTCAATGAGATATCAGTCATTGTGAAGCAAGCACAGCCTTAGAAAGCACTTCCCCTTTAGCTCTTGTACCCCTGCCACCACGTGAGAACCTGCCCATGGTAGACTTCTGGAGGATGAGATGTGTGTCCCAGTCACCCCAGTTGCCTCAGCCAAAGTCAGCTGACAGTTAAGTGAGCCCAGTCAAGACCAGAAGAATTACCCGGCCAAGCCCAGTCCAAATTGTGAACCCGCAGACTTTTAAGCTAAGGAAATGCTTATTATTTTAAGTTATCAAGTTTTGGGGTCATTTGTTATGCAGCATTATTGTAGCAATTGATAACAGATACAGATGGCAACAGGGCTTGTCCATGTAGATTTGCTTTATAGGGAGAAAAATCACTGACTGGCCAGCATGAATGAGCATCCTGTCCCTTGGATGGGTCAATCTCTCATTTGTTTTTTTGTTTTGTTTTGTTTTGTTTTTTGAGATGGAGTCTGCTCTGTTTATTGCCCAGGCTAGAGTGCAATGGTGTGATCTCGGCTCACTGCAACCTCTGCCTCATGGATTCAAGTGATTCTCCGGCCTCAGCCTCCTGAGTAGCTGGGATTACAGGCATGCACCTCCACGCCCGGCTAATTTTTGTATTTTTAATAGAGATGGGGTGTCACCATGTTGGCCAGGCTGGTCTCAAACTCCTGACTTTACCACCCGCTTCGGCCTCTCAAAGTGCTGGGATTACAGGCGTGGGCCACCGTGCCCGGCCCTTGAATTTTTAAAAAGGCAGCTGCTTAGTATAGATCAGATTCTTGTGAACTTAGTATAGCAATCGCCTATGAACACACATGATTCCTACTGATCTATTTGAACAGCAGCAATAACATTTACTGAGCACTTATTCCAGAGCAGACATTAGGCTAACACCATACATGGCTTGTCCTGCTGAATTCCATAGCAGTCTGATGAAGTTGCTTGTATTGTTGTCTTCATTTTGCCAAAGAGGAAACAGGCCCAGAGGGACTGAGTTACTCACCTATGGTGACAGTGGCTTAGCACTTAGCAAACAAACTGATATAGGACCCTTGGAAAGTTGGAGGTCTGTGTTATGCATTAGCAAAATGTTTGATAAAACTACAGCCCACTGTAGCTTGGGAGGGTATCCCATGTGCTTTCCAGGCTGACAGCCAAAGGCAACGCAGTTGGAAAGCAGAAAACTTGTCATCTCTCTTGGCTACTGTAGGCTGTATTTGTTGAGGATTTATAAGGAAGGGATGAGCTCAGGCGAGGATTACCTGGTGTTTGAGCAGTAATGAAAGGAAATAAAGTACAGAAACCCACGGTCTTTCAGGGTTGGAAAATCTGCTACACCCCAAATAGGAAGAGATGAGATATAAGACTCATCTGGGCAAGAAAAGCCTGGTAAAACTTTTCTCTTGGATGCAGTTACTCAGGACAAGCATCAGGTTAAAGGTGGGCCTCCTATTTATTGTTCCAAATAGCCTCAAGCTAGCCATTGAGTAGAAAGGGAGAGACATGGAGGATGAACAGGCAAAACATATTAGACCTAAGAACTGGATCTAGGAAAAGACTTGGCACGTGCGTGAGCGTGGCCACTGGCCCACAAAGCTGACCAGGGCAAGTAGGTTAGACACTAACTATGTAAAGAATTGTATTGCCAAGGAACCGGGAGCCAGCCCTTTGGACAGTTCCAGCTATAAAACAACCTTTGGGCCTCCAATCATCCATGAGCAGGAGGGACGGTGCTCAGCCCCCAGAGAGGGCAGGCTCTGCCACTCTCATTTCAGCTGTAGCCAGAGAGGATGATGGAAAAGGAGGAATCTCCCAGAGAGAAGAGCCAGGGCCAATGTGGAGAGTGGATAAGGAGAGTGTCTCCCGGCAAGCAGCACCGGGGTGTAATGAACGGGTACCCCTGAGTCCTGTCCCTGCTCCACCACTGTGTGGCACAGGGTTAGGGGAGCAACTTGCTTGTCTTTTTGGTCATGGCTTACTGGACTGAGAAGAGCCACATTGGATGAGAAGTGACTACTGCACATCACCAGAGACCCTGGGCTTTGAGCCAGATATCGGGACTAGATAGGACTTTGGGTCCCTTGGGAAGAGGGTGTGTTCCCTGAGTGAAAAGAAAAACTTGGTTTGGCAAACAGAACGGTGGATCGTGGCAGAGATGATGGTATCCACCCGCCACACCATTTGATCTCCCTGAGCATATAGAAAGACCATTTCCTATAGCATCCAGGAAATGCCCTGAGCATGTGGGAAGCAGACTCTCCGGGCCAGGTGCGGTGGCTAATATCTGTAATCCCAGCACTTTGGGAGGCCGAGGCGGACAGATCACTTGAGGTCAGGAGTTCTAGACTAGCCCGGCCAACATGGTGAAACCCCGTCTCTACCAAAAATGTAAAAAATTAGCCACATGTGGTGGTGGACGCCTGTAATCCCAGCTACTCGGGAGGCTGAGGCAGGAGAATTGCTTGAACCCGGGAGGCAGAGGTTGCAGTGAGCTGAGATCGTGCCACTGCACTCCAGCCTGGGCAACAGAGCGAGACTCCGTTTCAAAAAAAAAAAGAAGGAGCTGCCCTGATAACAAGGCTGGTGCTATGCGACTGAGTCCGGCAGAGAGAGTGTGAGTGAAAGCAATGAAAGCCACTTCCAGGCCTGGCCCTTGGAAACATCTTGAGTGGTTGCAGCCCACTGTTACCCTGCTGCAGACATCCCAGAGACCACACGTCCAGACAATGTGGCACACGAAGGAGGAGGGCCACCTAATCTCTTGCA
Source organism: Homo sapiens (assembly GCF_000001405.40). Lineage (NCBI taxonomy): Eukaryota > Metazoa > Chordata > Mammalia > Primates > Hominidae > Homo > Homo sapiens. Next base: position 61,455,491 of record NC_000011.10, read on the forward strand.
AACTGCTTGTGAATGAGAAGCCTTTACTGTGTTAAGTCAAGGGGGATTTCATGCTTTATTCATTTCCTCATCATTGTCTATTCGATCCTGATTAGCACCTAGCACCTCTCAGTGTAGCAGGCTCATAGGATATCGCTGGCACATCTCAGTATATCAGACCTCATCTTGGCCAGGCACTCAGTTTCTGTGCTCCAGCCTCTAAGATGGTCAGTCTTTCAACCTCACCCTTTGCAGAATTCCTCCTGCTGCAGGGCCTTTGCACATGCTGTATGTCTTTGGCCAATCTGCTCTTTCATGTTCCACAATGACTGGGTCAAACCTCCCACCCATTACTCAAACCTGTGACTTTTCCTTCTCTCCATTCTCAGACGACCTCACTGACTTCCATCAGAGGACATTGAAGCCCTCAGAGAGGAGCTCCCTTGCCTTCCCACATCTGCACACCCATTCTTCTGTGACACAGGAACTTTGGCTTCTGCCCTTACCTTGCTCTGCACTGTCAGTAGCAGCCTGCCTCCTGTATGCTCATCTGTCCCACTCGGCTCAATCCTACTCCCAAGCCCTGGCTTCTTTGTCAAGTCCAGTGACTCTCCTTTTTCTTTCTTTCTTTTTTTTTTTTTTTTTTTTTTTTGAGACAGAGTCTCACTGTGTTGCCCAGGTTGGAGTGCAGTGGTGCAATCTTGGCTCACTGCAACCTCCGCCTCCTGGGTTCAAGCGATTTTCCTGCCCCAGCCTCCTGAGTAGCTGGGACTACAGGCGTGTGCCACCACGCCCAGCTAATTTTTGTATTTTTAGTAGAGACGGGGTTTCACCATGTTGGCCAGGCTGGTCTCAAACTCCTGACCTCAAGTGATCCACCTGCCTTGGCCTTCTAAAGTGCTGGGATTACAGGCGTGAGCCACCGCGCTCGGCTGACTCTTCTTTTCCTTTCCTCCCCTTTGTAATCCAGCTTCTTCAAGGGGTTGACTATACTTGTCTCTACTTTCTTAAAATCTCACTTATTCTTTATATTAATCTATCCATGTTTCCACCTCGTTATGCTATGAAAGCATCTCTCACTAAAGTCACCTGTGACTTCCATGTTGCTAATCCAACAGGCTTTATTGAAGTTTTATCTTTGCCTCTAACCAATTATGGACACCTCCCCTTCCCTTGATTTTCATGATTCTGTTTCCTTCTGCCTCTCCAGCCATGCTTCTGCCTCTGTGAGGCACGCCGTCCTCTTCCCAGTCATTCTGTTTGTAGTTCTTCACAGTGCTCTTCTAGGAGCCTCCTCTCTCCTCTGGATACTCTCTCTAGTGATCTCACCCATACCGGGGTACCCATCACCACCTATGTGTGGACAGTTCTCACATCTTCCTCTAAGCTCCAGCTTGCATATCTAACTGCCAACTTGACTCCTCCTTTGAAGGAGGCTGAAAAACCCTTCAAACTCAGCCAGGCTACCCTCCCTCCCTGTTCTACTCACCAAAAACTCCCTCATCTTGAGAGCCTCAGTGAATGGCATCACCAGTCATCCAGTTGCTCAAGCTGGGAATTGTCCTAAGCTGCTCCTTCTCCCTCCATGGCCATCATCCAAGGCCTGTTGACTTAGCTTCAAAATAGTTCTTGAATCCATCACTTCTTCCCATCTCTAGCACCATCACTGTGGTGAAAGCTACTCTCATCTCTCTGATGGACAATGGGTATGGCCATCTGATCTGCCTTCATCATCTGGCATTCCCTCAAATCTGTTCTTTGCCTGCAGCTCCCAAATGAGTGTGCAGTTAACCCTTGAACAACACAGGAGTTGGGGCGCCAACCCCTGCATAGTCGAAAATCTGCATATACCTTTTGATTCTCCAAAAACTTTACTAATAGCCTACTATTGACCAGAAGCCTTACTGAGAACATAGTCGATTAACATGTATTTTATGTTATATGTATTATATACTGTATTCTTAGAGTTAGCTAGAGAAAAGAAATACTATTAAGAAAATCAGGCCAGGCACAGCATCTCACACCTGTAATTAGCTTTGGGAGGCTAAGGCAGGAGTTGGAGACCAGTCTGGACAACATGAGACCCCAGCTCTACAAAAAAAAAATGTTAAAAATTAGCCAAGTGTGGTGGCACACCTTGTAGTCCCAGCTACTGGGGATCTGGGGCAGGAGGTCGAGGCTACAGTGAGCTGTGATCACACCAGTGCACTCCAGCCTAGACAACAGAGTCAGACTCTGTCTCTTAAAAACATCATAAAGAAGAAAAAATACATTTACTATTCATTAAGTGGAAGTGGATCATCATAAAAGTCTTCATCTTTGTTGTCTTCACATTGAGTGGGCTGAGGAGGTGGAGGAAGAGGATGGGTTGGTTTTATTGTCTCAGGGGTGACAGAGGTGGAAGAAAATCTGTGTATAAGCCAGCCACAGTCGTTCACATCTGTAATCCCAGCACTTTGGGAGGCCGAGATGGGAGCTCAGGGCTGACAGAGGTGAAAGAAAATCTGTATATAGGGCCAGATGCAGTGGCTCACACCTGTAGTCCGAGCACTTTGGGAGGCTGAGGTGGGAGGATTGCTTGATTCCAGGAGTTCAAGATCAGCTTGGACAACATGGAGAGACCCTGTCTCTACAAAAAATATTTTTTAAAAAATTAGCTAGGCATGGCCGGCTGCCGTGGCTCACGGCTGTAATCCCAGCACTTTGGGAGGCTGAGGTGGGCGGATCACCTGAGGTCAGGAGTTTGAGACCATCCTGGCTAACATGGTGAAACCCTGTTTCTACTAAAAATACAACAAATTAGCCAGGCATGGTGGCATGCACCTGTAATCTTAGCTACTCGGGAGGCTGAGGCAGGAGAATTGCTTGAACTCAGGAGCCAGAGGTTGCAGTGAGCTGAGATCGCGCCATTGCACTCCAGCCTGGGCAATAAATAGAGCAGACTCTGTCTCAAAAAAAAAAAAAAAAAGGCCAGGCGCGTTGGCTCACGCCTGTAATCCCAGCACTTTGGGAGGCCGAGGCGGGCGGATCACGAGGTCAGGAGATCGAGACCATCCTGGCTAACACGGTGAAACCCCATCTTTACTAAAAAAAAAAAAAAAAAAATTAGCTGGGTGTGGTGGCGGGAGCCTGTAGTCCCAGCTACTCAGGAGGCTGAGGCAGGAGAATGGCGTGAACCTGGGAGGCGGAGCTTGCAGTGAGCCAAGATCATGCCACTGCACTGCAGCCTGGGTGTCAGAGTGAGACTCCGTCTCAAAAAAAAAAAAAAAAAAAAAAAAGAGCTAGGCATGGTGGCACACACCTGTGGTCCCAGCTACTTGGGAAGCTGAGGTGAGCAGATTGCTTGAGCCCCATGGGTTGAGCCTGCAGTGAGCAATAATCACACCCCTGCACCCCAGCCTGTGCAACAGAATGAGACCGTGTCTCTAAAAAAACAAAAGAAAAATTGGTATATAAGTGGACGCATGCAGTTCAAACTTACTGTTCAAGAGTCACATGTATTTCAATACGCTGGTCTGAACATGTCTTCCACTTCCTTAAAACCCTTCTATGGCTGCTCATTGCTGTTAAGAAAATGAAAATTCTTAACACGACCTACAGTGGCCCACTGCAACCTTGACTTCCCAGACTCAAGGGATCCTCCCACCTCAGCCTCCCAAGTAGGCTAATTTATTTATTTTTTTATTTGTAGAGATAGAGGTCTCACTATGTTGCCCAGGCTGGTCTTGAACTCCTGGGCTCAACCGATCCTCCTACCTTGGCCTCCCAAAATGCCAGGCTTATAGGCATGAGCTACCGCACCCGGCCTAACTTCTCCATTTTATTTATTTATTTGTTTGTTTATTTATTTATTTATTTACTTTTGAGATGGAGTCTGGCTCTGTCACCCAGGCTGGAGTGCAGTGGTGCAATCTCGGCTCACTGCAACCTCCGCCTCCCAGGCTCAAGCGATTCTCGTGCCTCAGCCTCCCAAGTAGCTAGGACTACAGATGCCACAACCACGCCCAGCTAATTTTTTGTATTTTAGTAGAGACAGGATTTCACCATGTTGCCTAGGGTGGTCTCACACTCCTGAGCTCAGGCGATCCACCTGCCTCGGCTTCCCAAAGTGCTGGGATTACAGATGTGAGCCACCACACCCGGCTTCCATTTTTTTTTTTTTTTTTTTTGAGATGGAGTCTTGCTCTGTCACCCAGGCTGGAGTGCAGTGGCACGATCTCGGCTCACTGCAAGCTCCGCCTCCCGGGTGCATGCCATTCTCCTGCCTCAGCCTCCCAAATAGCTGGGACTACAGTCGCCCGCCACCACGCCCAACTAATTTTTTGTATTTTTAGTAGAGATGGAGTTTCACCGTGTTAGCCAGGATGATCTCGATCTCCTGACCTCGTGATCCACCCACTTCGGCCTCCCAAAGTGCTGGGATTATGGGTGTGAACCACCGCGCCCAGCCCCGGCCTCCATTTTAAATCCATATGGTGGTTCTCCCATGGATGCTTATCTCCCCACGAGAATTTTAAGCCCCATGAAGACAAGGACTAGATCTTTCTTTTGTTCACTTTATATCCTGGTGCCTAGCATAGCCCTTGGCATATAGAGGGTGCTCCTAATTATTTAAGAAACGAGTATGGTTCATGCCTGTAATCCCAGCACTTCGGGAGGCCAAGGCGGGCAGATTGCTTCAGGCCAGGGGTTCGAGACCAGCCTGGCCAACATGGTGAAACCACGTCTCTACTAAAAATACAAAAAGCCGGGCATGGTGGTATATGCCTGTAGTCCCAGCTACTGGGGAGGCTGAGGCAGGAGAATGGCTTGAACCTGGGAGGCAGAGGTTGCAGTAAGTCAAGATTGCACCACTACACTCCAGCCTGGGCAGGCAACAGAGTGAGGCTCCATCTCAAAAAAAAAAAGTAAAAATAAAATCAATTGATGGATCCATCTGATTTCAGAACTCAGAGTAAACCTTTCTAACAGTGAGAGCTGTACGGGTGCAGGAGTCAGAGGCCTCCTGGGCCTCCCGCTGTGATGAGAGATTTTTTTTCCCCTCCCAAGTTCAGTGTGCCTGAAGGATTAGTGCCAGCTTTCCAGGTGGCTGGATGCCCTGTGGCTGGGGAGAAGAGTTTTAATGAATTAGATCTGTCTCTCTTGTGCAAAGTGGAGAGTTCTTGGTTCTCTGCCCAGGCCTCTGGAAGACCTGGGATGTTAAAAGAAGCAAACTCCCAAACCCAGGCGTGCTCCAGGAAATAGAAGCTGCATCACATAGTCCTGGAGCCTGGGGCTCCAAGATCCATCCACCCCCACTGAGGGCGGGCATTACATTTCTCATGAGGAGGATGTCCTGGAGAAGCAGAAATAGTTGGCCATCCTAAGTAACTGTGTGGGTGCTCAGTACTGGCTCTCTCTGCTTCCTTACTCCCCATTCAATCTGGTGGGCCTTCTTTGACTCTCTCCCACTGCCTAGCCCCAGTGCACACACATATACTCCCTGCTCCAGTTGTATTCTTCAAACTGTTTTCCCAGATGGGAATGTCCTCTGCCTTTCTCCCCTCAGTGCGAGGGAGGTGCCGCTTACTGAGGCCTCCAAACTACACTCTCCCTGGGTTCTCTCATTCATACTCACAAACCTCCCTTCGGAGATTATATCATCCCATTTCCTACATGAGGCTTGTCCAAGGTCACACCGCTAGGAGGCAGCAGGGCTGAAATTTAAACCCAGGTTGCCCTAGAGATTGCGTTGTTCCCAACACCCTACTCATCCTCCCAGACTTAGCCTGTTCACTCATTACCTTCATGAGCACTGTGGGATCTGTGACCATTTATTCTGATATTTACTTAGTCTCTTTTCTTAAATAGAGCCCCTTTTTTATTTAAATGAATTACTTTTAAAAGGAAACTATATGACAACTGTAAATGAAAAAATCTCATCAATAGTGTCTCTTGCCAAAATTAAAACTCTAAAAACAAATACATTCAATGTTACTTTTTTTTTTTAACATTTTACTATAAAAAAATTCAAACATACAGCTAAAGTTGGAAGAGTTTTACAGTGAGCACTGGTATAGCCTCCACCTAGTTTCTACCTTTAACTTTTTTTTTTGAGACAGGGTCTCACTCTGTTGCCGAGGCTGGTGATCACAGCTCATTGTAGCCTCAACCTCCTGGGCTCGAGTGATCCTCCCATCTCAGCCTCCCAAATAGCTGGGACTACAGGCATGCACCACCACACGCGGGGTTTTACCATGTTGCCCAGGCTGGTCTCGAACCCCTGGGCTCAACCGATCCGCCTATCTCTGCCTCTTAAAGTGCTGAGATTACAGGCATGGGCCACTGCACCGGCCTACTCTTAATTTTTTACTCTGCTGGGCTCTTCACATATCAGTTTATCTTTCCATCCCTCTCTCCACCCATTTATTCATCTCCTTTTTGGTACATTTCAAAGCAAATTATAGACATCAGAGCACTCTTGCTAAAAGCTTCACAATGTATGTTATTAACTAGAATTCAATATTTAAAGTTTATTCTTTTGCTGTAAAATTTACATACAGTGAAATTCACAAAAATCTTAAGTGTATGTTTGCTGAGTTTTGAAAGGCTTATACCAGACTCTTATTGAAATGGAGAAATTGGGCCAGGCGCAGTGGCTCATGCTTGTAATTCCAGCACTTTGAGAGGCTGAGGCAGGCGGATCACTTGAGGTCAGGAGTTTGAGATCAGCCTGGCCAACATGGTGAAACCCCGTCTCTACTAAAAATACAAAAAAATTAGCCGGGCGTGGTGGCAGGTACCTGTAGTCCCAGCTACGTGGGAGGCTGAGGCAGGAGAATGGCATGAACCTGGGAGTCGGAGCTTGCAGTGAGCCGAGATTTCGCCACTGCACTCCAGCCTGGGCAACAGAGTGAGACTCCATCTCAAAAAAAAAAAATTTTGATTGTAGTCATTTTTTTTTCTTTTTTTGAGACAGGGTCTCGCTCTGTTGTCCAGGCTAGAGTGCAGTGGTGCAATCACAACTCACTGCAGCCTCAACTTCCTAGGCTCAAGTGATCCTCCCACCTCAGCCTCCCAAGTACTAGGACTACAGGCATGCGCCAACACACCTGCCTCATTCTTTAATTTTTGTAGAAATGAGGTCTCCTTATATTGCCCAGGCTGGTCTCAAACTCCTGAGCTCAAGTGATCCTCCTGCATTCGCCTCCCAAAGTGCCAAGATTACAGGCATGAGCCACCGTGCCCAGCCTGTTGTCATTTTTTTTTTTTTTTGTAGAGAAGGGGTGTATTAGTCTGTTCTCATGTTGCTATAAATAACTACCTCAGACTGGGTTATTTATTTATTTATTTATTTAGGGATGGAGTTTTGCCCTTGTTGCCCAGGCTGGAGTGCAATGGCGTGATCTCGGCTCACCGCAACCTCCGCCTCCTAGGTTCAAGCAGTTCTCCTGCCTCAGCCTCCCGGGTAGCTGAGATTACAGGCATGCGCCACCATGCCCAGGTAATTTTTGTATTTGTAGTAGAGACGGGGTTTCTCCATGTTGGTCAGGCTGGTCTCGAACTCCCGACCTCAGGTGATCGGCCCGCCTAGGCCTCCCAAAGTGTTGGGATTACAGGCATGAGCCACTGTGCCCAGCCTGAGACTGGATAATTTATAAAGAAAAGAGGTTTAGGCCGGGTGCAGTGACTCACACCCTTAATCCCAGCACCTTGGGAGGCCAAGGCGGGCGGATCACAAGGTCAAGAGATTGAGACCATCCTGGCCAACATGGTGAAACCCCGTCTCTACTAAAAATACAAAAATTACCCAGGCGTGGTGGCACACACCTGTAGTCCCAGCTACTCGGGAGGCTGAGGCAGGAGAATCACTCGAACCTGGGAGGTGGAGGTTGCAGTGAGCCGAGATCACGCCACTGCACTCCAGCCTGGTGACAGAGTGAGACTGCGTCTCAAAAAAAAAAAAAAAAAAAAAGGAGGTTTAATTGACTTACAGTTCTGCAAGCTGTACAGGAAGCATGGCTTGGGAGGCCTCAGGAAACTTACCATCAGGGCAGAAAGTGAAGGGGAAGCAGGCACGTCTTACATGGCCAGTGAAGGAGGAGGTGCTACATACCTTTAAACAACCAGATCTCATGAGAACTCACTATCACAAGAATAGCAAGGGGGAAATCCACCCCCATGATCCAATCACTTCCTCCAACACTGGGGATTACAATTCAACAGGAGATTTGGGTGGGGACACAAATTCAAACCATATCACCAGGTTTTGCCATGTTGCCCAGACTGGTCTCAAACCCCTAGAGCTCAAGCAGTCTGCCTGCCTCTGTCTCCCAAAGTGCTGGGATCACAGGTGCGAGCCACTGCGTCCAGCTGTGGTTGTTCTGTGTATATCTTACATACCAGTCCTTTGCACATGTGTTTGGAAATATTTCTACTCAGTCCATGATTTGTCTTTCTCCTCTCCTCTCTCCTTTCCTTCTCCCCTTCCCTTCCCTTCCCTTCCCTACCCTTCCCTTCCCTTCCCTTCCCTCCCCTCCCCTCCCCTCCCCTTCCTTCCCCTCTTCCCTCTCCTCTCTCCTCTTCTTGGCTCTCTTCCCTTCCCTTCCCTTCCCTTCCCTTCCCTCCCCTCTTCCCTTCCCTCCCCTTCTCTTCCCTTCCCTTTTCCCTTCCCTCCCCTTCTCTTCCCTTCCCTTTTCCCTTCCCTCTTCCCTTCCCTTCCCTTCCCTCTTCCCTTCCCCCCTGCCCTGCCCTGCCCTTCTTCCCTGCCCTGCCCTTCTTCCCTGCCCTGCTCTTCTTATAGGGTCTCACTATGTCACCTAGGCCGGAGTGCAGTGGCATGGTCATAGCTCACTGAGCCTCCAGCTCCTGGGCTCAAGTGATCCTCCCACCTCCACCTCCCATGTAGTTGGGACCACAGGCAGAGTCTACCACAACTGGCTACTTTTTGTTTTTTTGTAGAGACAAGGTCTCACTATGTGGCCCAGGCTGACCTTAAACTCCTGGGTTCAAGGGATCCTTCCTCCCTGAGCTCCCAAAGTGCTGGGATTACAGACATGAGCCACTGCCTCAGCCCCATCATTTATTTATTTATTTTATTTTTATTTTTTTGAGACGGTTTCACTCTGTCGCCCAGGCTAGAGTGCAGTGGCCCGATCTTGGCTCACTGCAACCTCTGCCTCCCACGTTCAAGCAATTCTCCTGCCTCAGCCTCCCAAGTAGCTGGGACTACAGGTGCATGCCACCACGCCCAGCTAATTTTTTTTGTATTGTTAGTAGAAACGGGGTTTCGCCATGTTGACCAGGCTGGTCTCGAACTCCTGATCTCTAGTGATCTGCCCGCCTTGGCCTCCCAAAGTGCTGGGACTACAGGCGTGAGCCACCATGCCCAACCCCCATCATTTATTTTTAAAAACTTATTTTCCTATTGGATTGTTTGGCATCTCATCAAAAAACATATCTGTGGCTGGGCATGGCGGCTCACGCCTTAATCTCAGCACTTTGGGAGGCCGAGGTGGGCAGATTATGAGGTCAGGAAATAGAGACCGTACTGGCCAACATGGTGAAACCCCATCTCTACTAAAAAAAAAAATACAAAAATTAGCTGGGTGTGGTGGCACATGCCTGTAAATCCCAGCAACTTGGGAGGCTGAGGCAGGAGAATCACTTGAACCAGGGAGTCGGAGGTTGCAGTGAGCTAAGATCACGCCACTGCACTCCAGCCTGGGTGACAGAGCAAGACTCCATCTCAAAAATCAAACAAACAAAAACATGTCTGTGACTATAAAAACAAATGTAAAACAACTACAATGAGTTATTAAATTTAATTTTTTAAAAAATAAAATGTTGCAGGGCGCGGTGGCTCACACCTGTAATCCCAGCACTTTGGGAGGCTGAGGCAGGCAGATCACGAGGTCAGGAGATCGAGACCATCCTGGCTAACATGGTGAAACCCCGTGTCTACTAAAAAATAAAAAAAATTAGCCAGGTGTGGTGGCGGGCGCCTGTAGTCCCAGCTACTCGGGAGGCTGAGGCAGAAGAATAGCGTGAACCTGGGAGGCGGAGCTTGCAGTGAGCAGCGATCACCCCACTGCACTCCAGCCTGGGCGAAAGAGCGAGACTCCGTCTCAAAAAATAAAATAGAATAAAATGTTCAGGCTGAGCACAGTGGCTCACCCCTATAATCTCCGCACTTTGGGAGGCCAAGACGTGTGGATCATTTGAGCCAGGAGTTCAAGATCAACCTGGGCAACATGGCAAAACCATGTCTCTACAAAAAATTTTAAAACTATATTAACTGGGCATGGTGGCACATGTCTATAGTCCCAGCTTCTCCAGAGGCTGAGGTGGGAGGATCGCTTGAGCCCAGGAGATCCAGACTGCAGAGAGCTGTGATTGCGCCACTGCACTCCAGCCTGAGTGCCAGAGCAAGACCCTGTCTCACATAAATATTTTAAAAATAAAATATTTGGCTGGGTGCAATGGCTCACCCCTGTAATCCCAGCACTTTGAGAGGCCAAGGCGGATGGATCACTTGAGGTCCAGAGTTCAAAGACTAGCCTTGCCAACATGGCAAAACCCCATCTCTACTGAAAAATACAAAAATTAGGCGGGCGTGGTGGCATGCACCTGTAATCCAAGCTACTCGGGAGGCTGAAGCAGGGAGAATTGCTTGAACCCAGGAGGCGGAAGTTGCAGTGAGCCGAGATCACACCACTGCACTCCAGCCTGGGTGACACAGTGAGACTCTGTCTCGGGAAAAAAAAAAAATTAAGTGAAAATAAAGCGCGAGTAAAAGTAGTCTGAGTTAACAAAAATTCATGTTTAAAAATCAGTTCCTCACTGAGAAAAATGGAACTGATTGTGACTAGGCTGTAATAAAAAGATGCTCAGTTTGATGTCACTTATATCGAAAATTTGAAATTCTTCATCAAAAGACAACTTTCTTTTTGAACTTTGATATTAGCCAGGATTGAGAATGCCAAAGCTATATGCATGTGGGTGGAGAGAGCAAAAGATTTTAACTGCCTTCGCTGAGTATTTATCAGTTTGTCACATAAAAAATGGTTGTCAAGGCCGGGCGTGGTGGTTCATGCCTATAATCCCAGCATTTTGGGAGGCTGAGGCGGGCAGATCACTTGAGGTCAGGAGTTTGAGACCAGCCTGGCCAACATGGTGAAACCTTGTCTCTACTAAAAATACAAAAATTAGCTGGGCATGATGATGGGCACCTGTAATGCCAGCTACTCGGGAGGCTGAGTCAGGAGAATTGCTGGAACCCGGGAGGCGGAGGTTGCAGTGGGCCGAGATGGCACCACTGCCCTCCAGCCTGGGCGACAGAGTGAGTGAGACCCACTCTGTCTCAAAAAAAAAAAGAGGTCGTCAATATGCAGAGGTAACGCTTTGTTGCAGTGACGTGTGCGTAAGTTCAGGTCTCAAAAATCCACACCGGACATCCCTGCCACATCCATCGTCCATTGACAGTGCCTTGGGAGGTTCAGGGAACTGGGGTCATATGCTCTGTGTCCCAGTCAGTGTCAGGAAGACAGCCAAGACAATGCCTCCTTTAGCAAGTCAATATCTTCCTTAGTCTTATCCTGAGACTAATAATATGTGCTTATTGTGTGTGAAGCATGCTTCTAATTTATCTCATTTCTTTCTCATAATGAAGAGCAAAGGCAGTCTTATCAGCCCCACTTTAACTGAGAAACTGAGGTGCAGAAAAGTCATGCAACTTGCCCAACGTGGCTCAGCCGGTTAGTGGGGGAGTCGGGGCTTGGAGCCAGGCAGCCTGGTTGCATGGCCAGCCTGCTTAACCCCTCTGCTGTATGGCCTTACCCTGAGAAAAGGGGTTTGGTGTGCTGGTTACTTGAATTTAAAGCTATAACTTTAAATTTTTAAAGTTTAAAACAAGATTTTTTTTAAGAGAAAGAGTCTTACCGTGTCACCCAGGCTAGAGTCAGGTGGTGCGATCATGGTTCACTGCAGCCTCGACCTAGGCTCAAACAATCCTCCTACCTCAGCCTCCTGAGCAGTTGGGACCAGCAGGTCCAGTTAATTATTTTATTTTTTGTAGAGATGGGGTCTCTCTTTACTGACTAGGCTGGTCTCCATCTCCTCCTGCCTCAGCCTCCCAAGTAGTAGGCACCACCACACCTGGCTAATTTTGCAGAGATGGGGGTCTCACTATGTTGCCTGATACAGTTTGGCTATGTCCCCACGCAAATCTCATCTTCAATTGTAGCTTTCATAACATAATTCCTACGTGTCATGGGAGGGACCCAGTGGGAGGTAATTGAATCATGGGGCGGGTCTTTCCTGTGCTGTTCTCACGGTATTGAATAAGTCTAAGGATATCTGATCATTTTATGAAGGGGAATTCCCTAAGCTCTCTTGCCTGCCACCATGTAAGACGTGACTTTGCTCCTCATTTGCCTTCAGCCATGATTGTGAGGCCTCCCCAGCCATGTGGAACTGTGAGTCAGTTAAACCTCTTTCCTTTATAAATTATACAGCCTTGGGTACGTATTAGCAGCATGAGACCAGACTAATACATTGCCCAAGCTAGTCTCGAACTCCTGGGCTCAAGTGATCCTCCCTCCTCAGCCTCCCAAAGTGCTGGAATTACAGATGTGAGCCACCACATCCAGCCCAGAAATTTTCTCACGGTTCTGGAGGCTGGAAAGCCCAGGGTCAGGGTGTCAGCAGGGTTTGCTTCCTAGTGAAGGACCTCCTCCTGGCTCGCAGCCTTCTGGCCGTGTTCTCACATGGCGGGAAGAGAGGTCCAGCGTCTCCTCCTCTGAGGACATCATTCTATTGGGTCAGGGCTCTGCCCTATGACCTCATTTAACTTTAATTGCCTCCTTAAAGGCCCTGTCTCCAATGATCGCATGGGGGGAGGGCTAGGGCTTCAACATATGTATTTGTAGTGGGACACAGTTCAGTCCCTAACAAAAGGAAATGAGAGCTCTGGAGGGTGGCACATTGGCAGTTAAATGCTTGTCCTGGATGTGACACTCTTTCTTCACTATCGCTCACAACCGTTTGGCCAGAACTGGTCACATAGCCCCACAGGGAGCCCAGAAGTACAGTCCCATCCCATGCTCCAGTGGTGGAGAGTCAGAAATAAGGTTGAGCGTCATTGATTTTCACCATCATAGTAAATTTTGAATCTTTACTAAGTGCAGGGCCTGTCCTGTGTGCTTCTTGAATCAGGGAGAAGGTTTTATACAAGAAAATGGCACATTCTGAAGTGGAGCTCAACAGGTAAGAATGAGACCATTCTAGCATTGAGCCCTGGCTCCTTGGCTGACATTCTGTGTGACTTTATACAAGCATCTTCACATCTCTGAGCCTTTGTGTACACATCTATAAAATATGGACAATGTGGCTGGGCATGGTGGCTCACACAGTCCCAGCACTTTGGGAGGCCGAGGCGGGTGGATCACTTGAGCTCAGGAGTTCAAGACCAGCCTGGCCAACATGGTGAAACCCCATCTCTACTAAAAATATAAAAATTAGCCAGAAATCGCTTGAACTCGGGAGGTGGAGGTTGCAGTGAGCTGAGATCGTGCCACTGCACTCCAGCCTGGGCAACAGAATGAGACTCTGTCTCAAAAAAAATAAAATATAGACAATGCTTTTGGCACACTGTATGGATAAAGCACATAGCACTGTGACCTGGCCATTGGAGAGGCAGCATTGCATTGCAGCTAAGCTTGCAGGCTTTGGAGTCAGCCAGACCTGCATTTGAATCTTACTCATCTGCTTTTTGTTTTGTGTCTTTATTTGTGTGTGTGTGTGTGTGTGTGTGTGTGTCAGAGAGAGACTGTTCTAAGCAAGCACATTACATGGAAGTAACTGGAATTGGAACTCAGGCACGTTGGCCTCCAGTAAGCATGCTTGTACTGTTACCCTACACGGCCCTTAGGTTAGCACAGAGAGATTATTTATTTATTAAAAAAAAATTTTTTTTTGAGATGGGGTCTCACTCTGTCACCTAGGTTGGTGTGTAGTGCTACAGTCTCAGCTCACTGCAACCTCTATCTCCCAGGCTCAAGCAATCCTACCACCTCAGCCTCCCAAGTAGCTGGGACCATAGGCGCACACCACCACACCTGGCTATTTTTTTTTTTTGGTAGAGATCGGCTTTCTCCATGTTGCCCCGGCTGGTCTTGAATTCCTGAGTTCAGGCAATCCGCCTGCCTCAGCCTCCCAAAGTGCTGGGATTATAGGTGCCAGCCACCAAGCCCAGCCCAGAGAGATTATGTGTAACTCTCTCTACTACTAGTTCCATGGGGGATAAGGACCATACATACATTACGTTCCATTCTGTTCTGTGTTTTAGCACAGTGCCTGGCACATAGTTGGTGCTCATTAAATGTTCATTGAATGACTAATTGACTGATGAAATAAATGAAGGTAGAGACTCTTTATGAAGCTGCCTGTGCTGGATCCAAGACCATTGATATCTGTTGCAAATGGAAGTTGTTAATGAGACTCAACAAGTTAGTGGAAAATGTTTTGAGTGTTTTATGAGATTCTCTTTTTTTTTTTTTTTTTTTTGAGACAGGGTCTCACTCTGTTGCCCAGGCTGGAGTGCAGTGGCGAGATCTTGGTTCACTGTAGCCTCAACCTTCCAGGCTCAGGCGATTCTCCCACCTCAGCCTCCCAAGTAGCTGGAACCACAGGCATGTGCCACCACGCCCAGCTAATTTTTTGTTCACCATGTTGCCCAGGCTGGTCTCAAACATGGACTCAAGCAATCCACCCACTTCGGTCTTCTGAAGTGCTGGGATTACAGGCGTGAGCCACTGTACCTGGCCTTTTTTTTTTTTAATTGGTTAATTTATTTATTGAGGCGGAGTCTCACTCTGTCGCCCAGGCTGGAGTGCAGTGGCACGATCTCGGCTTACTGCAACCTCTGCCCCCCGGGTTCAAGCGATTGTCCTGCCTCAACCTCCCGAGTAGCTGGGATTACAGGCGCCTGCCACCGTGCCTGGCTAATTTTTGTATTTTTAGTAGAGACGGGGTTTCACCATGTTGGCCAGGATGGTCTTGAACTCCTGACCTTGTGATCCACCTGCCTTGGCCTCCCAAAGTGCTGGGATTACAGGCATGAGCCACTGTGCCCGGGCTTTTTTTTTTTGTTTTTTTAATTAACTTTTTTAAATTTTAAATTTGAGACAGGGTCTTGCTATGTTGGCCAGGGTGGTCTCAAACTCCTGGCCTCAAGCAATTCTCCCACCTCAGCCTCCCAAATTGCCGGGATTATAGGCCTGAGCCACTGCACCCAGCCACAGGATTCTCTTAAAACCACAAACTTACCATACTTTCTAGATGTTTCCTTTCCCTCCTATGCATGATATAGTTAGCCACTATCTAATTGAAAGGTGTACTAGTCACGTTAGGCTAGACTATGATAATAAATAAACCCCCAAATCTCAGCGACTTAACAACGCAACCCTTATTTCTCATTTGTGCCAAGTCCAATGTGAACTGGGCAGCTGTTCAGGACAGCTCCTTTCTGTGGCAGCCCAGGGATCCACGCTCTGCCATCTCAACATGTGGTCTCCACGGTTGCTACTAAAGGGAATGAGAAAGTGCGGATAACTCACATTCACTTGCAACCTGGAAGCAACACGTGACACTTCTCCGAGCCCTTGGGCCGGAGCTAGTCACATGTTCCTGTGGAACTGCAAGGAGCCTGGGAGGTGTGGTTCTCCCTGGTACCCAGGAAGGAGAAGAGAACCAGATCTGGCTGAGCCTGAAGTCTCTACCACAGTCTGTTCTGCTGGTCTCCATGTACCGCATTGGATTTGCTCTTCTTCCTACACACAACACACAACATGAAACTGCTTTCCAAGAGAGAAAACCCAGAGTGATGTGCAGCTCCTGCCTCCAGCCAGGATCTCATGGGCTGCCCTAGGGTCTCTTTATGAGGTCTAGAGGTGGCCTTTTTTGGTCCAGAGATGTAGGAATTTTAAAAAGTTACCTGTTGGGGGCCGGGTGCGGTGGCTCACGCCTGTGATCCCAGCACTTTAGGAAGCCAAGGGGGTGGATCACCTAAGGTCAGGAGTTCGAGACCAGCCTGGCCAACACAGTGAAACCCTGTCTCTACTAAATATACAAAAAAAAAAATTAGCCAGGTGTGGTGGCACGTGCCTGTAATCCCAGCTACTCAGGAGGCTGAGGCAGGAGAATCGCTTGAACGCAGGAAGCAGATGTTGCAGTGAGCCAAAATTGTGCCACTGCACTCCAGCCTGGGCGACAGAGCGAGACTCCGTCTCAAAAAAAAAATAAATAAAAAATAAAAATAAATTTTAAAAGTTACCTGCTGGGCACAGTGGCTCACACCTGTAATCCTAGCACTTTGGGAGGCCGAGGCAGGTGGATCACTTGAGGACAGGAGTTTGAGACCAGCCTGGCCAACATGGAGAAACCCCATCTCTACTAAAAAATACAAAATTTAGCCAGGTGTGCTGGCGCATACCTGTAATCCCAGCTACTCGCGAGGCTGAGGCACAAGAATCATTTTAGCCTGGGAGGCAGAGGTTGCAGTGAGCTGAGATCATGCCACTGCACTCCAGTCTGGGTGACAGAGCAAGACTCTATCTCAAAAAAAAAAAAAAAAAGGCAGGTTACCTGCTTCTCCCTTCCCACCCCCACGCCATACACAAAGGTGGAGTAGGGGCAGGGACAGGATAACCACAGTAAGGATACCCCGGGAAGTGGGAGCTGAGGCCTTCTGGGCAGACCTTGTGGAGGGGTAGGGAAGTTTCTGGAAGGAACTACCTTCATCGCTGCTCTCAGGGCCGCTTGGCTCCCTCATTTAAAGCTCTTTTTCCCCTACCTTACTTTACTCGATCATATCTGAAGTAGGGATTGTGTGTTCCACCCTCCTTGAGGGTTGTGTGGATTTCTCAGCCCACTTCCTGCCCATGGAAGTTTTAAGTTTCAAATAGTCACAATCTTTTTAAAGACCAGGCCCATGGCCAGGGGCGGTGGCTCATGCCTGTAGTTCCAGCGACTTGAGGCTGAGGCGGGAGAATCTCTTGAGTCCAGGAGGTTGAGGTCACAGTGAGCTATGATTGCGCCACTGCACTCCAGCCTGGGTGACAGAGCAAGACCCTTTCTCTAAAAAAAAAAAAAAAAAAACAAAAACCAAACAAAAAAAGCCCCATTTTTTTTGGGCATTACTGTTTTCTCAAAATTTCAGTAGGCCTCTCATCTGTCTGCTTCCAGTGAGTTTCATATGCCTGAATGTGACAGTTAATTTGTGTCTCAATTTGTCTAGGTGACTGGGTACCTGGATATGTGATCGAGTATTCTTCTGGGTGTTTCTATGAGGATGTTTTTGGATGAAATTGGCATTTAAATTGGTAAACTGAGTAAAGCAGTCTGTCCCCCTAACCGGGGTGGGCTTCATGTAATCAGCTCAAGGTTTGAATACAACAAAAAGACTTACACTCTCGCAAGTGAAAGGCAATTCTTTCTGCCTGGTAGCCTTCAAACTGAGACACAGGCTTTTATCCTGCCTTCAGATTCGCCTGGGAACACTGGCTCTTCCTGAGTCTCAAGCCTGCTGGCCTTGAGACAAGAACTACATCAGCTCTCTCAGTTCTCAAGCCTTTGGACTTACTCTGGAACTAAGCCATCAGCTCTCTTGGGTCGTCAGCTTGCCAACCAACTCATCCTGAAGATCTTGGGACTTGCCAGCCTTCATAGTCACGTGGGCCAATTCCTTTTTTTTTTTTTTTTTTTGAGATGGGGTCTTACTCTGTTGCCCAGGCTGGACTGCAATGGCACGATTATGGCTCACTGCAGCCTCAACCTCCAGGGCTTGAGTGATCCTCCCACCTCAGCCTCCCAAGTAGCTGGGACTACAGGCACATGCTACCATGCCCAGCTAATTAAAAAAAATTTTTTTTTTGTAGAGACGGAGTTTCACTGTGTTGCTCAGGCTGGTCTTGAACTCCTGAGCTCAAGCAACCCTCCACTTCAGCTTCCCAAAGTGCTGGGATTACAGGCATCACTGGCCCAGGCAGAGCCAATTCTGTATAATAAATCTGTCTCTCTCTGTCTCTCGTGTATGTGTGTGTGTGCACATTCTGTTTTGCTAGAGAATGCTGACTAATACAGAATCACATCCTAATTTATTTCCTAAGAAGTTCTCAAATCTTCATTTCTTTGCTTATGCCGCAGTAACAAACAAAACCCCAAACCTTAGAGGCTTAAAGCAGCAAGGTTTATCTCTCTATCACATCCCAGTGTGCTGCAGGAAAAGCAGCTCCAGGGCAGCTGACTCCATGCAGTGACTCAGAGATCCAGCCTGCTTCCATCTTTTGGTTCTTCCATCCCAAGTGTGATTTCTACCCACAGAGAATGGAAAACTCACACCCACCTCTAACTACTCAGACTGGGAGTGGCACTGCTCAATTCCACCCACAGAACCAGCCATGTGGCCCTTATCTAACTGCAAGGAAGGCAGGAAAATGCAATGATAATCATAAACATTTCTTGAGTGCTTTCTCTATGCCAGGCTGTGTGCTAAGCATGTAAATATTGTCTTTTCTGTATTCCAAGCCTAAGTCTCTTAAAGTTCTACTGTGACCTCATCATACAGCCAAGGAAACAGGCTCGGAGAAGTTAAGGAAGTTGTCCAAGGGCACATACCTCATAAAGGCAGGGCTGCAGAATTGAACCCAGATCTCTGTGCATTGGAAACCCACCCCCTTGACCCCTGTCCTGGTTCCTTGCTCATCTCTGCCAAGAATATCTTCATTCCATCTGAGGATTGGGAATGGCTTCTTATTTTCTGCCTCATCTCATTTCATCTTCCCCGCGAGTCATGAATTTTTAAACCTTGTGTGAGATCAACAAGTTCACCCAGAGGAGACAGTAAAAGAACAGAACAGGCAGGAACAGAACAGCCATCAGATACACAGGATAGAGTCTTCCAGGAAATGCCCACTGAGGGGAGAAATGAACCACAAGTGAGGCCAGGATTGTGGGAGGCTGTGAGGGAAAGCAATCCGGTCATCAGGGGAATCATTTCCTTTTACGAAAGAGAGAGAGATGGGACTTAGCCATTAGACTTGGGCTATTTCAGTTCCTGGTAATGACACAGCTCAGTGAATAGAACCCCCAAAGCACTTTCGGAAGGGGGGCCCCAGTCCTGGGCAGCTCTCCTGCCTTAATCACTGCAAGTCACAGAGCAGAGAAACTGGAAATGGGCAAAATCGATGACAGGCCTGCCTGCAGACCACGCCCTGGACCCAACCTGCGCCCCCACGGTCATTATGTCACCCATCACTCCTTGGTGCTCACACAGCTGAGCCCATGAAGCAGGGCAGCCCCCACTCCCAGGACTAGACAGAAAGGTGGTTGCACGAATCCAGGGCTCCATGCTCTTCCCCATCGCAGGGAAGACAGGGCCTCACAGACTTGATGTCCTCCCAGTCAGCTCTTCTCTGCCATGATCCCCTTTATGCTGCGTCCCAGCTTCAAACTGCTCCCCTGAAAGGGTCAGTTGGAGCAGCTGAGCTTGGGGCATCTCACCTGGGTGAGCTTTGTTGGTGGGCTCAGAAGAATCTGGGTTGGGAAACAGTACTCTGGGGGCAGAATGAGGGGTTCAGTGAGCCCTTGTGTCCTTTGTGGGCACCTTGGAGTCTGGCTTGGGAGAAACTCCCTGTGCAGGTCCAGCAGGCCTAGAGGCCAGGCTGAGTGTGGGTTGGCATGAGGCCGACTCCCCTCCATGCCCCGCTGTAATAAGGCAGAGGGGAAGGACCTTGGAAGGGGGTAGGCTGGGGTCCTGCTATGTCACAGATGGCAGGTGAGGGGCCCAGGGGGAGGGGACGTGGAACCAGCCATCACTTCAGTATATGAAGACAGAGCTCCAAGTTCTCCAGGCCAAACAACACATCTCAAACTAAAGCAAGCCAAACCTCCTATCCTGGCTCAACCCCCTCTTCACAGGCAACAGGATCAGAGGGAGGCAGTTAATTAAGAAGGGTCACATAGCACTATTTGTGCCAGAGCCAGACCTCAAACTCAAGCCTAGAAAAGGCTCAGAAAGGGGCAGGCATGTAACCTCAGATCACCTGAAGCCAAGAAACATTACTCTAGGCTTGTCCCAGCCTCCAGCATGGGAATTTCAAAAGTAGGAGTATAATTACCCTCTCCCTGCCACCCCCAGCCTCCTGGGCTGGGAGGGCTCAGTGCCTTTAGCTGCATCCCAGGGATCTGTTTCCCATTTCTCAATCATCTTAGCTGATTCGAACAATTTCAGACCTTTCTTCTGTGAATTTTTCACCCAGCAGTGCCCAGCACAAACTGAGGACCATGAGAGGGGTGAACTCTTTAAAAGGATTTTTAGGCCTAGCATGGTGGTTCACACCTGTATTCCCAGCACTTTGGGAGGCCGAGGCAGGAGGATCCCTTGAAGCCAGGAGTTTGAGACCAGCCTGGGCAACAAAGCAAGATCCTGTCTCTATAAACATTTTCTTAAAATCTTTTTATTTTTTTTTCTCTATAGAGGTAATCAGGTTTAAAAAGAGATTTAAAAAGTCATAGGAGGTCAGATTTTGAAAATAGATCTGAGAACCTCTAGCTCAACCTTTGAGGCAATATCAAAGTGGTCACCAGCATGACCTTTGAAGTCAGGATGTCTGGGTTCAAATAATGGCTTTTCCCCTTAGTAGCTGTGTGACCTGTGACAAGTTACGCAGCCTCTCTGTGTCTGAGTTTCTTCATCTATAAAATGGAGGAGCTGATACCACCCACCAGGTAGGAATGCGGTGAAGTTTAATTGTGCTAATCATGGGAAGTGCTTAGAAACAGTCCCTGATACCTAACGAACCAGTGAAAGTTTGCTCTTATTGTCATCCTGTCAAGCTGTTGCATGCCTCCTGGGATGGGGAACTCACTCCCCCCAGGGCAGCCTGTTCCCCTATTGGATTATTTTGTGTGTTAGGAGGCTTTTCTATCCATTAAGCTGAAGTATGCCAACCTGTCTCTTCCCTACAAGAGCCCTGGCTTCCCTCTGAGGGCGGCTATAAAGACCCACATCAACCAAAGCAAAATGACACACACTTGGTGGTGTGTGGCTCATTCACTTCAGTTAATCCTCTTTTAGGGAACTGCAGCCCACATGGCCCAGCACAGAGCGCAGATGTCTGTCTCTGCTCAGGACTCAGCACTCAGTGGTGGTGTGCTCTGGCCTCGGGAGCCTGTTAGGGCCTACCCCACTGATCCCAGCCAAGGAACTCTATGGGCTGAGACCCAGCATGTCCTCTCACTGGGTCCTCTCTGCTAACCTAGTGTGTCTGTAGCCTCTGCCTTCGTATGGGAGGGAAACAGGGGAATCTTTTTTTTTTTTTTCTGAGATGGAGTCTTGCTCTGTCGCCCAGGCTGGAGTGCAGTGGTGTAATCTCGGCTCACTGCAACCTCTTACTCCTGCATTCAAGGAGTTCTCCCTGCCTCAGCCTCCCGAGTAGCTGGGATTACAGGCGCCCACCACCATGCCTTGCTAATTTTTGTATTTTTAGTAGAGACGGGGTTTTGCCATGTTGGCCAGGCTGATCTCGAACTCCTGACTTCAGGTGATCTGCCTGCTTTGGCCTCCCAAAGTGCTGGGATTACAGGCATGAGCCACTGTGCCCGGCTGGAAACGGGAATCTTACTGCCCAGGACTGGGCAGAGCTAGAAAGTAGGAGGCAGTTGCCCATCTGGCCAGGGCAGCCCATCCCTTTGGAAAATCATCCCTTTGGAAAAGCCCAGTGCTAAGGTCCCGGCGCTTTCTGGAGAATTTGCTGGTGTGTTCCAGAGGGCGGGGCATAGATTCCAGGGTCAAAGCTGAGTTTGGATCCCAGCTCCACTCCTCCCTGTCTGCGAGGCCTCAGGCAGTTTCCTCACATGTAACATGGGCAGGATTATAGTAGTTCCCACGTAGAGCCGGGAGTGAAAAGCGATGATGAGGTGATTCGTAGCTCAGCTCTGGCACAATAAAGTGCTGAATAAATGGGGACAGATATGGGAAGGGAGTGGGATGAGGTGGGCCTAGATTTTCCAGTATGGAAGGACTTTTAGTCTGTTCCTTCATTTTGTAGATAGAAGGACTGAGGTCCACAGGTGACAGGTCCAAAAGTCACGCTGCTCTTGGGTCACCTGGCACCTGGGCTCCCGCTCCTTGTGGGCTCCAGCGCTTGCCCTCCCGGAACACTCCTTGCCCAGACGCAACCCTCCTGTTCTGGAGGGATGGGTGAGTGAGGCTTGGGGTGGGGCTGTGGCCAGGTCGACGGAGCTGCTCTGTCCCCAACTCCTAGGACCCCCCGACCCCGGTCTTAGGGATTCATCTGCGGCATCTCCTGCAGTTCCGAGTTATGGCCGCTGGGTGTCGCCACACAGCAAAAAACCCACGGGCCGCCGGGAGGACGGGACCTAATGGGGGCTCTGATGGGACAGCGCCGGCCAGACCCTGATCCCCGACCCTTGAACTCCTGCCCAGGTCCTTGGTCGGCTACAGCCTAGAGCCTCCCTAAGAGAAGCCCTAAGGGATGATTTCAAACCTTTCTACCACCCCTCCTTGCCCCCTCCACCTGCTAAAAGGAAAACCTGGCTACAGCCTACCTGGGGGCTGCTTCTCCCAGCTGAGCCTCTCCTCCCCACGCAGTGCTCCAGCCACGCTGCACTAGTCAGGGCTCCCAGCCTGCTGGACACCTGTCTCCGCCTTTGTGTTTGTCGGGCTTTCCACGTAGAGGGCCCTTCCTTATCTCTGCCTGGTGCAGGCCTGTTACCTCTTGTGCATAGGGTATTTCAAATCCACCAGCGACCCTGCTAGGTAGGCACAGTTATCCCTGCCTGCAGGTACAGAAACAGGCTCAAAGAGAGGAAGCCCCGAGTCACACACAGCAGAAGCAGGTTTTGAACTCGGGCTCCCACAGTGAGCTTTCTTTTGCTACATCTGAGATCCTTCCTAAACCGTGGGCTCTCTGAGGCCAGGGCCATGTGGATTTCCTGTTTGTAACCCTTAGGCCCAACCCTTTGCCTAGCAGGCAGTGAGTACTCAAAAGGAACCTCTTTCCCTAGCTCTTAGATGGCACCTACCGTGTGCCAGGTACTGGGCTAAATGCTTCGTGCGTACCACAACCCTGCAGGTAGTTACCATTATTATACTCATTCTCCAGAAGGGGAAACTGAGGCACAAGGAACATGCACTGTCTTACGGTTATCTAGTGGCAGAGACAGGACCCACACCATCTGGCTTCAGAGTCCAAGCTCTTGCTCGTAGCCACTTATCCAGGCACACTTAGAGGAGGGCCCCTCTCTCCCTTCACCCTGTGAGCACCTCACCTATGGTGGTCTCACCCTTTGTGCTTCGTGTGTGGAACTCCCACGAGCCTCTGTAGTAGAATGGGAGCACTTTGCTGGAGGGCAGGGCTGTGTGCACTCACTCCTGTGTCCTTGTGCCCTGTGATCCCTGAACAGAATCGTTAGTCCGGAGGGTGGGTGCCAAACGTGCTTCAGCTTGCCTTCCCATGGGGGGCTGGGTGAGGACACGAGTGAGCCTCCACCCTGGCAGGCCAGGTCACTACAGGATGAATGCGGCAAGGGCATCTCCTGGGTGAGGAAAGGAGATGCCTCCTTTCCCTTTATTCAGCCTTCATTCATACCTCACTCTCCCCTGAGAGCAGGGGTGCTCTGAAGCCAGCTCTACCGGCTCAGGAGAGCTGAAGGCGAAACTTCCAGGAAATTGGCAAGCTGGTTTTTAACTCTGCCATTGTTAAAAATTAAATTACTGGCCGAGCGCGGTGGCTGACGCCTGTAATCCCAGCACTTTGGGAGGCTGAGGCAGGCAGATCACTTGAGCTCAGGAGGTCGAGACCAACCTGGCCAACATAGTGAAACCCCATCTCTACTAAAAATACAAAAATTAGCTGGGCGTGGTGGCGTGCACCTGTAATCCCAGCTACTCAGGAGGCTGAGGCAGGAGAATTGCTTGAACCAGGAGATGGAGGTTGCAGTGAGCTGAGATCGTGCCACTGCACTCCAGCCTGGGGGACAGAGCAAGACTCCATCTCAAATAAATAAATAAATAAATAAATAAATAAATAAATAAATAAATAACTTAAACCTGCAATTTAATGAATTATATTAAAAACAAAAAAAAATACCTAAAACTCATCACCCCTTAATTATGTGAGTACATTTTTCTATTATTTGTGCTGTCGAGGTTACTTACGCCCATTATGTCTGCATGATGGGACTACTCCCGTACAGTGGTGAGCGACCTTCCCATGTCCCGGTTCAAAGACACTGTAGTGGTGGTTTGAAAGCAGCCCTGATGGGACCACTGACATCACAGAAATTGGCAAATGCTGCAAAGTAGGGCTATCCCACCCCACCCAGAGATCTAACTGTTACAACATTTACAAGCCTGAAAGCCAATTTGAGGCAAAAAGGCTGTCATGGAAGAAGATTCTCACTGTGGAGTTTGCGCACTCAGATTTGAGTCCAGGCTCCGTCTCCACCCACTGTGGGGCCTGGGCTATTTCCCCTTGAGCCTCGCCTTTCCTATCTGCAAAATAAGACTAAAAGTACAGCAGCTTTTGCAAATTGAGCATTTGCCGAGTGTGGTGGCTTGCCCCTGCAATCCCAGCAACTCAGGAGGCTGAGGCAGGAGGATCACTTGAGGCCAGGAGTTCAAGACCAGCCTGAGCAACATAGCAAGACGCTGTCTCTACAACAAATAAATACATAAATAAGCAAGTCAGGCAGGGGGGAGCACACCTGTAGTTCTGGCTACTTGAGAGTCTGAGGCAAGAGGATTGCTTGAACTTAGGAGTTGGAGGCTGGACTGAGCTATGATGGTACCTCTGTACTCCAACCCAGGTGAGAGCATAAGATCCTGTCTCTCTTAAAAAAAAAAAAGAGCATTTACTACCTGTCAGGTGCTGAATCCATGCTCTTGCTAAATCTGCCAGCAGCCCTGTGAGGTGGGTGCAGTCACGTCCCTTGCGAAGATGGGGATTTGGGGGCGTGAAGAGGATAAGTACCTCATCAAAGGTGACAGATCAGATTTGAACCACACTCTTAACTGCTGCGGTTTATTGGCCCTACAATAATAGTGCCCAGTTCACAGGGTGGTTTGGGGGATTACACGACGTAATGTGTGTTAAAGGGCTTAGCACAGATTCAGCTCCAGAGGAACATAGTAAATGTTGATTTACCGAGAGGCAGAAGAGCGGGATCCACATCCACCCACGTTTGAATCTCAACTTGGCTATTTTCTGATTGCGAGATCTCTGGAGTCAAGTCATTTTGCTTATCTAAGCCTCATGTTCCCCCAGTGAAAATGGGGATAATCATAGCTACTGAAGAGCTGCTCAGAGGATGGAGATAGAGGATGTAAAGTATCTGCCGAGAAGTGGGTACTTTATGGGAGTGAGTGTTCGGGATTATCTTTTATTTTATGTCACGCAGACAGCAACTCTTCCCAGCCCTGTGGAGGAGGCCGGAGGTTGGGGCCGGAGCCCTGGAAGCAGGGCCTTGCTCGGGCAGCTTCTGACCCTCCCCTCCTGGCCAGGTCAGCCCCTCAGTGGGCCCTGGCCCTAGAAGGTCTCAGAAGCCTGGGGACGCTGTTGCTAGGCACCAGTTGCTAGGCTACACATTGTTTCTCCTGCTTGGCCTCCTCCAGGAGGGCTGGCTTCTCTGCAGAGCTCTGCTTCCTGCAGCCTCTCCCCGACCTCAGAGCCTCTGCAGAGGAAAGGTGAGGGTGGGGCCGCTGTGGTTGGGCCTCGGGGAGAGTGCAGCCAATTCCCAGGGGAGGCAGGCAAGGCCAGAGGCGGGCAAGGCCATGGAGATGAGGGAGAGAGAGGAGCCGGGGGCTGGGAGTGAGCGCCTCGGCCTGACTTCTTGGGTGGGGGCCAAGAATTCCCCAGGTAGTGGGTTGTCGGCTCATTCATTCCGAGAGGTGGGTATGTAAGGTTCAGGTCAGGGGCCGAGTAGTCAAACACCTAGGTCTGAATCCCAGCACTACCACCTATTATGGAGCAAATCCTTTATCACTTGGAACCTCACTGTCCCAGTGGTAAATGGGGACAGGAAGAGTTAATAAGAAGGTGTGGGAAAGTGAGAGGAGACATGAGGACTCTTGGGATAAGTGTGGATGATCGGTTTCGTCCTTAGTTTAGGGACTTGGGAGCTGGGGCAGAGAGACAGAGGCCTGGGAGAAGGGGCCAGCTGCGTTGTGGGTGGTGGGGGGCAGATCTTCGCCCCTGTGGGCTTCCGAGCCAGGCTTGGGACCCATGAGGCTCCCCGTGCTTCCTTTCTAGGCCCCCTGGGGCCCTGCCCCACAGCATCATGATGGGGAAACTCCCCCTGGGGGTCGTCTCCCCTTATGTGAAGATGAGTTCGGGGGGCTACACGGACCCCCTGAAATTCTACGCCACCAGCTACTGCACCGCCTACGGTGAGGGTGCCTTTGCGCAGGAGCCTCTGCTAGGACATGGGCAGGAAGGGAGGGGCTCTCTCTGAGGGAGGAGCAGACCCTCTGGCTGTCACACTGCAGAGCAACTGCTGAATCCGTTTGTCCCCTGGGCCCTGCCCGGCTGCTCCCTTCTCTGGTTCTGTCCCTGCAATTCTGTCACTGTGATTCTGCCACACTGACCTTGTCCCCAGCCCACCCACTCCATTTCCTGCCATCACAGTCCTGAAAGGGCAGGCTTGCAAAGCTCCTGCCCGTGGCTCTGAGCCCTCCCCTGTCACTGTGACCCCTGTGCCCCTCGGAGGACGCTGGCCCTGCCTGGGAAGCCCTGCCTGTTTTTGACCTTGGGGTCTGTCTCCCCGTTACCCCTCTGGCAGGTCGGGAGGATTTCAAGCCCCGTGTGGGCAGTCACGTAGGCACCGGCTACAAATCAAATTTCCAGCCCGTGGTCTCATGCCAAGCCAGTCTGGAGGCCTTAGACAACCCGGCCAGGGGGTACGGTCTGTATGGCCCCTTCCCAGCCCCTGCCCTGCTCATCAGACCAACTCCAGGTTCCTTGGATGGGGACCCTGAGCTTTGCCTGCCCTAGGCTGGGGGTCCTGGGTGACTCAGGGCACAGCGGACCTCTGAGCCATCTGTGGGAGGGTGCAGGGAGGAGGGAAGCTCCTTAGCAGAGGACAGAGGCAGGCGGCCTGGGGTTCTAGCTCCTCCTCACCCTCAGGGAACAAGCCCAGGACCATTTCCAGTCTGTGGCCAGCCAGAGCTACCGCCCCCTGGAGGTGCCTGACGGCAAGCATCCCCTGCCCTGGAGCATGCGCCAGACCAGCTCAGGCTATGGGCGGGAGAAGCCCAGTGCGGGTCCCCCCACCAAGGAGGTCAGTGCTGGGCCAGGGCCAGGAGAGGGAAGCCTCAGGGTGGGGTGGGGCTAGGGCTGCACTGCCAACAGTTGGTCAAGGTGGAGGTGACAGGGCATGGAGCAGCCACCTTGTAGGGATGGGGTCCACTCATCTTTCTCCCCTTTGTCCTCATCCTTGTCCCCACCATCCCCACCACCTCTATTCCCTGCCCCAGCCCCACCATTACCTCCACCTCCATTTCCATCCCCATCCCTGTCCCCATTCCCATGAGCCTCACACTCCCGTCCACACCTGCAAGCCCCATCACTGTCCCTACTACCACCACTGTCCCCCCACCATGGACATCCTCACCCCATCTTTTTCATTTCTTTTTCTTTTTTTTTTTTTTTTTTTTGAGATGGAGTCTCACTCTGTTGCCCAGGCTGGAGTGCAGTGGCACGATCTCGGCTCACTGCAACCTCCACCTCCTGGGTTCAAGCGATTCTCCTGCCTCAGCCTCCCCAGTAGCTGGGATTACAGGCATGTGCCACCACACCCGGCTAATATTTTGTATTTTTAGTACAGACAGGGTTTCACCGTGTTAGCCAGGATAGTCTCAATCTCCTGACCTCGTGATCTGCCCGCCTCAGCCTCCCAAAGTGCTGGGATTACAGGCGTGAGCCACTGCGCCCAGCCCCATCTTTTTCATTTCTATCCTCATTATTACCACCCTTCTTATCATCAGCACCACCACCAAAATGGACACTCATTCATTCATCCAGCGAGAATGTTCTGAATATCTCCTTCATATTTGAAGATGATAAGAGCGGGTGGAGTGCGGGGTGGGGCGGGGGTTAGGAAATACAACAGGGAGAAGCAGGGAGGAAGAGAAGTGAAGGAGTTGGAGGCCAGGTGCGATGGCTCACACCTGTAATCCCAGCACTTTGGGAAGCTGAAGCAGGCAGATCACTTGAGGTCAGGAGTTTGAGACCAGTCTGGCCAACATGGTGAAACTCCATCTCTACTAAAAATACAAAAACTAGCTGGGCATGGTGGCACGCACCTATAATCCCAGCTACTCAGAAGGCTGAGGCAGGAGAATTGCTTGAACTCGGGAGGCGGAGGTTGCAGTGAGGCTGAGATTGCCTGGGCAATAGAATGAGACTTGGACTAAAAAAAAATAAAGCCAGGCGTGGTGGCTCACACCTGTAATCCCAGCACTTTGGGAGGCTGAGTCAGGTGGATCACTTGAGGCCAACTGCTGTTGGGTCAGCCTGGCCATCATGGTGAAACCCCATCTCTACCAAAAAAATACAAAAAAAAAATAGCCAGGTGTGGTGGCTTGCATCTGTAGTCCCAGCTACTTGGGAGGCTGAGGCACAAGAATTGATTGAACTCAGGAGGTGGAGTTTGCAGGAAGCTGAGATCATGCCACTGCACTCCAGCCTGGGCAACAGAGCGAGACTCTGTCTCAAAAAATGTAAGTAATAAATAAATTAGAAGCGAAGGAGTTGCAACTGCAAATCGGGAGGGTCGGGAAAGAGCTTGCTATGGAGACACTGGACAAAAACTTGAGGGAGGCCAGCTCCTCCAGTTGCAGCTGTCTGAGGGAGGAGTGGTCCAGGCAGTGCCAACAGCAAGTGCAAAGGCCTCAAGGTGGGAACAGAAAGGAGACAAGCAGCTAGAGCAGGGTGAGGCACTCAGGTCCTTGCAGGCCACCAGGAGGACGTGGAATTCCCTGCGAGTGTGATGGGAAGGCTGCAGGGCTCTAAGCAGAGAGGGGACATGCAGGTTTCATTGTAAAAGGACCCCCTCTGGCTGCTCTGCAGATACTGCGCTCTGTAAAGGTCAAGGGCAGAAGCAGAGTCAGGGAGTGACTGCCGCCCCCTCACTTGTAATTGGCCCTTCTTCCTCCCAGGTCCGGAAGGTCCATTTCGACACCCAGGAGCACGGGCCTCAGGCCATCACGGGGCTGGAGCCCAGGGAAGTGCCTCTGCTCCACCAGCAGCAGGGCCAGGACCCGCTGGAGCGGGAGAACTTCCGACATGTGAGTGGCAGCCCAGCTAAGGGCTTCGGGGTGGGGCAGAGGGGCCACACCCGCCTCTTCCTCCCACCTCAAGACAAGTATTGCACTGACTCACCCAAGAAGCCAGCTCAGGGTGGGCTCAGGGCGCCAAGAAAGATGGGAGAGCAAAGGATTTGATATTGGCTATTTCCAAAATAGCCTCAATGTGGCTTCTCGCGATTTAACGCTACTCCTCTTCCCCCAGCCTTCCTCCTCCTGCTCACGGCCCCTCCTGGTCTCGGTCCCTCTGGGCCCCCCACTCATTACCAGGAGTCTGGTGTGGGGTGTGACGTGGTATTCATAGTCACAGGGGAACTGTGCTTTGTGCTGAAATTCCTGGCCCTGCGATGTCCCACCCCACAGAGACTTGTGTCCAGGGTGCTGTACTGGCCCACACAGGCTTCCTCAGAGCACAGAGAACCGAGGCGCCACTCCACCGCCGCCACACGCCTTCGGGGCCCTGGTGGGTCAGTGCCCCCACTCCTCCAACCTCTCTGTTCCAGGGCCCACGCTTCATGACGTCGGAGTACAATTCCAAGTATCTCAGGGACCCTCTAGACCAGCCAGGTAGGCCCTGTCTGAACTCACAGCTCCCTTCCCATCTTCCAATCCACCTCCCTACTTGCTACCCCAGGGGCCCTGGAGCTGGCCTAGGACTGAGAAGGCACCAGTGGAAGAAAGAAGGATGCACAGGTGGCTGGAGGGAAGCGCCTCTCCCGGGCTGACCTCAGTACCTTGGGCCTCTCAGGAGGGTGGCTTGGCCGGTGCATGCCCTTCCTGCTGCTCCCTCTCCTGTCCTCCGGCCTGGACTCTGGAATCCTCACCCTGCCACCCACGATCCTCATGGCGCAGGTCTCCAGGATCTTGGGATCCACTCCCTCTGCACCTGCTGGGACACTGAGCCTCTGGAGGACACATGGGTGGGCCAGGTGGCCTGGCAGCACACAGGGCATTTCTTTTGCAGATTTCTTGCAGAAGAAATCGATCGGCGCAAAGGAGGGGAGTGGCTTCACCAAACAGTCCCACCAGAGCCCCATTGTCTTCCAACCGCCCTCACAGGCCCTCCCTGGGGACCCTGTAAGTCGGCTGGGCTCCTGCTAGAACTTTAGGGGGCTTGAAGCCCTCCAGTCTCAGGGTTTCTAGCTTTCCTAAAGAATGTGAGCTGCAGAGCCCTTTGTTCAAACACAAGACGAAAGAGCTTAGGTGAAAACCACTGCTTTGGTCCAAGTCCCCCATTTATAGATGAGAAGACTGAGGTCCAAAGAGATGAAGGAGGTGTAGCCAATGTCATTCAGAGTTCAGACAAGAGCCCTGGCCTGCTGGTCCCATTCAGAGTCATGCCTTCCCCTGTCTTCTCCCCAAACACTTCCCTTTTCTCAGTGATGCCCATTTGAGCTGAGTCCTCCTCTGTGCTCAGCACAGCAGTGGCCTGGAGGCAGAGTGGGTGGGAGCCACCAGGGGCCCAGGCTGCCTCTGCGGGGCTGACATCCTCTGTGGGCCTATTTCCAGGCCCTCCTCCCAGGCCAGAGTGTCACCAAGTCAGACTTCCTCCCCAAGACTCACCTACATGTAAGCTGAGCTAGGGGGAGGCTGGGGACCGCCTGGCGGGGAGCAGTTAGAACATGGCTCTGGAAGGTGGTGGGGGAGGCAGCCACATCCTGGTGCCAGTGGCTGCTTTGCTCCCTCCAGGGAGATGAGTTCCTACCTGTGTTGGCCAGAGGCTCCA
The DNA here is from genome assembly GCF_000001405.40 of Homo sapiens. Lineage (NCBI taxonomy): Eukaryota > Metazoa > Chordata > Mammalia > Primates > Hominidae > Homo > Homo sapiens. The sequence goes on from NC_000011.10 coordinate 61,486,561, forward strand.
AGCGGGAAACAGCCTTCAGCCGAGGGAATGAAAGGATTCTGAACCCCAGAGTGAGTGGCCTTGGCGTCTTGCTCAGAGAAGGGAGAAGACAGGGAGGTTTCTGGGAAGAGGTGGCATTTGGGTCAGGCATTGAAGAATGAGAAGAATTAGGATATTTAGGGATGTGGAGGTAGGCCCTCAGGTGGAGGGTGAAGAGAGCCTGGGCCTTCCTGGGGGCTGGAAGATGAGGGGTGTGGTCTGAAATAGAATTGGCTGGAAGGGGAAGGGAGGGTCGCTGGGGCTGTGGACAGGTCACAGCTGTGTGTGCCTCTGCCTGCTCCCCTCTCCATCCCTGCTGCCTCAGGCTGGCCACCTCAGCCTCCCTTCTGGTGGTTCTGTGCCCTGCAGGTGCCCCCTCCCTGCCCAGAACCCAGCAGCGTGAGTCACCAGCAGTTTCAGCCACTTCATCGGATGCAACAGACAAACGTTGCCCTGCTTGGCCGGGAGACTGTGGGGAAAAAGGTGAGACTTGCTACACCTAGCCTCCACCCCCAAATCCCCACCCCTTCTGACTTGACAATTCCCCTGTCTACCCCTCTTGTGCAGGAGCCCACAGGGTTCAGCCTTAACAACCCCATGTATGTCCGGAGCCCCTGTGATCCTGACAGGGATCAGCGATACCTGACCACCTACAACCAAGGGTGAGGTCCGCTTCCTGGTCCAAAGCTGAAACCCATTTGAGAAACAGACTGAGACTGGGATAAGTAATGAGCTCACAGCCTCGTGGAGAAGATCAATGCTGAGTGAATATGGGTTCCCCAGAAGCATACCCTAAGCCAAGGATTGGAGTGCAAGCATGTTATCAGGCAGTTATTAGGCGTGTGGGAGTGGAGAAGAGGGATGAGGGAGGGAAGGCAGCAATAATGAGCATGTTACTAGGCCAGCTATCCCACTGGGAAAACTCTAGAAAACAGTGTAAAGCACACAACTCAGAACTACCCCAGTCAAAGGTGAGAGAGCTGGGGTATTTATACCCCCACATCCATCGGTCATTGGTTAAAGGCTATCCCCAGGGCAACATTAAAGCCCAGGTGCCTCCTTGCTCAGGCAAAGCAGCTTCTAGCATCCCAAGGGTAGCTTTCCCACAGAGATGCAGGGCATTGGTGGCCAGGCTGGTGGGCATGGAAAGAACAGGGCAGTGCGAGGGAGTCTGGAGCAGCAGCATCTGCTAAGACATTCCATCCAGCCAATGGTTGGTGGGCTCGATGCTCCCTCAGAAGGTAAATTCTGTGCTGTGCATTCCCTGGGTTAGGAGTGACTGTCCTGGGCATCAGGGAGGGCTTCCAGGAAGGAGGTGGCCCCAGAGCCATGGGGAAGCCTCCTGGGGCCAGGACTGGGTGGGGAAAGCATTATAGGAGTGGTATAAAGGAAGTGTAATTCTTCTTCTTCTTTTTTTTTTTTTTTTGAGATGGAGTTTCACTCTGTCGCCCAGGCTGGAGTGCAATGGCGTGATCTCAGCTCACCGCAACCTTCGCCTCATGGGTTCAAGTGATCCTCCTGTCTCACCCTCCTAAATAGCTGGGATTACAGGCATGTGCCACCATGCCCAGCTAATTTTTGTATTTTTAGTAGAGATGGGGTTTCGCCATGTTGGCCCGGCTGGTCTTGAACTCCTGACCTCAAGTGATCTGCCTGCTTTGGCCTCCCAAAGTGCTGGGATAACAGGCATGAGCCACCGTGTCCTGCCAAGAAGTACAATTCCTTTTTTTTTTTTTTTTTTTTTAAGATGGAGTCTCTCTCTGTCGTCCAGGCTGGAGTGCAGTGGTGCGATCTCGGCTCACTGCAAACCCCGCCTCCCGGGTTCACGCCATTCTCCTGCCTCAGCCTCCCGAGTAGCTGGGACTACAGGCGCCTGCCACCACGCCCGGCTACATTTTTGTATTTTTAGTAGAGACAGGGTTTCACTGTGTTAGCCAGGATGGTCTTGATCTCCTGACCTCGTGATCTGCCCGCCTCCAGGAAGTATAATTCTTAGGACAAACTCCGAGCCAGGAAGCGCAAGCTTTCCTCACAACATCAGTCACCTGTGTCCACCCTGCTTCCTCTCCAACTCCTGGTCCTTCAAGGTGTCCCTGCCACCTCTCTGTCTCCTCCCCCTGCCCCACCCCCTGCTCCGGGATACCTCCCAGAATCCATTCATGGAATAGACTTTAACTGAGCCCTGACTGGGTGCCAAGCCCTGCTCCAGGCCCTGGGAATGTGTGTGCAGCTCCTGCCCTACGGAGCTCAGACCTCTGCATGGGAGGAGACATGCATGTGGCTGCAGCCAGTTAGCGAGAGCTGTTAGGTAATGCGCAAAGAGAAAGGGATCGCGAGGGCTGCAGTGCGCACGGGTCGGATTTGAAATCGGTGGCCTTGAGCAGGTGACGTTTGAACTGAGACTGAAAAGAGGGGAGGGCGGTGTCCTGGAGGAGCAACAGAGAGTCTGAGCTGGAAGGGCCGTTTGTTGTCCTCTGGCCTAAACCCTGAGGCTCAGAGGGGAGGAGCAGAGCTTCCGCCCGCACAGCAGACTCAGCACAGTGGCCGCTCCAGTTCCCACGGAGGTGGGGGAGGGGCAACGATGTTCTGACCCCTTCTTAGGCAAACACCTCCTCCTGTGGCTCTGGCAGAGACCAGCTCCAGTCCTGTCTGCTGGGTCCTTCCAGCCTGTCGTGTCCTGTTGTGTCCTGAGCTCCTGCTGGCTGTCAGGCACGCTTGCTGGTGCTTCCTGGTGCGCGCAGAGCCCCGGGATTGTCATCACTGATTCCTGCATTGATCTGTCTGCACCCCCTCTTCATAAGTTCAAGGGTGGGACCCCCTTCTTACTTGTCTTTGCACCCTCTGGACCTGGCTGTGCTCAGTGAAATGGAAGGAAATGGAAATGAAATGGAAGGAAAGTTAAGTGCCTAGAGAAGTGGATGAGACGGGGTCCCCACCCCAAGGTACTGGCAGGCCAGGGACAGGGGCATCACTGAAACTGTCCTTTAACACTCCAAAGAGTGTTTCAGCGTCAGGTGGAGGGGAGGGCAGGCTTTTTGAGTAAGAGTTCCCCCAGTGGACGTGGGCTTAGGGAGAGCTAGACGAGGACAGCATGAGCAAAGGTGGGGAGGCTGGGCGATCTGAGGGTCGATGGAGAAGGGCAGCAGGGGTTGCAGAGGTGGGCAGAGTCCAGCTTCCAGCCAAGGACCCCTCCTCTCCTCCAGGTACTTTGAGAACATCCCCAAGGGTCTAGACCAGGAAGGCTGGACTCGAGGTGGCATCCAGCCCCAGATGCCAGGAGGCTACGCCCTCAGCCAGCCGGTCAGCTGCATGGAGGCCACCCCCAACCCCATGGAGAGCCTGCGGCACCTGCATCCCCACGTGGGAAGGTGGCACCACCCCCAGCTCTGTTCTTTCTCCCTACCCCTCATCCAGGCCGTGTGCCAGGCCTTTCCCTTCCTCTCCTCTCTTGCTGTCAGTCCGGTTCATTCCTATGAGAGGCCCATCTCCTCTGGCTGGCTCTGGTGTCCCTTCTCCTGCTAGCACAGGCTCCTCCCCTCCTCTCCTTCCAGTGACCCCTCCCTCAGATGGCTCCTCCTCCCTCTCCTGCCCCTGTTCCCCAGGCCCGGTGGACTGGATGGGGAGGATCTGAGCAAGGGGCTCTGGGGTGGTTCAGATCCAGAGGGGGATGCGGGGACGGATCCAGAGATGAATGGACTGTGGTTCGGCCTCACTCAGCTCCTTTCTGCTCAATTCAATTCCTCAGAAATTACATTTATATCAACAATGGCCCAGAGTTGGCAGGCAAAGAATGTTTGTGGCTTGGCTGCCCTGGCTGAACCCTGGCTATGCTCTCTCAGGGAGGGTCAGGCAGAAGACAAGAAGACAAGGTCCATGCCCTGCCTGCCAACACCCCCAACACTCTCCTCTTGCCTCCCTGCAGAACCCTGACCTCAGCTGACCCCTTCTACCAGAACACACCTCACAGCAGCCGCTGCGTGGCACACAGCTGAGCCCTGAGCCCTTGGTAAGGGGCTGGGGATCCCCACACTCAGCTGCTCTGGTTGTGTGGGCAACCGTTATGGGCCAGCCCTGCCTCTCAAGCCCTGGGTTAAGCAAGTCCTGCCTGGGGACCCCCCTTCCAAGTGGGGGGTGACAGATCAGGGGGCCTCTCAGAACCCCTTCTCTGCCAGGCAAGCACACAGAACCACCCCAGAGCCCCTTGCTCAGGCCTCGCCTCTGCTTCTCCTCTACAGGTTTGTCAATCCTAGGGGACAGGAGCCAGGCTACTGTCTGTACCCCCACTCCATCCCCCAGGGGAACACCCCTGCCCAGCTACTTTCCTAATGAAATAAAGAGCATTGAAGCAGAGAAGTGTGACATCACTATCAGGGTGGCTGGAAAAAGGAGGGGTGAGCTGGGGCGGTGGGTGCAGGGGTGGAGGAGCTAGGGCCAGATTTGGAGTCGGAAGGGCTCGGCTGGAACCTCTGAGGAACCATGACACGATGGATAGGCACTTCATTCTCCACGCTCAGTTTCTTGTCCTGTAAAGGGGTCCTCTATGGCCTGTGCTGCTTGGGAAAGTGCTTGGTCAAGTGTGGGTGGAAGAACCCCAGGGGAGGGGCAGGTGGTCCAGAGAAGGGGAGGGAAGCAGACGCAGGGCAAGGGGACAGAGGAGAGTCTTGGATGCATGGCCACCTGGACACCAACACGGGGGTGGGGGGCGCTTGATCACAAAGGCTGGTGCCAGTCTCCGTCCCAGCCAAGGTGACCAGAGCAGGTCACCTGTTTGTGAGAAAGAGAACAAGCTGCCCCTTAGGCGGATGTCCCAGGTGGGCGCAGGCCCTGATGAGCCAACATCCTGTGTGGGAAGAGAAGGGCGTCTCTTCCTCCAGATGTTGCAGCCTGACACAGGCCCCCAGCCTGCAAGACAGCATCTGGGCCAGCTCTCAGCACCTTTTGTCACCTCAGCCAGGTGCATTTGTGCAGTGCACAACACTACAACTGTATGCTGTGGCCCTGCTAGCACCAACTCCTTATAAATGAGAAGTGTGAACCCAGGAGGGTGCGTGAGCTGCTCGGGGTCACACAGGGCAGAAAGGCAGGAGCAGCGCTGGGTTGGGGATATCCCCCGTGCCTTGCCGCCCTGTCTGGGCATGCAGAGGGGGTGTCCTCCGAACCCTTGCCTCCACTTGTGTTCCTTAGTGGGGGTCTGTGGAGCAGCACTGCTGGCCCCAGAGCCTGGCTGTACCCAGCACAGCCTTGAGCAGCAGGCCTGGGGGCTGTCCACAGCCCGGCTGGGGCTCCATGTGGGCTGTGGGTGGCTCCAGCTGGTCCCAGCATGAGAGGAGGGAAGCAGAAGACACAGAGTCTCAGAGCCAGACTCAGGACCCAGTGACAGCCCAGACCGTGGGTGGCGACCTGCCAGTCCATGCCCCAGCATTAGGAGTGAGTCTCCAAAGGGACTGGGCTGGGCCCCAGCCACGGCCATAGTAAGGAGGAGAGGGAGCGAGTGTGGGATCAGCCAGCCTCTCCCTGCCCAAAGACACACACACACGCACACACACACACACACACTCAACTCAAAAGCACATGCAAATACAAACACACATGTGCACACAGACCCCTGAAGGCACGCACACACACATCTAGGCACATAAACGCCAGCGGAAGTACACACAGACAAACTAACACAACCACACACACGGAAACACAAACAAATGGGCACAAGCACCAGATCTTCACATAAACACCCAAGACTCTCAGACACGCACACACACACACAGCCAGCCTATACCACTGATATAGTTTGAGTATTTGTCCCCATCCAAATCGCATGTTGCATTGGAATCCTCAGTGCTGGAGGTGGGGCCTGGTGGGAGGTGATTGGGTCATGGGAGTGGATCCCTCATGGCTTGGTGCTGTCCTCACTATAGTGAATTCTCCTGAGATTTGGTTGTTAAAAACTGTGTGGCACCCCCCACCCCTGGCTCCTGCTGCTGTGTGTCAAATGCCTGCTCCCGGCTGGGTGCGGTGGCTCACGCTTGTAATTCCAGCACTTTGAGAAGCTGAGGCAGGCGGATCACTTGAGGTCAGGAGTTTGAGATCAGCCTGGCCAACATGGTGAAACCCTGTCTCTACTAAAAATACAAAAAAATTAGCCGGGCGTGGTGGCGGGTGCCTGTAGTCCCAGCTACTCGGGAGGCTGAGGCAGGAGAATGGCGTGAACCTGGGAGGCGGAGCTTGCAGTGAGCTGAGATCGTGCCACTGCACTCCAGCCTGGGCGACAGAGCAAGACTCTGTCTCAAAAAAAAAAAAAAAAAGAAAGAAAATACAAAATATTAGCTGGGCGTGGTGGTGCGTGCCTGTAATCCCAGCTACTCCAGAGGCTGAGGCACGAGAGTGGCTTGAACCTGGGAGGCAGAGGTTGCAGTGAGCCGAGATCACACCACTGCACTCCAGCCTGAGCAACAGAGTAAGACTCCATCTAAAAAAAAAAAAGAAATGCCTGTTCCCCCTTCACCTTCCACCATGAGTGGAAGCTTCCTGAGGCCTTCCCAGAAGCAGATGCTGTTGCTATACTTCCTATACAGCCTGCAGAGCTGTGAGCCAATTAAACCTTTTTTCTTAGAAATTACCAAGTCTCAGGGTTGGTTGGTTGGTTGTTTTTGAGACAGGATCTCCCTCCATCGCTCAGGTGGGAGTGCAGTGGTGCAACCATGGCGCTCTGCAGCCTCAACCTCCCGGGCCCAAGTGACCCTATCATCTCAGCCTCCTGAGTATCCGGTACTACAGGCTCACACCATCACACCCAACTAACTTTTGGTATTTGCTGTAGAGATGGGGCCTTTCCATGTTGCCAAGGCTGGTCTCAGACTCCTAGGCTCAAGCGATCCTCCCACCTTGGCTTCCCAAGGTGCAGAGATTAAAGACATAAGCCACCATGCTGGACACACAGACACAAAAACAGATGTACCGAGACTTTCAGCACAGACACACACACACACACACACACACACACACACACACACACACGCGGCACCTCCCTCATCTCTATTTCGCGTCTTCATTTCTTCTCCTCCGAGTGTCCTTTTACAGCTCATGTTTCCTGCCCATCCTTCCTCTATCTGGCTCAATGTGGGGTGGAGGAGTTATGGTGCCGGGGACACTGGAGCCTGATTACACCCGCTCCATCATCTCCACCTCCCTTGTCCTGCACCAGGCGGCAGTTTGGCCAGGGCAGGGGGAGAATTCATGAGGCACAGCACCGGAGAAGGCAGGTTGGTCAGATTTGGGGGCGCCTCGAAGGCCATGCTAAGGAGCCCTTCTCAATTATGAGCCTCAACAAGGGCACGGACCATATATGCCTTGTTTACGCTGAAAGTCCAAAGCCCAGGACAGTGCCTGGCACATATGGAGGTGCTCAGTAAATACCAGATGAATGAATGAATGAATGAATGAATGAATATGGCAGATGTGGGCTTCTAGGCATCACCCACCTTACCAGGATGTCAGTCGCCCAGCCTCCCTGAGTCCATGCAGTTGGCTCCCATTTTGCTACCCGCTACTTGCCCAGCTGCCATGGCCGTGGCCCTTATGGACCACTGCGTTGCCCCCAGGATGCACCTTTCCTCTCTGAATGTGCCCCCTGGTCTCCCCTTGCACGGAGCCCAGCCTCTGACCAACCTCATTAAGCTCTCCTGCAAGTGGCCTAAGGGCCTCTACATTCCAGCCTTGGCCCCTGGTAGGCGCCAAGACCAGGGTAGAGTCAGTGCTGGGAAATTCTCCGTGTCCCCAGGACAGGAAGAGGGGACACTTTCTATCTGGTGGCTCCTCAGGATGCCAGTCCCTATTGAAAGGACATCTTGCTGTGTGGCTTCCCTCTTCTGCTCTGTGATGTCAGGGGACAGTGGGAGAGTTCCGGTCTCTCAGCATGAGAGTTTAGAAGACATGTGAGGCAGTTAGCCCCTAGGGGATGGCCCAGAGGAGCAGCAGGCCAGGGGCGCTGACCCCATGGCTTCATTTTCAGTGGCCTCATCCCCTTGCTTCCAGAGAGCATCAGCCCCAGAGCTCTTTCCCCTCCAGGCCCAGGCAGTCGGCAGAGTGTACCTGTCACAGGCCTGAGCCCTGGAATCCGACTGCCTGGGTTCAGATTCCAGCTCTCCACAACCCAAGGCAGCTCCCTGCCATCAGTCGGTCACTTAACCCTTCTG